>NC_000016.10:67289772-67592803 GCF_000001405.40 Homo sapiens
CAGGGCAAGCCCGGCTGTTGGGGACTTTTGATGCTCTAGGGCCCAGCTCTGCCCCAGGGCATCTCACAGGGTGGGGCTAGAAATGGCTATCAGGGAACAAAGCAGAAAGACCGGAGGTTCAAAAATCTGTTTCCTGCTACTGGTTTTCTGCTTTTTAGCCATACATGCTGACTTCACCTTTACAAACCACATATGAGCCAGATGCCTAATGGTAACTGGGTACTAGAGGGCTTGTGGTGAAAGGTGTTATAATAATGCTCTTGATTATAGAAGTGTCAGATCAATGAGAAACTGCCTAAATCGTTTCGGCCTCAATGTTAAAATTAGATTAAGGAATCAGAAAAGGAAAAAGAAAAAAACCCTTGATCATTCCTTTGCCCTTACTGAATATTTTCTTTTTTTTTTTTTTTTTTTTTTTTTTTTGAGACGGAGTCTCGCTCTGTCACCCAGGCTGGAGTGCAGTGGCACGATCTCGGCTCACTACAAGCTCCGCCTCCCGGGTTTACGCCATTCTCCTGCCTCAGCCTCCTGAGTAGCTGGGACTACAGGCGCCCACCACCACGCCTGGCTAATTTTTTTGTGTTTTCAGTAGAGACGGGGTTTCACTGTGTTAGCCAGGATGGTCTCGATCTCCTGACCTCATGATCCACCCGCCTCGGCCTCCCAAAGTGCTGGGATTACAGGCGTGAGCCACCGCGCCCGGCCTAAGAATGCTTAAAAGTAGTTTAGAAATGAAAGGAATGTACACAATTGGTGACATCGTGGCCAGATAGGTGAAGCTGGTATCACTGGTTGAAAAGGCCTCACTCCCATATGAGTCAAAGCTTGGGCTCATATGATATGTGTCCCTAAGTGTGGCCAGGGTTGTTAGTGATGAAGGCACAGCTGGTATCATTGGAGGAAAACTGTAAAAACCAGTGGCCTGAATACTGCTTTTGGACTACTCTGGATTGGTTAATTTCATGCAGTTTCTCCCTCCCTGGGAGCAGTGGCCTAAGCTGCCTGTCTAGCCTTCTGGGCAGTGCTGGCCCAGCCCTGGTGCAGCAAGACACACGTCCATCTGAGGCATCCACAGGGTCGGTGGATTCCCAGGGATTGCAAGTGGCCCTCACCTCCACCCAGCTGTACAGGCGCTCCTGGGTGTGCCGGTCATCCTTGAAGCCGGTGATGGCCAGCAAATCTACCACAAACTGCTTGGGGCTGATGTGCAGGGTCTGCCAGGAGAGCCCACAGTCAGGCAGTGCTAGGGCAGCTCCTAGCCCCTCAGAGTGAGATGCAGAGCGGGGACTTCTCTGGGCCCACAGAGCCACAGGGGTAGGGGGCGGGCACTGTCACTGCAAATCTGCCTCTTGGCCGAGGCTCAGTCCAGGTGCAACTGCTCTGCTTGCCTCCCTGTCCCACCACTCTTCTGGCCCTGGCCTTCTCCTTAACCCCATCTTGGCTTACTTCCTCTTGCCTTGCACCACTTATTGTGGGGCAGGGGAAGAGGTGGAGAAGGTACAGGGTGCCCCAGGGCCTGAGGCCTGTCACACATACCCACAGCCGATTGGCCAGGGAGACCACCTTGGCTGTGATGGCTTTGGGGTCCTTTTGCCTGATGGAATCCATGATGATGTCAGCCAGGAAGCAGTGACATTTCTGTGCATAAAACATCTCTTCCCAGGACAGAGAGAAACTCAGGAAAGTCACTTCTGTGGAGGAGGGAAAGTGGATGTGGCCACATCTGTCAATAGCTAGGGCCTTAGAGACAGTGTGAGGAGGGGGAGAGGGGTAGGGCCCCCAGGGGCCACTGTCTCTGCCTGAAGTACCCTGGGAGGGGGCTCAGGCATCCTCACGAGGAGGCGCAGGGCTCGGCCTGGCTCCAGAGCCTCACCTTGGGGCTGGGGACTGGCTGTGGGTGTTGTGTGCCTGAGGTTGTCCATCTCCGTGGTATAGATGATGCTGTCCTCAAAGAACATGCAGAAGCCATCGCTGCCCACCACGGGGGGGTGAGTCACTTTGAGGATAACCCCTAGGCTGTCCACCTCACTGGCCTCGGGCAGAGGCTGCTCAGGGGCAGGGCTTTCTGTGAAAACAACATAGGGAGGGGGCTCTCCTTTTAAAAAAAAATTTTTTTTCAAGATAGAGTTTTGCTTTTGTTGCCCAGGCTGGAGTGCAATGGCACAATCTTGGCTCACTGCAACCTCTGCCTCCCAGGTTCCAGCGATTCTCCTGCCTCAGCCTCCTGAGTAGCTGGGATTACAGGCACCTGCCACCACGCCCGGCTAATTTTTGTATTTTTGGTAGAGATGGGGTTTCACCAGGCTGGTCTCGAACTCCTGACCTTAGGTGATCCACCCGCCTCAGCCTCCCAAAGTGCTGGGATTACAGGCGTGAGCCACACGCACAGGCTTTTAAAATTCTTTTCTTCAATTACCATCAAATCTTCATAAGCAGGGACTCTCCTTAAGCCACCTCAGAGCCCAAGCAGGAAGGGGACCTCTGGTGACAGGCCAGTACAATCAAGTCACCCCAGCCTTGCAACAGCTGCCACCTCTAGTTTCTCAGAAGTGACACCCTGGGCTGGCAGGGGCCTGTCCTGGCCACTCCTCTCTTCATTGCCCTGGCATCACTGCAAGCCAAATCCTGAACATTTTGGAACTCGAAGAAACTCCAGATTCCTCTGTTGAACTAAGACGTATCAAATGGGGCTGAGGGCTGGAAATCTTTATAAAATTTTAAGTTGAGAACTTTTGGGGCCAGCCTTTGATGCATGTCCAAAGAGTGGACATTTGTCATCCCAACCTTGACAGACCAACTTAGGGCTCACAGGCAAGAGTCCAAGAAGGCCCCTCCAAGCAGGGCTGGAGCCACTAATAGGGAAGGTGACAATACTGCAGGCAGGGCTTTGAGGGAGCAGAGGCAGCATCCTGGCACAGCGATTTTCAGCACAGTTCCCTGGCCACCTTCCCTTAGCTGGCTACACAAGCTCTCTCTCCAGTTCAGTCCCTGTAGCCCCTGCTGTCTCCTGGGCTTCTCCACCTGGATGTCCCTCGGCATTTCACACTCAGTATGTGCCCTTCCCCAAGCTCTGCTCTTTCTCTTACCCACACCTCAGTAAGGGCCTATCCACCCCCTTGCAGTCCCACAGGCTAGAAACCTGGCTTCTCCTTGGCCCATCCCTCCTTCCCTCCACTACCTGCCTAGCCTGCTTCCCCTAGCCTAGAAAGAACTCCAAGTGGCTTCGAATACCTAGCTCCTGCTGCATTTCCTCTGCTCCTGGAGCAAACTTTCTGATGGGCACACCTGACCCCGTGCTCTTGTCTAAAATCCTTCAGACGCTGCTCACTCCCATCCTGGTCAGAATGGAGTACCACGTCCTGAAGCTGGCCCACGAGGCCTGTCCTTATGACTTCTGTCTTCAGCCTCATCTTTTATCACGTCTGCATGTGAAGCCTGGCCTCCAGCTAGACCCATGCCCTGCGCTTCCAAACATCCTGGACTTCTCCTTCCTTCCCCTGCTGACTCCCCAGCCCTCAGCCTCTTTTGTGCTCCTGCTTCATAGGCACCTCCTTCCCACAGCACTCATCCCTTCGCCGTGTGTGTTCTCCTGGCCCCTCCAGCCATGCCAATGTGCCAGTCATTTCTGTGTCTGCTGCCTGGCACAGAGATGGCATTGGTGAGCGGGGGGGTCTAGTCCTCCTTTGTCACTAACTTGCTCTGCCATCTTGGCCAAAGAGTTTGCCTTCTCTGTTGTGAATAAGACTTAGATCAAAGGGGGACAGGACTCACCTCTCTCCTTGGTCCTCTGCTTGCTCCAGTCCTTCAGGGTGCCAGCTCTTTTTGGGGGTAAGTATGGCTTGAAGGTTGGCTCTGGCCCCTTGTCTTTCGCTCCAGCTCCAGCCCCTGCCTGTGGTCCTGGATCCTTCTCTGAGGCTGTGGAATGGGCTTTCCAGGCAGCTGAGGTGCTGGGCTGGGAAGCAGCCTCGCTTCCCAAGGGGAGCTGCAGGGTGGCCTCCTCCAAGGGGCTGCTCCGTGTGGCTGTCAGTGGCTGGAATTCCCACTGTTTGCAATTGACCATGTCCCATTCTCTCACCAGGGAGATGAGTTTTTGCATGGGAGTGGCGGGAGGGTCTTTGGTTTCAGATTTCTGTGTGAGGTTGATTGTGGTGCATTTCTTCTTTGGGGGGCTCTCAGGGTGGCTCCCCCAGTGTCCAGGATTGGTACACAAGCCACGGCAGTGTGAGTATGTGCTAGGGTTGCCAGCCCTCTTGGCATTTCGGCATAGGGACACCTGGATGGGCCGAGTGTACTGCTCAGCCTCATCCATCTGGTTGGACCTGACCAGGTTTCCCTTAGCCTTGTTCCATGGAGTCCTGTCACTGCAGTCTTCGAAGTCCACAGGCATGTAGGCTGTGGTCTGGGGAGGGAAGGGCACAGTAACTCTGGATAGGTTGGGCATGGACATCAACGCCTTGCCCAAGATCTAATAAGCTGGGCCTCCAAGACTTCACTTGCTCTCCCTGAACAATCCCATCCCTGACAGGGGTCACCCATTTGAGCTTTGCTCAGGCTGAGTGGGGATGGTGCCAGCCCAGTGGCCTGTCATTCCAACAGGAGATACAATCAGCATCGCAGGCCACAAGTGGCCAGTAAGTTCCTGTGCCTCCTTCACGGTTCAGAAGCCAGGTCCTGTCCTAGGAACCCATGTAGGCTCTGCTCTTTCATTTTGCTGCACCCACCAGTAGCTGAACCTACCCCCATCCACCCTGAGCCCGGTGGTAGTGGTTTTTGAGGATAACACCAACCAGAGGAGGCTGGTGCTTACTTCTTTAGTGTCTCTACTGAACTCCACCAGTGACCCTGGCCCTTCTGTCACCACATGCAGCCTCCTGATGGAAAAAGCTTCTTCATTTTCAGATTCTTTCTCCTGAGTCCATGACCTGCAGAAACCAAGAGGGGTTGGTTAGTGAGTAGAGACTTCCATCAGGCCATTGGCCAGTTGGTCAGATCTGCTCTTTGGCTGGGAGTTAATGCTAGACAGCAGGGAAGAAGGGGCTCTTAAAGGGTTTTGCCTAGGTCACTGGCCAATCCTGGGCCTGCTTCACTCCCTCAACCCCAAGGAGATCAGGATCCTCTAGGAGTAGGACTTAGGACAGGATTTCAAGAGGAATTTAAAGGACCAAATTCTAAACATAGAGTCGTGATAAAGTTTTCTTACTTGTATGCTTCACATTGTGCAAGGGCTTCTGAGAGGGATGGAATGTGGTATTCCTCCACCTCCTGGCAGAAGAGGGGCCATTCCCTGCAAACAACAAGGAGATATCCAGCTGGGCAGCTAGGATGAGGGTGTGGGAGGGAGCATGAGCTCCTGGAACTGCCGCTGCCAACAGTTCCCACGATGGAAATAAAATAACCTCCTCCCTGAAGGCTGCAACTCAGGTCTCCTTTGTTGCTAAGGGAGGGGTCAGCCTTCGTGATTTCATCTTACTGCGTCCTTGCTTCACTTACTTAAATTCAGATGGTAAAAACAGTTTGCCAAGTCTCAGGAAGTTGAGAATGTGTCGGAACATCTGGCCATCCCCGTGGATGAGCAGGGTTTGTCCATATGTGATCCAGTACACTCTCTGAGGGTTGGACAGCAGTTCTGGATACTGGAGGGGGTTGGACACCGGACTCAGTCTCAGAGGCTAGGTCTTTGCGAAGGGGCAGGTCAATCTTCTCTCACTCCCCTTTTCCAACTACACTAGAGCAGAGGCTTTGAGATTCCATTTCCCTGTCTTGTCAGTCACAAGGAACCATGGTGGGGAGCAGAGCTTCCAGGGAGAAGCACATCATCCCTGCTTCAACTTTTGATGGCCCCTAGACCACCCTCTCAAGGCATTTGGAAGCCCACCGTACCTCCTTCTCAGTCCAGGTCCCTCAGAGCTGGCCCCCTCCCTATGCAAACTCTGGAGGGCCTTCCCAGCAGGCCACTCGGTCCACTTGTGCTCTGTTTTGTTTTGTTTTTTGAGGCAGAGTCACACTCCGTCACCCAGGTTGGAGTGCAGTGGCGCGATCTCAGCTCACTGCAACTTCTATCTCCTGGGTTCAAACAATTCTGGTGCTTCAGCCTCCCAAGTATCTGGGATTACAGGCACGTGCCATCACACCCAGCTAATTTTTGTATTTTTAGTACAGACGGGGTTTCACCATGTTGGTCAGGCTGGTCTTGAACTCCTGATCTCGTGATCTGCCCACCTCAGCCTCCCAAAGTGCTGGGATTACAGGCATGAGCCACCGTGCCTGGCGGGAAAGCCTTTGTTCTAAGCAAGTGCTGGAAGCTGTGTGAGGGCCAGGTGATGGCCCCCAGAGCAGCTCAGGTGGTGATGCCAGATGGGGAGCAGGGCAGCCGAGGCCGTCAGTACCTTCAGCAGTGTCTGCAGGGTGGTTGCGTACCAGTGGCTTCCAACATACACTTTGATGATCTGTTGTGGGGAATACACAGTGATCTCTGCCGTCCACTCATCTATGGGAATCCAGGAGATAGAACACATCATCATATGGCCAGAAGGGAAAGCAGGTAGGGCCCTTTGGTTAGTAGTGTATTTCACGTTAAGTCTCAATATCTTTCCTCAGTCATATTGTGTTGCCTAGTCTGAGAAGCAGCAGAAATCCCTGACATAAACCTTGCTTGCTGCAAGGTTTCCTGGGTGGTGAGGCGGGAAAGGGCACTGCCCCTCTTCACCTGACCCTCCTCCCTCAGGAAAGCTGGGTTGATGACCCTGTCCACCTACAATGCCAGCTGCCTCCGGTTTCTGGTTGGGTGTGTCCTGAGTGTGTAGCTTTTCATGTGGCCACTCAGACTGAAGCTAGGAATCTCTCTCTGTGTGTTTATGTTCGTGGTTTGGCAAATGTCATGGAGCCAACTCTCATCAAATCCCTGTCACTTTTATGAGACTAAGCCTCTAGGCATGTCTGGAGAATGGGGGCTGTATGCTGGAAAGATGAACCCATAACCCTTTTCCTGGAGATGACTATATGTAGGCCTTGTTCTGATGTTTGGGAAGCAGTTTCTAATGAGCTCTGTAATGAATGAAGGGTATATAACTAGATTATATAACCAAGAGATAAGATGTATAGAACTAGACCGTGAACTCCAGGAAGAAAGGGACTAAGTCTGTGTTGCTTACTTCTGTGCCGCCAGTGTCTACTGCTGTCCTGGTATATGACCGGTACTCAATAAATGTTGGATGCTGCTAAATGATAGTAATACAGCTTAAACTTTGTCCCCCAAATTTTTGGTAATAAGAAGTTATAGGCAGCTGGTGAAAACAACATTAGCTTTGGACTCAGTCAAACCCCAGCTTGACCACTGTGTAACTTGAGTGAGTTTTCTTCTCTGAACCTATTTTTTGGCTGTTAAATGGACCCAGGGACAGCTCTGTTTAACAGAGGAGGCTCCTCCCTGCATGGCTGTGAGAAGCACAGCAAGTCAGCTCCCAGGGTCAAGGCAGGCCTGCCCTGGGGGTCCTGCGTGGCCCCAGACTGGGTAACAGCCCTGTCTGCTGCTGGAGACGAATTGTGGGCTTGGAGGTGAGGAGGGAGCACTTAATATGAAAGTTTCCCTTTTGTAAAAATCCAAAATATTGGCCTGGCTTTCCCCTCCTCCTCCATCTACAGTTCCTCGTCCTGGCCACATCATCTATTCCCTCCAATCTCCCAGATACTCCCCTGATGCTAAATTCAAACCTAGAAGCTTTCTCACTTACTGAGCACATCCATGGGTGCCAAAGTCCTTGGCTCCAGATGAGTCTTCAAAGCAACTTTGATTGGCTCGTAGGTGATGTCCCTTTTGTCTAGGAAGGCACAGAGCTCATATACCTCGGAAATGGTCTCTGTCAGGGGCAGCCGGCAAGTCCCCAGCCAGTTCCTGCCCAGAGGAAAGGTCTGTCATGAAGAACATCAGCATTGTACCCCAAGAGAGTCGAGCCTGTAAACTTTCCATGCCTAGGATGCCTTGCCGCAACACTGGCTTAAATCAGGCATCATTAACATCGTTTCCTTGTATTTTTTTTTTAGATGGAGTCTCACTCTGTCGCCAGGCTGAAGTGCAGTGACGCAATCTTGGCTCACTGCAACCTTTGCCTCCCAGGTTCAAGCAATTCTCCTGCCTCAGCCTCCCAAGTAGCTGGAACTACAGGCACCCGCCACCACGCCTGGCTAATTTTTTGTATTTTTAGTAGAGACGGGGTTTCTTTTTTTTTTTTTTTCTTTTTTTGAGACGGAGTCTAACTCTGTCACCCAGGCTGGAGTGCAGTGGCGCGATCTCGGCTCACTGCAAGCTCCGCCTCCAGGGTTCATGCCATTCTCCTACCTCAGCCTCCTGAGTAGCTGGGACTACAGGCACCCGCCACCATGCCCGGCTAATTTTTTGTATTTTTAGTAGAGACGGGGTTTCACCATGTAGGCCAGGATGGTCTCAATCTCTTGACCTCATGATCTGCTTGCCTTGGCCTCCCAAAGTGCTGGGATTACAGGTGTGAGCCACCGCGCCCAGCCCGTTTCCTTGTTTTAACTGGAAATCTGTTTAACCTTGTAGGAGAGTAAGCCTGGACAACCGGTCACATTTTTGGAGCTGAGCTTGACTTATTTCAGCAAAGCCCTCTAAATGGACTAATTTCATGTCTCCAGGCCGTGTTTCCGGTTCCAGGGCCAGCCCAGGGCCCAGTCGCTCCCTTCTTGCCTCATACGCATCTGCCCAAGACATCTCAGTCACTGTGTTGCAGCCTGCCACGGTCTTGGAAAAAGGCTGGGGTCTAAACATCAACCCCCTTCTCCAAACCCTCCCTTCCAAGGCACTTGTCTTTGCCCTCTGTGACATCAGGGTGGACATCTCTGAAAGATATGGACTTTATGGGCTAAAAGAGCCCAAAACAACAATATTGGGAAAAGACAGCATTCAGGGTCAGCTGACCCTCTCCCAGGGGCTCCAGAAAACCCACTTCTACCTTCCATTTTGGTGCCAGTCTGTTTTGTGACCCTCAGAGAGTTGCTCTGCTGTTCTGCACCTCAGTTTGCCCATCTACAAAACAGGGTTGGATTCCTTGCCCCTGCACTAATGAGGACATCCTGAGCTCATCCCATAAGGCAAAGGCTGAGGATCAGCACCTCTGGGAAGCCTGGCCTGGCCTGGCCTGCCCTGCCCTGCTTCTAAGGGGGCTCACCCCTGGCTCTGGCCATTCTGTGTGTCCAGTGAGCCTCCCAAGAGTGGCGGAGGACCTTTGTAGAGGGGTCTGCACAGGGAGGTACCCAGCTCCCTGACTGTGGCCTGGTCACCTCAGACCTAGCACAGGGCTAGAACCAGGGAAATGGACTGCAGAGGACAGAAATAGGAAATGGTCTGAAGCCTTTGAACCTTGGCAACCCTTGTACCTTGGCACTAGCCCTCTCCTTTGAGGCCCTAACCTGGTGGTAGTGTGGCGGTGCTGGTGATGGTAATGGCTAAAATGATGGGCTGGCCCCAAGGACACACTTCACCTCTGGCTAGTGGGAAAGGCCCCAGGTTATTCCTAGAGGGAAGGGCAGAGCCAAGGGTGATGGGACTCAGTGTGCCCTAAGGAGGACCTCACTTGACGTGCTGAAAGAGGACGCCATTCCCTGTGATGTACAGTCGGCTTCCGTCTAGCGTGCTCTCGATGCGAAGCTGGCCCAGCGCAGAGTCCGGGTACTTGACCAGCAGACCCAGGGCCATTGTGTAGAGCGGTTTCACGGACTCCAGGCTGGCTGTGCGGGCCCCCTTCCCGGGGCTCAGGGGAGAACAGGTGGTCGGGGAACAGCCACCTGTGTCAGAGAGAAAGGGGTGACTCCTAGGCCCCCCATGGTCATAGCTGGATTGGAGGCTTTGGGGCTCGGTTCCTACTGCTGCCTCCATTGTACCGAGGAGGCTCAGAGGAAGGATATTTCTTTGCACAGTCCAAATCAAGATCTTCTCAAAATTAGTATAATTTTTTTGTATACTCAGGCTTAGAAGTCATAACTATTTGTTGGGAGGTGAGTTGGGAGTGGGGGGATTCATTTGCTGTATCACTAGCATCTGAATTTCCTAAGTTTCAGGAAAGCAGCCATCTGGCCCTAGCCTCTGCAGGAGTCTTCATTAGTTCCAAGCTCTTCTGTAACCATCCAAAGGTAAAGAACGGCAACCATGGCCTGGAAACTCAATGTGTGTTACAGGCTTCCTGGATTCACAGCCCCTGTTGCTGGCTCTCCTGGGCAGAATTTCCCCCAGAGACATACTGTGTGGCATTATTTTCAGGGTGGGTATTTGGGTTGCTGGTTTATGGATGGGACCTTTTTCTCCTATAGTGGGCCTAGGGTACAGTCCAGAGAATACAGTTATCACAGCCTTCAGGACCCTGCTCCCGTGGCAACAATGTGCCAGTGGGCACACTGCTGGGGGATGTTCGTGGATCATCTCCAATCCTCAGAGCAACCCTGCAAGAGGGGATAGTGCTATCATCATTTCACGTTGAAGAACCTGCCCTGAGAGGCTAATGAAGTATCTTGCCCTAAACTGCAAAGCTAGGCAGGGGCAGGGCTAGGATTTGAGGTCAGCTCTGTCCAGCTCCAAGGTTACCACAGCTGTTTCCCTTATTGTGATGCTTTGTAGAAAGCTAAAGCCACCCTTTGTGTTTGAGGAGTGCTGCCAGCTCCCAGAGCCTGGCTGTCAACACACTTCCTCCATCTTTGCATTGCTCTGTGGAGCAGGGACTACGCTACCATCTCACAATGATCTATGTTCTCTGAGGAGTAGAAGGCTTTGAGGGAAGGGGCTGAACTCACACCATCTTAAGCGGATTATAAGGCCCTGGGACAGGGTCCTGAGACCTGCTGGAGCATGCCACTCCCCACAAAGAGGATGGGTTTCTTTTTTGAGAAGGAGTCTCACTCTGTTGCCCAGGCTTGAGTGCAGTGGCATGATCTCGGCTCACTGCAGCCTCCACCTCCTGGGTTCAAGCGATTCTCCTGCCTCAGCTTCCCAAGTAGTGGGATTACAGGTGCGTGCCACCATGCCCGGCTAATTTTTGTATTTTAGTAGAGATGGGGTTTCACCATGTTGGCCAGGCTGGTCTCGAACTCCTGACCTCAAGTGAGCCACTTGCGTTGGCCTCTCAAAATGCTGAGATTACAGGCATCAGCCACCAGCGCCTGGCCAAGAGGATGGGTTTCTATTTGTCTGGGAGAAGGCTGGGAAATCTATGCCTGAAGATAAGGAAAGGCCTGATTGCCATGGGATAAATGTCTGGTGATGTCCAGGCCAAACTTCCCATGTGCAATGCAGTTCTACACATTCTCGGGATGGTGGCTGAAGCCATGCTCAGGTAGCTTGCGCCCTATAACATGCACAGTAGCTTCCATGGAGGTGGAGTTGGGAAATGGAATGATGAACAGCCCTGAGGAAACCATGAGGGGAAGAACAAGCTGGAATGAGGTAGGGCTGGGAGCACGAAGGCCTAGGCTGGACAGGGGTCAGCAAGCGTCAGGAATAGGCAGAAACAGGCACAGCAGCCGGGGGTTTCCACGTGAGGTGACGAGGGAATTTGGGGGTGGATGAGATGCATGAAGCACTGAGCATTTCCCACACCTCCAACCGTGCCTGGAAGAGGAAGGATGGGAGTGGCTGGTGGGTGCTCTTAGTCCCCACCACTTTCACAAGCAGGGCAGACCTCCCCTGCCCCTGAGAAGCCTGCCTTCAGGCCCAGGACATTCCAGCCTGGCTCCCCACCCAGGCTGGGCTCCTCCTGATCCAGGCTGGGCTGGGCTTTCTACACCCCTGGCTGGTTGCCCACTCCCCACCCTCAGTGGGAAGGCTGAGCCGGCAGGGCAGCACACAGGGTTTCAGGCTGTGAATCCTCTTCTTGGATTCAGAGTCAGCCAGAAAACCCAATCCTCTCACTAACCCCCAAAGCCCGAAGTGATTGTGGGAGGGAAGATTGTTCTTGGCTTTTCCAGGTCAAGCCAAGACTGTCGAGGGGGAGCCAAGGTTTCCTGGCGACATACCCATGTTCATCCGGTACCACCTTACGGCTTCAGTGAGTGCAGGGATTTCCAGAATTTCCACTTCTGCTTCTAATACATCAATGTTGGAGAAATTATCCGGTAGTAAAATCTTCTGTGAGCGAAGAAAATTCACTTGAAAAACAAAGGGGAACACAGTGAGTTAATGAGGCTATTTCTGGTTTAGCTGTAGGTCCTGGTTTTGGCAGGTTTCTGGTGCTGTAACTTATCCTAGGTTCTCCTTGTTCTGAAACAACTTATCAACATACCTTATTAGATTAGCTTTGAGTGTGTGGTTTTCAAGGCGAAAGACCCCACATTACTTTGTTTTCCTGTGTCTGAGGCCGTGGGTGTGGCCTCCCGTGGCTTGGCCTGGGGCTCCCAAGCCAGGCCCTCCTGGTGGGCACACTGGCCCTGAGACTTACCCTGTGAGTTTTGACCCAAGAGCAGGTCATTCCAAAAGAGGGAGTTGTCTTGCTGCTTAGAGAGGAGGGGCCCGGCCGAGCCTGGGCTGGCGGGTGGCACTTGCAGTTTGTCCCTGCCTGGACTGCAGTATGGGAGGCAGAGATGGAGCCAACGCTAATGTCCTGTGTGAATCAACTTAGAGATACAGAAGCACATCACAGACAACTTTCTAGGTGACTATGAATATGAATGACTGGGGTTCCAGACATTTGGGCTCCTAGTGTAACTTGAGTGTTTACTGCCCTATCTATCTAGACAGCAGTAGCATCTTGGGGTCAAAGAGATCATTCAGTTCACATCCCAAACAGAGCTCATCCTGGGGCAGTAGGGGGAGAGAGGCTCTCTCTGTCAAAGGTGGAAAATCTCATCCTTCCTTAGGCCACTACCTCAAGTGGACAATTCTGCTATGACTCTGGGGGAACCTGTCACCATCCACCCTCCTTCCCTTTTATTCTGAGTTTGCTGACATTAAGAGCAGGTAGCACCATCCTTTGAAACAATCTGGATTCCTCATTTTATGGTGAGAGGAACTGAGGCCGGAAGACCAGCTGGATACATAAGGGCAGAGTAAGAAGAGAAGCCGACTGGCAACCAGCTGAGCTCCCTGCCCTTCACACCAACTCCTGTGGTCCCTAGCACTTTCCAGTGCCTGACACTTTTACAGCCAGGCCATCCCAAAACAAATAGGGAATAAAACAGCCCTGAGTCTAGTGAGATTCTAATGCTGGAATCTGCTTGCTTCCTGGAAGGCTCTGTCATGCTTCCGCTACCTCTGCCCAGGGAAGCTCCTGAGGCCCTGAGCACCAAGCTGGGCCTCTGTGGGACATGTGATGGGGAGGGGTGAATGGGCCCTATCAGCCCGCCCCCCACCCCACCCCGGACAGAGCAATCACCAATGAAGCGGAACTCGCTGCACTCGCACTCGATGAGGGCCACCGTCTCAGCCAGCCACAGCAGGTTGTCTTCAGTCACTAGGCTGGGATATTTGGCCACCAGGTCTAGGGGCAGGAAGCAGTAGTGCACCTCCTCTTCTGTGTCTAACAGGGGTGTGTCCATGAGCCCCAGAGGTGCCTTATCATGTAGGCCTGGAAGAGAACATGCAGGCAGTGTTGCCACCTCTCAGAAGCCAGGGATCTGATTCCAGCAGGGCTTTCACTGACCCAGGGGCCCCAGAGGATGCTAGAGAGACCCCCCAGGATATGGTCCTTGCCACTTGCCAGACACATCTTCCTTCTTTATCTTTTCAGTTGTAGCCCTAAGGAGTGTGGTAGGGAGTGGGGCATGGAAGTCTATTTTTTTTTCTTTTCTTTTTTGAGATGGAGTCTCACTCTGTTGCCCAGGCTGGAATTCAGTGGTGCCATCTTGGCTCACTGCAACCTCTGTCTCTCAGATTCAACTGGTTCTCCTGCCTCAGCCTCCCAAGTAGCTGGGACTACAGGCACGTGCCACCACACCCAGCTAATTTTTGTGTTTTCAGTAGAGACGGGGTTTCACCATGTTGTCAGGCTGGTCTCGAACTCCTGACCTCACGTGATCCATCTGCCTCAGCCTCCCAAAATGCTGGGATTACAGGCATGAGCCACCGTGCCCAGCTGGAAATCTATATTTTTTCTATAAACAGTGAAGGGCAGTGGGACATGTGACATTTTGACTTATGTATCCAAAGTCATTAAATTCATTTACCCATTTGATTCTAATTGATCAAACCAAACACAGTGATCCACAGACAAAATAGATGCTTTTGACACTCCTGGAAGCTAAAATCCATCAATAATCATAAATGCTTTGTACTCATGTCTCAGATAGGCTGAACTATGCTGCCAGGCACCCATCAGACAGTGATTATTTAGGGACATTCTGTGTGTGGTGGTTGGAGGAAACTCAAAAGAATGGTGGCATTCCCTGATGAATAGGAGGGAGTGGAATGAAACCTCGCCTTGCCCACATGAAGCCAGAATGCAGAGGAGTGAGTGTGGAGGAGAATGTTGGTTCCAGCAGGCAAGCAGCCATGGAGAGGGCCTGTGGCAGGGCAGAAGATCAAAGGAGATGACAGAGACTGCCTCAGAAATCAGGCACTCTCTGCTCTCTGGATGGAAGCCACTTCTGTTAGGGTGAGGAGAGGGAAAGTTGGTGTGGGCTTTAGGGAGGGACAGCCTATCCCAATTCACCTGTAAAGGCTGGGCTTTTAATTGGAAATTCTGAGGGTTTGCTAATACACTTCCATGTACGCCAGTAGTTCAGAGATGCTCTCTCAGCAACAGGTAGGTCTGCAGGCCGTACGCGTAGATGGTGTTTCCCTTCCTTCAGGTTATCTAGAGTCTGTTAGATAATGAAGAGTACTATCTTGAGAATCTAAACCAAGTAACTATGTACCAATTCTAGTGTGAAGATCAGGAAAAACAGTATGTGACTTACTTTTTTTTTTTTTTGAGACAGAGTCTCGTTTTGTTGCCCAGGCTGGAGTGCAGTGGTGCGATCTCAGCTCACTGCAACCTCCACCTCCTGGGTTCAAGCGATTCTCCTGCCTCAGCCTCTCGAGTAGCTGGGATTACAGGCACCTGCCACCACGCCTGGCTAATTTTTTTTTGTATTTTTAGTAGAGACAGAGTTTCACCATGTTGGCCAGGCTGGTCTTGAACTCCTGACCTCAGGTGATCCATCCGCCTCGGCCTCCCAAAGGGTTGAGATTACGGGCATGAACCACCGCGCCCAGCGACTTACTTTAAGTGTTTTGAAATAAATTAGGCAGTCACACAAAAAATGTAAAAATGTAGGGCTATAGGGTGACATGCTGATATTCAAAGTCCCAATGATTATTTCTCTTCTGATTTTTGAAACAAGTTTTGTTATAATTTTATGTTGAGTAATAGTAATTTATCTTGCACAATCTAAAGAGTAATTTCTATTTAATCATTAAAAACTTGTTATTTTCTGCTATCATTTTCCTTCAAGTGCTCAAAATCACTTTCAACCTGTTATAATTGTGATTTGCTATTGTTTGTGTTCATCCTAACCCTGGGTAGTGATCTAAGTGGTGAGATTGAGGTATAATAAACATGTCTTATATTGCCACAGGACTCCACATTTTTCAACACACTTTAACACACTTTTTCTCATTTACCATGACATGATTCTGTGAGACAGATGTGGTTGGTGAGTGTCTTACTGATGAGGCAGCTGAGGTCAAAGGCTTTGTGGCCCGCCCAAGCAGTCTTCCAAGTCCAGAGCTTGTCAGCTTGAAGGATCAGGCGACCAGAGGTGGGCTGAGGCTGGAGTGGAGCACCCCAACTAGGCAAGCCTGAAGCCCAGGGCGGTCTTCGTGCCGCCCTTACCCAGGGACCCATTCTCCCTCAAAAGTCCTGCAGGGGGCAGATTATCATAACATCAGCACCCCCTCCCTTTTTTTTTCTGTCTTTACGCTAGAAGAAGATACATAGTATTTTCCCAATAAATTTCCGGATATAGCAGGGCAAGTGGTACTTTAAAGGCACCAGATCCTCAAAATGGACAGGTGCCCCAGATTTAGTCTGAAACTAACAAATAATCTGCCTCTAAATGCTGCTATGTCAATGAAGCCCTTGTGACGTTGCTCTCAAAAATCCTGAGCATTGAGACTAGTCCTCTGGTGGCCAAGCTATAAACTGTGCCCGCATAATCACTTAAGGTCAATGCAAAAGAAGGCGGGCCAGAGTGGGAGAATCTTTCCCACTCTGGATGGCTGGAGGGTTTGCAAAAGCACTGGGCAATGGTGGGATCGTGGGGAGTGCTTTCCTGTGGCAGTGAACAATGGGGGAGACAGTGTGTGCGTGGAACGCTGGAAGACAGTCTGTCATTCATTTGAGAAATACTCATTGTGCATCACCAGGGCCACAGTCAGACACTGTGCCTGCCCTCAAGAAGCTCTCAGCTTGGGAGAGAAGAAAGATATGAAAGACCACAATTTACGTATACTGAGATTAGAGCCAGTGTCAATTATGAAGTTTCTGGACCTCCAGGAACCCTGGGATTTCTTTCCACAGCATTAGAAGGGAACATTAGAGTCTCGCTCTGTCACCCAGGCTGGAGTGCAGTGGTGCAATCTCGGCTCACTGCAACCTCCGCCTCCTGGGTTCAAGTGATTCTCCTGCCTTAGCCTCCCGAGTACCTGGGATTACAGGTGCCCACCACCATGCCTGGCTAATTTTTGGATTTCTAGTAGAGATGGGGTTTCACCATGTTGGCCAGGCTGGTCTCAAACTCCTGGCCTCAAATGATCCACCAGCCTCGGCTGGTGCTGGGATTATAGGCGTGAGCCACCGTGCCCGTCCTGCCTCTCCATTTTCTCTCCTTTCCTTTCCCCTAGTCCTGGTCCCCTAGCCCCCAGGTCCTCTCCACACAGTGATCTTGCAAACATATGAGGTGAGTCCAAATCACTCCTCATCTTAAAAAACTTTAGTGCTTCCTGTTGCTATGGGATAAATCCAGACTCTCCTTTGCATTGCACATAGGGTCCTTCACAATCAATGGAGGGAGTAGGGTATACACGAAAAGAACAAGGGCTTTGAACTCAGCATATCTGGGGTAAATTCTGACTCTGTCACTTAAAAGCTAACATTTATTACCCATGGACTTTTAAACTGAATCCTTCCAATCTTCCCCTGACAACAAAGTAGGCTCTGGTATCATCACTCCCTTTGAGCACATGGGAAGCTAGGTCCAGGAAGAGGTAGGGGACTAAGTGCACCAAGTAAGTGGAGATACTAGGAATGAAACCCAGGACTCTGGAGCCCAAGCCCTTAGCAACTGTTTTCTTTTTATTGATATGTAATAGTTGTTCATATTTTTGGGGTACATGTGATATTTCAATACATGGATACAATGTATAATGATTAATTTAGGGTAATGAAGATATCCATCACGTCATTTTTTTTTTTTGAGACAGAGTCACACTCTATCACCTAGGCTGGAGTGCAGTGGCATGATCACAGCTCACTGCAGCCTTGACCTACTGGGCTCAACTGATCCTCCCACCTCACCCTCCTGAGTAGCTGGGACCACAGGTGCACATCACAACACCCTGCTAATTTTTTTTTTTTTTTTGAGACAAGGTCTCACTCTGTTGCCCAGGCTGGAGGGCAGTGGCCCAATCTTGACTTACTGCAACCTCCGCCTCCCAGGCTCAGGTGATCCTCCCACCTCAGCCTCCCAAACAGCTGGGACCACAGGCGTGCACCACCACACCTGGCTAATTTTTTTGTATTTTTAGTAGAGGTGGGGTTTCGCCACATTGCCCTGGCTGGTCTCAAACTCCTGGACTCAAGTGATCGGCCTGCTTCAGCCTCCCAAAGTACTGGGATTGCAGGCATGAGCCACCACGCCTGGCCGACAGCCAGCTAAGTTTTAAGTTTTTTGTAAAGACAGGGCTTTGCCATGTTGCCCAGGCTGGTCTTGAACTCCTGGGCTCAAGCGATCCTCCCATATTGGCCTCCTGGGATTATAGGCATGAACCACTGGGCCAGACCCATCACCTCAAACATTTATCTTTTCTTTGTGATGGAAACATTCCAATGATTTTCTTCTAGCTAGTTTGAAATACACAATATATTATTATTAACTATAGTATTCCTAGCGTACTACCAAATACAAGAACTTATTCCTTTTATCTGACTGTAATTTTGTACCCATTATCCAAATTCTCTTCATCTCCTTCCCTCCCCCTACTTTTCCCAGCCTCTGCTGCCTTCCACTTGTCATGTAACTTCTCCAAGCCTCAGGTTCCTCACTGGCAAAGTGGAGGCAGTAAAATCTGGAAGCTGTTGTAAAGATTAAATGAAATAGTATGTTAATTTCCTTCCTTTTGGAGGTCATATCCTAAATTTCTTCCTTCCTTCCTTCCTCCCTCCCTCCCATCCTCCCTCCTTCCTTCCTTCTTTCTTTTCTTTTTTTTTTTTTTTAGTGCCTTGCTGTGTCGCCCAAGCTGGAGTGCAGTCGTACAATCATCATGGCTCATTGCAGCCTTGACCTCTTGGGCTTAAACAATCCTCCTGCCTCAACCTCCCAAGTAGCTGGACCACAGCTGTGCGCCGCAACACCCCATTAACTTTTTGATTTTTTGTAGAGATGAGGTCTTGCTATGTGGCCCAGGCTGGTCTCAAACTCCTTAGCTTAAATGATCCTCCCACCTCGGCCTCCCAAAGTGTTGGGATTACAGGCATGAGCCACTGCGCCCAGCCTAAATTACCTTTCCAGCCTCATTTCCCATCATTCTTTATGTTTACACCCCATCATCAGTGACACTAAACTCCACAAAACTCCAAAAACACATCACGTTCTTTGACACCTCCCCAGCTTTGTGTACGCTGTTCCATCTGCCCAGAATACTCCTCCCCATTCTCTTCCTGAAGAGCCTGGAGCCTCTCTGAGCCAGAATGGGTCATCCCCCCACTTTGTTCCCACAGACACTCAACACTTTCACTTCTCTCTGCAGGCCTCTGGCTCAGTTTCAGGCCAGTTCTTCCCCCTATACCAAGCTTCCTGGGGAGAGGCTGGTTTGATGCATCCCCATTTTGTGTTCTAGAACCTAGCATGCATATGAAAGAATGCATGAAAATGGAGGGCTAGCCAGGTGCGGTGGCTCACACCTGTAATCCCAGCACTTTGGGAGGCCGAGCTGGGCCGATCACTTGAGGTCAGGAGTTTGAGACGAGCCTGGCCAACATGGCAAAACCCCAACTCTACTAAATATACAAAAAATTAGCCGGGCTTGGTGGTGCATGCCTGTAGTCCCAGCTACTCTGGAGGCTGAGGCAATCATTTGAACCCAGGAGGCAGAGGTTTCAGTAAGCCGAGATCATGCCACTGCACTCAAGCCTAGGAGACAGAGCGAGACTTCAGCTCAAAAAAAAAAAAAAAAGAAAAAAGAAAGAAAGAAAGAAAAGGAAGGGCTGGAGGGCTGATTCTCTGCAAAGAAAAGCAAAAAGAAACATGGGAGATCTCCAAAGAAGCGAACAGAGAAGTAGACTGCACTCATAAAACTGAGAAAGATGGAAAGACATTGAGTATCCAAAACCACAGGAAAAACCAGCACAAGATTACAATGGGCAGAGCCTATGGAGTTCAGAGGACAATGAAGACAGGGATTCCACGTTGGGATCTGGAGGCCAGAGGGAAGACCTAACGGGGAGAGGGACAGGGATGAAGGAGAGGGAGAGAGGATGGCAAGAAGAAAGGGTTTAGCTTGGGTCTGATTTGTGATGGACAGAAAGACAGTAGGCAAAGTAGCAAGAAAAGAGTGAAACTAGGGAAAGTCAGCTAGGGCAGCGTAGCACTCCAAGCCCATGCTCAGTGGACTGCATCACAGGAGCTTGAATCTGCCACTTACTTCACCTACAGATTCAACCCCCAAGATTCTGTCTTAGTGGAGAAAATAATAGTGCCTTTGAACAACTCTAAATTGGCCACGTGGGAGAAGGCCTGTGGTGGGGAGAAGGGGAGAGAAATCCCTGCCCAGGACAACACTCCTATTTGGAGGTGTTTGGTACTGGATGTGTCCTCTGGAATGGGTCAGTAGTGACAGTCTAGCTAGTTTGAGAGGAGATGTGCTAGTTGAGGAGAGAATGATCTATTTTGCAGAAATGAAATCTCCATTTCCTGCTATTTCCAAGCATGTAAAGTGTTAGCAGCACCATTTTCCCCAAGAAAGGTATGCCCAAGAAATCTTAAAAAAGAGAAAAACTAAAGCAAGTCCACAAAGATTGCCATCCTTGCCAGTCAGGTCATGCTGCAGGCCAGGCCCAGGCATCGGCCTTGACCTAGGCTCAGGAGCCTCAACAAGGCTGTTTCCCGAACTCTGTCAACCAATACTTGCTCTGACTTCTAGAAATACAAGTCCTCTACTCACGGAAAGCCATTCGGGTGCTATAAGAAATCACAGAAACCATTCCCCAGCCCCTCACTTACTTATTTTTGATCTGCCAGTTTCCCCTAATAGATATAACCTCCCCAAGACCTCAGGACCTTGGCTGTTTTGTCCTCTGCCGTATTTGCAGCACCTAAAACAAGGCCTGTGGGGTCTCAATACCTTTTTGTTCAATGAATGGCTAAATGAATGAAGAACACTCCAGAGAGCCTGGGCTTCCAGCTGCCCTCTGGCTTTGCTGACTGAAATTGCTACAGAGTGTGTGGCTGGTCTTCTACAGGCTGACTTCAAGTCCGCTTTCATCTGCCTGAATACAACTTCCAGGAATTTTACTTTTCACATGTTACGACCTGGAAAAAGTTATTGGAGAGAGGATTTCTTAAGGGAAATACAGACCTTAAATGAATTCAGATGGCTAATTTCTAGCACAAGAATAAATGATGTTGCTTTTGGCCTAGATAGTGGTGAAAAAATATGTCAATCAGAAGCAACATAAAACTGATGGCACGGGGAAGTATGTGTATGTATGTGTGTGGTTGCCAAAGATGGCTGACAAATGCGCCCTGATGGCAGAACTTTGGGACTTAACGGAGGTTTTCCAAAGCAGCAGCAGTTCTCAGAGATGCCTTATGCTCTGATGTAGGCTGTTGGAAAGAATGTGATGGTAAAGGAGCTTGGGGGAACTTCCAAATCCTTGACTGCCTTGTAAAGACAAGGAGGGCCAGCACTGCTTTAAGGCTCAAGGAAAGCAAGGCTGGTAGAACAAAAGGATGTGCAGAACAGCTGCTGTCAGCCCCCAAAGCCAAATAAGACGCAGCTTTCGGCATTTAAAACCTACCCCTTCACTGTGGGCTCCAGTCACCTCACTCTGCAGAAGTCATCTTGAGCATAACACTGAGTGTTCTCTCAGCAGATATGTTGTTAAGCATGTGCAAATGCCAGGTACTGTGAGAGGTGCTAGGTGTTTGTTTCATGAAAACATGAAAAGAGTACAGCCCAGTGAGGGAGAAAGACATATGAATACATGAGAATACATGATCACAACAGAATTAGCACTGCTAGAATGGGGGAATTCAGTCTGTTATGAGAGCAGAGAGACAAAAACTCAGGAAATGTCAGGATAGTCTTCCAGTGGGCCACATTTAGGCCAAATCTTTTTTTTTTTGAGATGGAGTCTCACTCTGTTGTTCAAGCTAGAGTGCAGTGGCACAATCTTGGCCTTGTCTCACTGCAACCTCCGCCTCCCAGGTTCAAGCGATTCTCCTGCCTCAGCCTCCTAAATAGCTGGGATTACAGTTGCCTGCCACCACGCCTGGCTAATTTTTGTAGTTTTAGTAGAGATGGGGTTTCACTATCTTGGCCAAGTTGGTCTCAATCTCCTGACCTCAAGTGATCCACCTGCCTCAGCCTCCCAGAGTTGGGATTACAGGCGCGAGCCACCGTCCCCAGCCAAGGCCAAATCTTAAAAGGGGAGAAATCCAAGAAGAGGAAACGGCAAGTGAAAAAGTGTAGAGAGAAAGCATGTGGGGTGCTTGGGGCAAGGCTGAACTTCAAAGTGTGTGTGTGTGCCTGTGTGTGTGTGTGTGCATGTGTATGTGGCCTTGCCTGCATGTAGGTGTGTGTCTTTGTTGGGATATGAGCCAGCACAAGCAGATGAGCCAGCCTGTGAGGAGCCCTGATGCCACGTCAAGGGGTTTGCATTTGAGTCATCCACTTACCCACACCACAGACAAGCTACACAGTTGGGATGAATATCTGCTGTTTATGTCATCCTCTTCCTTTCCAAGATCACAGTCATAATCTCACATCATGAGTAATGGGAAATGTGAGACTGCCACTGGTCTATTTTCTTAAAAACGTCATTTGTGTGATCAACATAAAAACTCCCTGGCTCCCTTGAGCACAAGGAATGAAGGCGTGTTTGGGTTGCTTGCTGGTAGCAGAATGCTCACAAGTGGAACAATTTAAAGTTCCAAACTGAGAAGTCCCCAGAAGGTGTGAAAAAGGAAACATAAGTAGCATGTCCTGTCAACACATTGTCCTCAGTGGACTTCAGGGGGGAAGTAAAAAAGAATCGATAATTTGCCATGAAACTTAAACCCTGGTGAATGACCCTAAAGGGAAATTCCACACTCTGCAGCTGTGACTCCCACCCAGGCTGATGGATGTGAAGGGCTCAGATCAGTTTACATTTAGGTAAGGTGGCCTTCCCAAATTACACAGGAAGTTCTAGGAGGCCCTGTGATATTAATGTGTGGACCTGTAATGACTACTTTGTATTTCCCCTATAAACAATATACAGTATTCCAAAATATCCAGATTCATGGATTTACATATCAGCTTTTATGACTCCCAAATTTTTATCTCTAGGCCTAACTGTTTCCATGAATTCCAGACCTGTACATCCCGCGCCTCCTGTTTACCTTCACTTGGATGGTTTTATTGCCCTTTCATTGTCTCTCAAACTCAACATGTTCAGATCCTAACTCCTGATTTTCCTCCCTAAACCTGTGTACACATCCCTCAAAATCCACCATTCATCTGGTTGCTCAGGAGAGAAACAAAGGAGTTGTCCATTCTCTCTCACCCTACATTCAATTCATCAGCAAACCCTGTCAGTTCTACCAGCAAGACATATTCAGAGTTTGAACACCTCTAACACTACTATTACCACCATAGAACAAACCACCATTATCTTTCATCTGGATACTGCAGGAGCCTCTTAACTGGTCTGTCTACTTCCTCCCTTGCTCTGCTGCAGTCTAGGCCAGGGGTCAGCAAGTTTTTTTCTATAAAAGGCCTGACAGTAAATATTTTAGGCTTTGCTTTGCTAGCCACATGGTCTCTGTCAACTCAACCACTCAGCTCTGTGTTACAGCTTGAGAGCAGCCATAGACAACACATAAACAAATGAGCATAGCTGTGTTCCAGTAAAACTTTATCAATGGCACTGAAATTAGAATTTTTTTTTTTTTTTTGAGACAGAGTCTCCCTCAGTCGCCCAGGCTGGAGTGCAGTGGTGCGATCTCAGCTCACTGCAACCACCGTCTCCTAGGTTCAAGCGATTCTCTCATCTCAGCCTCCCCGAGTAGCTGGGATTACAGGCACTTGTCATCATGCCCGGCTAATTTTTGTATTTTAGTAGAGATGGGGTTTCACCATGTTGGCCAGGCTGGTCTTGAACTCCTGACCTCAGGTGATCTGCCCGCCTTGGCCTCCCAAAGTGTTAGGATTACAGGCGTGAGCCACCACGCCTGGCCTGAAATTTGTATTTCATATGATTTTTACATAGCACAAAATATTTTTGATTTTTTTTCAACCATCTAAAAATGTAAAACCCATTCTTAGCTCATGGGCTTTCCAAAAAAGGTAGTGGCTGAATTTCGTCCATGGGCTGTAGTTTGCAGATTCTTGATCTAAGGTTAAGCCAGCAGCCAATGATCTTTCTTTTTATTTGGGGATAGAGTCTTGCTCTGCTGCCCAGGCTGGAGTGCAGTGGCATGATCTTGACTCACTGCAACCTCCGCCTCCCGGGTTCAAGCAATTCTCCTGCCTTAGCCTCCTGAGTAGCTGGGATTACAGGCGCATGCCACCATGCTCAGCTAATTTTGTATTTTTAGTAGAGATGGGGTTTCACCATGTTGGTCAGGCTGGCCGCCTCAGCCTCCCAAAGTGCTGGGATTACAGGCATGAGCCACTGCACCCGGCCTTTTTTTTTTTTTTTAAAGAGAAGATCTTGCTGTGTCACCCAGGCTGGGATGCAGTGGTGAAATCTCGGCTCACTACAGCCTTGAACTCCTGGGCTCATATGATCCTCTGGCTTCAGCCTTCTGAGTAGCTGAGACTACAGGCACATGCTACCATGCCTGGATAATTTTTAAATTTTTTGTAGAGATGATGTCTCATTATGTTGCCCAGGCTGGTATCCAACTCCTGGCCTCAGGTGATCTTCCCACCTCAGCATCCCAAAGTGTTGAGATTACAGGTGTGAGCCACCGTGCCCAGCCCCTCTCTCCCTCCCTCCCTCCTCCCCTTCTTTCTTCCTTCCTTCTTCCCTTCCTTCCTTTCTTCTCTCTCTCCCTCCCTCCCTCCTTCCCCCTCTCTTCCCTTCCCTTCCTTCCTTTCTTTCTTTTCCTGAGATATATTTCACATACTATAAAACTTACCCATTTAAAGCATGCAATTCAGTGGCTTTTAATCTATTAACAGAATCAAGCAACCATCACCACAATCTACTTCAATACCCCTAAAAGAAACCCTGTACCCAATAACAGTCACTGCTCATTCTCCATTCTCACTCACCCATCCTTCCTACCCTGAGCCCCAGCCCTAGGAAGCCACTTATCTATCTTCTGTCTCTATAAATTTGCCTGTTCTGCACATTTTAGATAAATAGAATCATACAATATATGGTGCCATTTTATTTATTTATTTGTTTGTTTGTTTGTTATAGAGATGGGGCTTTGTCATGTTGCCCAGGCTGGTCTTGAACTCCTAAGCTCAAGGGATCCACCCACCTCGGCCTCCCAAAGTGCTGGGATTATAGGCATGAGCCACCGCACCCAGCTGTGTCTATCTTCTATACATATAATCATACAATAAGACTGTTTCTTTCACTTAGCTGACATGATGGTTTTTTTCACTTAGCATTATATATATATATATATATATATATATATATAGAGAGAGAGAGAGAGAGAGAGAGAGAGAGAGAGAGAGAGAGAGGGGAAGGGTCTTGCTTTGTCACCCAGGCTGGAACACAGTGGTGCAAACACAGTTCATTGCAGCCTTGACCTCCCTGGCTCAGGCGATCCTCCTGCCTTAGCCTCCCAAGTAGTTGGGACTATAGGCATGAGCCATCATGCCTAGCTAAATTTCTTTTTTAATTTTTTGTAGAGTTGGAGTCTCACTTTGTTGCCTAGGCTGGTCTCGAACTTCTGGCTTCAAGCAATCCTCCTGCCTCAGCCTCCAAGAGCTACCTATAACATTTAGAATAAATCCTGTGTCTTCACCATGGCTTTCAAGGTTCTGCAAGATCTGGCTTCCTCTGATCTCATTGTCAACCTTTGACATCTCCCTACCTCTCACTGTACTTTACAATGGCCTCCAAGTGGGCCAACGAGCCACTATAACCTCAGGGTATTAGCGTTTAACTATTCCTCTTTTTTTTTTTTTTGGGATAGTCTCACTCTGTTGCCCAGGCTGGAGTGCCGTGGCTCAATCTCAGCTCCCTGCAACCTCCACATCCTGGATTCAAGCGACACTCCTGCCTCAGCCTCCACAGCAGCTAGGATTACAGGCATGAGCCACCATGCCCAGCTAATTTTTGTGTTTTTTTGTTTGTTTTTTTGAGACAGAGTCTTGCTCTGTTGCCCAGGCTGGAGCACAGTGGCACGATCTCTGCTCACTGTAACCTCCGCCTCCCGGGTTCAAGCAATTCTTCTGCCTCAGCCTCCCAAGTAGCTGGGATTATAGGCGCACGACACCATGCCCGGCTAATTTTTATATTTTTAGTTGAGATGGGATTTCACCATGTTGTCCAGGCTGGTCTCAAACTCCCGACCTCGTGATCGCCTGCCTCGGCCTCCCAAAGTGCTGGGATTACAGGTGTGAGCCACCGTGCCTGGCTAATTTTTTTGTTTTTTAGCAGAGATGGGGTTTCTCTATGTTGGCCAGGCTGGTCTCCAACCCTGACCTCAAGTGATCCACCCACCTCGGACTCCCAAAGTGCTGGGATTATAGGTGTGAGCCACCGCGTCTGGCCTAACTATTACTAATGTCTGTAAGTTCTTTCCCCAGATACCTGCATGCCTTACCCCTTTGCCCCTTTTTCATTCAGATTTCTGCTCAAATGTTGCCTTGTCAATGAGGCCTGTTTGATCACTGTTTTCTTATTTATTTAAGTATTTATTGACAAGGTCTAGCTCTGTCACCCTGGCCGAAGTGCAGTGGTGCAAATATGGCTCACTGTGGCCTCAAACTCCTGGGCTCAAGCAATCCTCCCACCTCAGTCTCCTGAGTAGCTGGGACCACAGGCATGCACCATCATGTCTGGCTAATTAAAAAAATTTTTTTGTAGAGACAGCTTTTGCCATGTTGCCCAGGCTGGTCTTGTCCTGGGCTCAAGAATCCTCCTGCCTTGACCTCCCAAAGTGTTGTGATTGCAGGTGTGAGACACCATGCCCAGCCTCTGATCACTCAATACAGAAGTCACTTCCCTGGCTCCAGTCACTTGCTATCCCCCTTACCCTTCTTGCCACATACTATCCATCTGAATATTAAAAGACAAGCAGATTCGATGTAAATGTTTTATTCTTTCAACTAAATTCTAGTACTAGAAGGACAGTAAAACAATGATATGCTGGGGAAAATGTAGCAATATACTTTTGTTTAAAAGACTGATTGAATAAACAAAAACTACAAAAAAAAAGAAAATAATATAAACATAATCTGAAATTCCAAGAAGTCCTGGAATACAGAAATGCCCTCCTCCTTCATTATTACACAGGAAGCACTGTTTTAATTGTCTTCATAGCATTTATCTCTACCTGACATTGTATAGCTACAGGGTTCACTCCTGTATCTCCAGAACTTGGTGTAAGTTTGGTGCTTAATACACAATAAGACACTAATAAGCATCAAGTGTATCCTTTGGAGGCCACAACTACAGGCTAGAGGTGGGGGTTGGGTGGGCAGGTGGAGTTGGGGGATTTGGGGAATGGGGAGGGGTGGAGAGCAGAGCAGCAGCGTGAGCCTGGGTGCCTGTACTCCAGAAGCTTCCCATCTTGTGCTGCTTGTTGATCATTCTACATGGCTTTCCATCAAAGCCTACTATGTCACAGATAATTCTGAGTAGAATATGCATTTGTTGAGTGCATGGGAACCTTAGTTAGCAGGAGGCAAAGTCACATTTTTATTGTTAGGGGCTGAATCTGAAGGACTCTATGGTGAGGAGTACTAACAGTTTAGAGCAGTTTAGATATATGCTGCCCAATATGGTAGCCACTAGCCACGTATGGTTATTGACTACTTGAAATGTGACAGTCTGAGACCCAGCACGGTGGCTCACATCTGTAATCCCAGCAATTTGGGAGGCTGAGGGGCAGATTGCTTGAGGCCAGGAGTTTGAGACAAGCCTGGCCAACATAACAAAACCCCATCTCCACTAAAAATATAAAAATTAGCTGGGCGTGGTGCTGCACACCTGTAATCCTAGCTACTTGGGAGGCTGAGGCATGAGAAGCTCTTGAACCAGAAAACGGAGGTTGCCATGAGCCGAGATAGCACCACTGCACTCTCACCTGGGCGACAGAGTGAGACTCTGTCTCCAAAAGAAAAAAAAAAAAGAAAGAAATGTGACAGTCTGAATCTGAGATGTGCTGTAAGTATAAAACAACAGATTTTGAACACGGTACAAAGAATGTAAAATTTCTCAATTTCTAAATATTGATTACATGTTGAAATAACATTCTGAATATATTGAATAATACTTTGAATATACAGTTAATATTTTGAGTATAATAATATATTATTAAATTGATGTCATCTGTTTCTTTTTACTGTTTTAGATGTGGCTATAGAAAGTATAAAATTACATAAGTGGCTCACATACGTCGCTCACATTATATTTTTATTGGATCATCCTATGTTTTCCCCAAAGCCCACAGGAATAATGCCTGGAACCCAGAATGCTCTTCATAAATACTGGGTGAATGCATTAAGTTGGGCTGCCTGAGTAGAGTCTAAAGACTAAGAATTGGCAAACTCCAATTTCTCCAAGCAAAGTGTTTGCTCATTTAGTAAAAAAATCTGAGTATCTGATAGACCTTAGCAGTGGGAAAGTGGTGGAAATGTGTGAAGCTGTTGATTAGCTTGAGGTGACTGTTGGTTCCCAGCTGTATTTACACTCTGCTTCAAGAAATAAACACCATTTCACTTGGGCCAACTCAAATATTTATTTCTTTGACAACACCATTTTCAAAGTGTAAGCACTTGCTTTACAGTCTTTTTTTAGGGAGGCAGAGCCACATGATTCTTCAAATACTTCTACTCCTCACACAATGTGGAACTTTGGAATTGGACCAACCCATTGGCTTCTGAGGAGCAGCCCCCCATTTAGAAGCTGCTTGTGGCTGGGCGCGGTGGCTCATGCCTGTAATCCCAGCACTTTGGGAGGCCAAGGCGGGAGGATCGCTTGAGCTCAGGAGTTCAAGACTAGCCTGGCCAACATGGTGAAACCCTGTCTCTACTAAAAACACAAAAATTAGCCAGGCATGGTGGCACAAGCCTGTAATCCCACTACTTGAAGGCTGAGGAAGGAGAATTGCTTGAACTCAGGAGGTGGAGGTTGCAGTGAGCCGAGATAGCGCCACTGCACTCCAGCCTGGGACAGAGCAAGACTCTATCTCAAAAAAAAAAAAAAAAAAAAAGAAGCTGCTTCCTTGATATATTTTGTTTCAATTTGGGAAGTGAGGACAGCAAAGGGTTTAAAGGGCTTAATACACTGTAGAATAGGCTTGTATTCTTTAACATGTTCTTTAAAAATTGCCTTGATCTCTGATTTTCTGCAACAAGCAAGTTACTCCCTCCCTTCTACCTCAAAATGATGCCTTGGCGTAGAGTCATCAGCAATCCTGTCATGACAGGCCATTTAAGTGGTTTTGAAGCCACTTGTAAACAATTCTAGTACTCCATTCCTGGGGCAGTTGAAAAAAAAATTAAATTCAAGAAGGTAGCTTGAAAAAGAAAAAAAAATACAACAACTTGCCTGGTAGTATATTAAGAATTTTTAGGCCAGGTGCGGTGGCTCACGCCTATAATCCCAGCAGTTTGGGAGGCTGAGGCGGGTGGATCAACTGGGGTCAGGAGTTCGAGACCAGCCTGGCCAATATAGTGAAACCCCGTCTCTACTACAAATACAAAAATTAGCCAGGAGTGGTGGCGGGTGCTTGTAATCTCAGCTACTCAGGAGGCTGAGGCAGGAGAATCACTTGAACCTGGGAGGCGGAGGTTGCAGTGAGCCGAGATGGCGCCATTGCACTCCAGCCTGGGTAACAAGAGCGAAATTCCATCTCGAAGAAAAAAAAAAAAAAGAAAATTTCTGATTTCCAAATATAGAATGACTTTTAAGAGAAAACACTGAATTATTTAGTAAGCATCCATGAAAACATGCACTATGAAATGTTCTCATTCCTCTATGGCCCAGATACGCATGATCTATCTCAATTTTCTTCTAAAAAGTGTTGAGGCACAGTTGGTGGTACACTGAGCTACACTGCAGCTTGTTGGGTTAGTGCTGATAGAGACGGAATAAACACCTTGTACAGATGGTAGGATTAATACGGAGGATGTTCAATGGTCCTTCCCAGTTGTAATATTTAGTTCTTCCAGGTTAAAAAGAATTGTTCAAAAACTACTGAATAAACTACTTAAGATCAGCCACAAAAATGATTTCTGTGGCTTGGAGAAAAATTAGGAAAGAAAGGTAATGTTTTTAGCAGTACTTTAATGGTTTATAAGTAAAGGTATTTAAAGCTCTTATAATAATAATAATAATAATAATAATAAAGTTTCTTGGAAGACAAAGAAGTGATGGTAAAGGAAAGATTCTGCAGAACTTGTTTTTTTTTTTCTCTCTCTTGACATTTGGCCCAAGATTAGAACTTTTTGCTTTGGTGTAAATGCATGTTGTGTACCTAACAGACACAATGAGAGGTGATATTCTTGATAAATCTTTTAGATTTTAAATCTCAGACATGATGTACATAGCAAATCCTAAAATATCTAAAGTGTTCTCCTTTTAAGATTCAAAAAACAAAAAACAAGAAGTAGCTTAATATAGGATTTTCAAGAGCCAGGGGCACCCTCTCAGTGGATAGTAAATCCCATTCTGGGTCCATGGTGGCTGCTAGTCTAACTAAAGCACAGTTGGGATGAAATCATTTATTAAGAACATATAGGCGGGGTGTAGTGGCTCATGCCGGTAATCCCAGCTCTTAGGGAGGCTGAGGGAGCACTTAGGGAGGCCAATTAGAGAGGACGACTTGAGCCCAGGAGTTCAAGACCAATCTGGTCAACATGGAAAGGATTGGCCGGGCATGGTGGCATGCACCTGTGTTCCCAGCTACTCAGAGGGACTGAGGTGGGAGGTGGGAAGATCCTTTGGGCTTGGGAGGTGGAGGTTGCAGTGAGCTGTGATTGCAGCAGACACCCTGTCTCGAAAAAACAAAAGCAGGTAATTTCAGTGTATTGTTTATTACTTTTTTTTCCTTTTTACTCACCCCTATACTAATGAGGAAATTATTTATTACTTTAACACACTTATTACATTTGCCCATTAAGAGGGTCATCTCAGCAACCAATATATAACAGGAAACAATATTTAGTGATGTAAAGCCATGTTACTGATCCACCACTCCCAGAAAACAAGAGCATCTTACCTGCAGCAAAGGCATCAGCTGCAAACCCAATGCTTGCTCATACAGCAAGTTCAGTTCTGCACAACTGGAGAAGGAGAGTTTGGAGGTGTAGAGGTAATAGTGCACGTGCCTAAATGTGGAACCATCTCTGTCGATAAATAGCCTCTGGCTTTCTGAAGAGGTCAAGGCTGAAGCCTCTTTCCACAGCAGGGAGTCTGGAAACTGAGAGAGTTTGCTTCTGGGAACTGAGAAATGCCAGCCCCCTACGTTGAAATGAAACAAGTCCTCTGCTGATTCATGAGCCATGCCAGACTCCTCCTAAAGGGGGAATGAAAAAGAGATCTACGCAAGAAAAAGAAATAAAAAGGCATCCAGATTGAAAAGGTAGAAATAAACTATCTCTGTTTGCTGATGACATGATCTTGTATATAAAAAATCCTAAGGAATTCACCAGAAAACTATTAGAAATAAGTCCAGGCCAGGCATGGTGGTTCACACCTGTAATCCAAGCACTTTGGGAGCCTGAGGTGGGAAGGTGGCTTGAGACCAGGAGTTTGAGGTTGCAGTGAGCTATGATTGTGCCACTGTACTCTGGCCTAACAGAGCAAGATCCTGTCTCAAAAAAGAAAAACAAACAAAAAAATGAGCCCAACAAGGTTGAAAGATGCAGAGCAATATTTAAAAATGTTGTATTTTTATACTTCAGCAATGAACAATCTGAAAGTGAAATTAAGAAAACAATTCAATTCCATTTACAATAGCATCAAAAATAACATACTTAGGAATAAATTTAACAAAAGAATGAAATACATGTGCACTGGAAACTTCAAAACATTGTTGAAAATTTAAAAGACCTAAATAAATGAAAAAATATCTCATGCTCATGGATTGGAAGATTTAATATCGTTAAGATGGCAATAGTCTCCCAATTGATTTACAAATTCAACACAATCTCTGTGAAAATCCTGACTTTTTGCAAAAATTGAAAAACTGATGCTAAAATTCATATGAAAATACAAGGGATCCAGAATAGCTAAAACAGTCTTGAAAAAAGGAGAACGTTTAAGAAGTCACATTTCCCACTTTTTTTTTTTAAAGGCAGACTGCCACATGCAGCGCCTCATTAGGATGTGTCTGAAGTCTTGGAAGCTTGACTACCCTACGTTCTCCTACAACGGATCTTAAGAACTTGTTTGGAGGTTCTAGCTAGGAAGAGCAGATACTTGTATACCCTTGACTGAAGACTGGTCCTCCTTTATTGGGGATGGTCGTCCTCTTTGACTGAGCACGCAGCTTCAGGAGGGACGCACGTGGAGCGTTGAGGGAAGAAGGGGACACCCGCCTAGACAGCCAGATCAGCCAAATCAACCCTGGCAATCAATGGAGTGACAGATGTCACAGCCAGATCACCCTCACATCCCACACTTTTAAAACTTATTTCAAAGCTAGATCAAGACAGTGTGCTACCAGCATAAGGATAAATATAAAGATAAGTGGAATAGAATTGAGAGTACAGAATAAAACCCCTACACTTATGATCAATTGAATTTTGATAAGCAATCCAAGATGATTCAATGGACAAAGAATAGTCCTTATTAAAAATGGTGCTGGGACAACTGCCCATCCATATGCATAAAAGATAATAATAACAATAATAATAAAGTTGGACCCCTACCTCAACCCATACACAAAAATTAGCTGCAAGTGAAACAGACCTAAAACTATAAAATCTTTTTTTTTTTTTTTTTGAGACGGAGTCTCGCTGTATCACCCAGCCTGGAGTGTAGTGGTAACAATCTCGGCTCACTGCAAACTCCACCTCCCGGGTTCACTCCATTCTCCTGCCTCAGCCTCCTGAGTAGCTGGGACTACAGGCACCCGCCACCACGCCCGGCTAATTTTTTGTATTTTTAGTAGAGATGGGGTTTTACTGTGTTAGCCAGCATGGTCTCGATCTCCTGACCTCGTGATCCACCTGCTTTGGCCTCCCAAAGTGCTGGGATTACAGGCGTGAGCCACTGCACCCAGCCTAAAACCATAAAATCTTTAGAAGAAAATAGAAAATCTTCATGACTTTGGAGTAGGCAAAACTTTCTTAGATGTGACACTAAAAGCAAAAGTGACCAAAAAAATAGATAAATGGAACTTAATCAAAATTTAAAAACATTTGTGCTTTAGAGGGCACCATCAAGAAGGTGAAAAGATAACTCACAGAATGGAACAAAATATTTGCAAATCATTTGTCTGATAAAGAACTTGTTTTTAGAATATATAAAGAACTCTTAAACTCAATAACAAAAAGACAACCAAATTTAAAAATTGGCAAAGCATCTAAATAGACATCTCTCCAAAGAATATATACAAATGACCAACAGAACGAAAAAAGATGCTCAACATCCTTAGTCATCAGAGAAATGCAAATCAAAACCCACAACAGAATACTACTTCACACCCATTAGTATGGCTACAATGAAAACAATAGGTAATAACAAGTGTCGACAAAGAAACCAGAACCCCCATGCACTGCTGGTGGAGGTGTAAAATGGTGCAGGCACTTTGGAAAACAGTTTGGTGGGTCCTGAAAATGTAAAGCATGGAGTTATTCTACTATGAGCCAGCAATTCCACTCCTAGGTGTACACTTAAGACAAATAAAGACATATGTCCACACCAAAATTTCTAGACTAATGTTCATAGAACATAATAGCCAAAAGGTTGGAATAAACCTAATGTCCATCAACTGACAGATGAGTAAACAAAATGTAGTATATCCACACAATGGAATATTGTTTGTCAATACGAAGGAATGGGATGAACATGGTGGCTTGTGCTTGTAATCCCAGCACTTTGGAAGGCTGAGGCAGGAGATTCACTTGAGCCCAGGAGTTTGAGGCTGCAGTGAGCTGTGATCGTGCCATTGCACTCCAGCCTGGGCGTCAGAGTGAGGCACGTCTCTAAAAAAATAAAAAATAAAAAGGAATGAAGTACTGATACATGATAACAACATGGATGAAATTCGAAACATTATGCCAAGGGAAAGAAGCCAAACAAAAAATCACATATGATTCCATCCACATGCAATGTGTGGACAAGGCAAATTTCTAGAGATAGAAAATAGATTAGTGGTTGCCTAGGGCTGGAGAGGCTATGGGGAGATGGGGTGTGACTACTAATGAGTATGGGATTTCTTTTGGGGATGGTGAAAATGTTCTAAAATTGATTGTGATGATAGTTGCACAACTCTGAACATACTAAAACTCACTGAATTGTACACATTAAAATGTGTGAATTGTATGGTATGTGAATTATATCTCAATAGATCTACAAAAAAAAAAAAAGATGAGGTACTGTCCATTCCATGGAGCGCATGCAGAACTCTCTTGGGATCTTACCTGCAGAGACATTACATTACTGGAGGATGAATGCTATAGATACCTTTTCATATATACAAAGGCAGCAAAGATCACTAACCTTCCTCAGCTCATTGTTAAAAGTTTAAGGTCATCTGTATATCTGTTGGACAAGAGGTTGTTGAAAAAAAAGTTTAAGGTCATCTGTACATCTGTTGGACAAGAGGTTGTTGAAAAAAAAGTTTAAGGTCATCTATTTATAAGTGAATTGTCTTCTTTGTTTCAAGATGACCTAGTTTATCAATACGATGGAAAAGTAGAGAGCCATCAAACATACAAACCATCCATATCAAATTTTAAAATAAAGGGCACTACCCTTGTAAAAATATTTTTTAAAGGGTAGTAAATAGTATATAGAATTTTACCTAAAAAGAACCATAAAACAATATCGAATTCTAATTAAAAATTATGCAGGCTGAAGTGATTGGACTGCAATGTACTGATATCTGCAATTTATTTTGAGATGAATTTAAAAAAGACAGATTGATGGACAGATAGGATTGCTAGATGGACATGTGATAAAACAAATATGAGCAAAATGTTGATTGTAGAATGCAGGTGGTGGATATATGGTGCTCACTGTACAATTCTTTCAATCTTTCTGTGTTTATAAAATTGCATTAAGACGTTCGTGGGGGAAAAACAGTGTTAAAGTAAGAGGTGATTACTTAAGAAAGGAAAAGCTCCCTGCTCCAGAAAGAACCTGCATTTCCCATTCTGACAGCTGAGGAAGGAAAATAAATGCATGCAAGAAAGAATGGGATGGGGTCCATCTCTCCCACAGCAATATTCAGACATAAAGAAGAGCAATTATATATGCCACATTTGAGACTAGAAGAGTTAAAGGGGGTAATAAGAGAAATATGACAAATTGTGAAATGATTGCATAACTGACAGAAGCAGAGCCAGAAAAGTCAATCTAATGAGCTAACCTAGAATTCTAAGTCCCAGCCCTTCTAAAAGCCTTTCTACAAGTTCATGTTCAGGCAAAGGCTGAATGTAACAAATGGAGTGACTAAGGGTCTCACATAGACCAGAAAGCATAAATATGCAAGGAAGGACCCTTGATTCTGCTTTCTGTTCTCCTTAAAGGTGGCTGAGAGCTCAATGGGGGTGCTCAGAGTGTGCAGATGTTGGATGCCAAAGAAAACCTACTTCTCGAAGGTGAGCCCCAGTTCTGGTCTCAGTTCCTCTTTTCTTTCTTTCTTTTTTTTCTTTTTTTCTTTTTTTCTTTTTTTTTTTTTTTGAGACGGAGTCTCGCTCTCTAGCCCAGGCTGGAGTGCAGTGGCACGATTTTGGCTCACTGCAAGCTCCACCTCCCGGGTTTACGCCATTCTCCTGCCTCAGCCTCCAGCCTCCTCAAGTAGCTGGGACTACAGGCGCCCGCCACCACGCCCGGCTTTATTTTATTTTATTTTATTTTATTTTGTTTTATTTTTGTATTTTTAGTAGAGATGGGGTTTCACTGTGTTAGCCAGGATGGTCTCGATCTCCTGACCTCGTGATCCACATGCTTCGGCCTCCCAAAGTGCTGGGATTACAGACGTGAGCCACCACGCCCAGCCCACCCTCTTTTCTTGTTAAGGATAGGGTGTGACAAGAGGGTCCTGGCTCCTTCTTACATACATGTCCCATCCACAGGTGGGCTCTTAAGTGCCTGCTGGAGTGAGGGTAGGGGTTAGGGATGCGGCTGTTCTTTCCCAAAGACTACTCAGGGGCTGGTTAGTGCAGAGCTATCGCAGCCTGGCGACAGCCCTCAGTCACAGGCAAGCTTAGGGGAACCTGTGGTGCTTGAAAGACAAAAGGCTTCTTGCCGGACTGACTTCAGGAAACGGGGTAGCCCTAAAGCAGTCATCCCCACCCCATTACAAAGAGCTTCTCTCTTTCCCACGCTGATCCTTCTCCCCCGAAGAAGCTCCGTCCAAGTAAATTTCTTACCTTTTTTTTTTTTTTTTTTTTGAGACAAGGTCTGGCTCTGTCACTCAGGTCGCCCAGGCTGGAGTGCAGTGGTGCAATCTCGGTTCACTGCAACCTCCACCTCCCGGGTTCAAGCGATTCTCCTGCCTCAGCCTCCCGAGTAGCTGGGACTACAGGCCGTGCCACCACACCCGGCTAATTTTTGTATTTTTAGTAGAGATGGGGTTTCACCATGTTGGCCAGGCTGGTCTTGAACTCTTGACCTCAGGTGATCCGCCCACCTCGGGCTCCCAAAGTGCTGGGATTACAGGCGTGAGACACCGCGCCCAGCCCGTCCAAGTCAATTTCTAGAGCTAGAACTTCCTCATGCTCTAAAGACAGGACCCCAACTCCTCAGAGCCAGGATTCCCAACCTTTCAGATCTGGAGCTCCCCATCATGCCTTAGAGTTCTGTCCCCACGCTCCAATCCTTCAGATTTGGATCTCCCCTTCACACACACCCTCGCCTTGCCCCAAAGTCAGCATCCCCCAGCGCTGAGATATGAAGACCACCCCGTCAAAGGGGCACACGCCCAGCCCTCAGAACCGGAGTCCCCCACATCCTCAGAGCCAGAACACTTCATCCCTCAAGACAGAGCGTTATTCTAACTCCTCAGAGCCAGCCCCCCAAATCCTTCCCGGCTGGGGGCCCCTCGCTCTCTCCCATGCCCCAGAGCCAGGTCTCGAACCACTTAGCCCCAATCCTTGGCCACAGCGGCCCCCATTCGCCGCTTTGGTGCTTTTGGCGCCCCCGCCAGAGCGGGCTCCGTACCATGGTCGCGGCTCCAGCAGCGGGCGGGCGGGCTTGTGACCCGGCCAATAACGGTTCCCGGGGTCGCGGCGGCGCGCGCGCGGGGGGCGGGGCAGTGGGCGGGGCCTGGCGTGCGCCGGGTGGTCTCGCGGGCGGTGGCAGGTGAGCGGCGGGCGGGGATGGCGGAGCAATGGGAGCTGGACGAGGAAGGCATTCGCCGCCTGGGGGCGCTGACGCTGGAGCAGCCGGGTAGGGTCTGGCCGGGAGGGTGTGGACTGGGAACGTAGGGTCAGAAGCTGTGGAAAGAAAACTGAAGTGGAAGGCGGGGAACCTGAGATAGAGGCGAGGGAACCACAGAGAAGCGGTACCTGAGGCTGGGGGGCGGGGGGATAACTTGAGGCAGAAGGTTAGAGGGAGGTGGAGGTGGAGGAACTGAAGTAACGGGAGGGTGTGGGGCAGAGCCCGAGGAATTGAGAGAGAAGAGGGGAGTGTGAAGTAGGGAAGGAGAAACAAGGTTAACAGGGGACCCTGCCGCAGGTGACAGAACTGCGGGGGGCGGTGGCTGACCGCTGTAATCCCAGCACTTTGGGAGGCGGAGGCGGGTGGATCACCTGAGCGTGGCCAACATGGTGAAACCCCGTCTCTACTAAAATACAAAAATTAGCCCGGCGTGGTGGTTCAAGTCTATAATCCCAGCTACTCGGGAGGCTGAGGCAGGAGAATCGCTTGAACCCGGGAGGCGGAGGTTGCAGTTAGCCGAGATCGCACCACTGCACTGCAGCCTGGGCGACAGAGCGAGACTCCATCTCAAAAATAATAATAATAAATAAAATAAATAAATAATAAAATGTCTATTAGACATCCAAGTGTAAGGTACCTAGTAGGCAGTTGGATATATGGGTCTGGACCTCAGAGGAGAGGTCAGGGTTAGAGATGAAAATTTTGGAGACATTAGCAATAGGTGGTATTTAAAGCTACGGGAGTGGATGAACTCAGCTAAGGAGAGAATGTCGATGGAGAAGTGAAAGAAAGCTTAAGACTCAACCTTGGAATATTTCAGTGTTTAGAGGTTGTATAGAGGAAGAATGTGGTATCTTGGAATTTGAGAAGGGGTAGTGTATCGAGCAAGCAATGGCCAACTGTGCCAAATGCTATTGACAGGCTGAGCAACTTAAATGCAGAGTGTCTGTTAGATTTAGCAACATGGAACTTACTGGTGACCTTGACAGAGGGAGTTTTGGGAGGGTGGGGAGGAGGGAAACCAGATTGGAGTGGGATGAAAAAGGGAAATGATATTTGAGGGGAAGAGACAGTGAAAGTAAGAACTTTTGCTGAAAATTTTAGCTGTAAAAGAGACTGCAGAAATAGATGGTAGCTGAAGCGTATGATGTGCAGTCAAGAACAGAACAGGAAGGATATACTAGAGCATGTCGGTAGTCTAATGATTAATTTGGTAGAGGGGGGAAATATGTAATATTTACTCATTTTGACTGTTAAAATAATTCAATTAATTTATTCTGTGGGTAATATAATAATTGTACAGTGAGGGCCAGGCGCGGTGGCTCACGACTGTAATCCCAGCACTCTGGGAGGCCGAGGCGGGCGGATCACGAGTCAGGAGATCGAGACCATCCTGGCTAACACAGTGAAACCCCGTCTCTACTAAAAATACAAAAAAAATTAGCGGAGCATGGTGGCGGGCGCCTGTAGTCCCAGCTACTCGGGAGGCTGAGGCAGGAGAATGGCGTGAACCCAGGAGGCGGAGCTTGCAGTGAGCCGAGATCGCGCCACTGCACTCCAGCCTGGGTGACAGAGTGAGACTCCGTCTCGAAAAAATAAATAAATAAAATAAAAATTGTACAGTGAGAAGAAAGTCTTTACTCCCCCATCCCCGTCTCATAGGCCTAGTTCCCCTTCCTAAAGGCAATTACTGTTACCAGTATCTTGGATAGTTTTCCAGAAATATTCTCTACATATATAAGCATTTATCACTTATTTTATAATTTTATATTATGGCAATTTTCAAATATATACAAGAGTAGAGATAACAGAATAATGAACTCTATTAGCCTACCTCAACAGTTATCATCAATTCATGGCCAAGCTTCTTTCACGTATACCTCACCTATCCTCCACCCACCTCCAACCCCCTACACTGACTATTTTGAAGCAAATTCCAAGTATGTGATTTCCTCCATAAATATTTCAGTAGTATTTTATTTATTTATTGTTTTTATTATTTTTCAGATAGAGTTTTGCTCTGTCACCCAGGCTCTAGGGCAGTGGCGTGATCTCGGCTCACTGTAATCTCCACCTCCGCATTTCAAGCGATTCTTCTGCCTCAGCCTCCCAAGTAGCTGGGACTACAGGCACCCGCCACCACGCCCGGCTAATTTTGTATTTTCAGTAGTGACAGGGTTTTGCCATGTTGGCCAAGCTGGTCTTGAACTCCTGACCTCAAGTGATCCACCCACCTCAGCCTCCCTAAGAGTTGGGATTATAAGTGCAAGCCACAGCACCTGGCCAGTATGTATTTTTAAAAGCTAAGATTACTTTAAAAAAAAGTCACATATGCAACCTAAAAAATTTAACAGTAATTTCTTTTTTTGGTTTTGTTTTGTTTTTGAGATGGAGTCTGGCTCTGTTGCCCAGGCTGGAGTGCAGTGGCATGATCTCAGCTCACTGCAACCTCTGCCTCCAGGGTTCAAGCAATTCTCCTGCCTCAGCTTCCTGAGTAGCTGGGATTTCAGGCATGTGCCACCATGCCTGGCTAATTTTTTTGTATTTTTAGTAGAGACGGGGTTTCACCATGCTAGCCAGGCTAGTCTTGAACTCCTGACCTCAAGTGACTCAGCCTCCTAAAGTGAACAGTGATTTCTTGATATCATGAAATATCTAACTAGTGTTCTTATTTCCCCAGTTGTCCTATAATTTTTTAAAATTAGAATCCATGGCCGGGTGCGTTGGCTCATGCCTGTAATCCCAGCACTTTGGGAGGCCAAGGTGGGTGGATCACTTGAGGCCAGGAGTTCAAGACCAGCCAGGCCAACATGGTGAAACCCCATCTCTATTAAAAATACAAAAATTAGCTGGACATGGTGGCTCACACCTGTAATCCCAACTACTTGGGAGGCTGAGGCAGGAGAATCGCTTGAACCCGGGAGACGGAGGTTGTAGTGAGCTGAGATCGCGTCACTGCACTCCAGCTTGGGTGGCAGAGCAAGTCTCCATCTAAAAAATAAAATAAAATAAGAATCCGTATATGGTCCATATATTGCAATTGGTTGATGTATGTCTTAAGTCTTATTTGATCTGTAGGCTCCCCATTTTTTTTCCCTCGCATTTTCAATTGTTTTTGAAGAAACTGGCTTTGAAAGAGTTTACTATAACCTGAACTTTGCTCATTGCATTCCTAAGATGTTAAACATTTTCCCGTGTTCCCTGTACTTCCTATGAATTGGTAGTTAGATGAGGCTTAATCAGATTCAGGTTGGATTTTTTTTTTTTCACAAGACGATTTCATAGGTAATGGTGTATGTTTATGTTAGGAAGTATATGGTGCCTAGTGTTCTTTCTTTTCGTGATATCAGCCACTGAATATGATTACCTAAGTTAATTCATTAGGGATTGCAAAATGGTAATTGTCTATTTCTTTCATTTTTCTTCATTAACTGTAATACTTCTATAAAGAGAAATTTCCTCACATCAACTGTTTGCTTATCCTGAGGTACAGTTTGTATAGGAAAGGCAGCATAAAAGCTTGATTTGTTTTCACCTTATATGCCAGCTTTCAGAATGATGAGTTATTTTCTTAGCATTCTCCAAAGGTGACCAGTGAGGACTGTTTTGCTTTCTCAGTATCATTATAAACTCATCGATTTAAATATATGTCTTAGGGCTGGGCATGGTCGTTCACGCCTGTAATCCCAGCATTTTGGGAGGCCAAGGAGGATGGATCACCTGAGGTCAGGAGTTCAAGACCAGTCTGTCCAACATGGTGAAACCTCATCTGTACTAAAAATACAAAAAAAATTAGCCCGGCATGGTGGCAGGTGCCTATAATCCCAGCTACTCAGGAGGCTGAGGCAGGAGAATCACTTGAGCCTGGGAAGCAGAGGTTGCAGTGAACTGAGATCGCACCACTGCACTTCAGCCTGGACGAAAGACTGAGACTCAGTCTAAATAAATAAATAAATAAATAAATGTCTTAGTCCCTTTTCTCTTGTCATAACAGAATACCATAGACTAGGTAATTTATAAAGAACAGAAGTTGATTTGGCTCATGGTTCTGGAGGCTGAGAAGTCCAAGAGCATGGTGCCAACATCTGGTGAGGGTCATTCCATGGTGGAAGGGCAGAAGGTGCATGTGTGAGATGTGAGAGAGAAAGAGAGAGAGAGAGAGAGAGAGAGAGAGAGAGAGAGAGAGAGAGAAGACTGAACTAATTCCTTTATTAGGATAGCTAACTCCCGTGATAACTAACTCCATGATAACAGCATGAAGCCACCGTTGACCTAATCACCTCTTAGAGGCCCCACCTCGCAGTGCTGTTACATTGGCAATTACGTTTCAACATGAAAGCTGGGCATGGCGGCTTACACACTTTGGAAGGCCAGGGAGGAGGATGAGGCCAGGTATTTGAGACCAGCCTGGGCAACACAGCAAGATCCTGTCTCTACAAAAAATTTAAAAATTAACTGGGTGTTGGTGGTGTGTACCTGTAGTCCCAGCTACTCAGGAGGCTGAAGTGGAAGGATCCTCTGACCCCAGGAGTTTTAGGCTGCAGTGCACTATGATAGTGCTACTGCCCTCCAGCCTAGTTGACAGAGCAAGGCCCTATCTCTGAATAAATTAATACATTTCATCATGAGTTTTGGAGGGGACGTTCAAACCATAGCAATATATTTCAATGTAAGTTTTAATCCATTATAGTTCTTATCATAATTGATGTTCAGTTTATCCTAACTTTAGTTAATAGGTGATCTTTCAAGTTGACTCCTGAGGTCTTTTTAAAAAAGTTTTATGGCCAGGTGTAGTGGCTCACGCCTGTAATCCCAGCACTTTGGGAAGCCGAGGGGGGTGGATCACCTGAGGTTGGGAGTTTGAGACCAGCCTGGCCAGCATGTTGAAACCCCATCTCTACTAAAAATATAAAAATTAGCTGGGCGGGGTGGCACATGCCTGTAATCCCAGCTACTTGGGAGGCTGAGGCAGGAGAATCGCTTGAACCCTGAAGGCGGAGGTTGCAGTAAGCCAAGATCACACCATTGCACTCCAGCCTGGGCAAAGAGAGCGAAACTCCATCTCAAAAAAAAAAAGAAAAAGAAAAAGTTTTATTTATTAGAAACATTCATTGTCATTATAAATAAGCTTTGTTAAAGGTTGTTAATTCAATTTCCAAATGAGCTGTAAATGGTTTTCATTAGAGAGACTACTTGATTTGTTATTTTCAAATAGCAAATTTTTGCCCACTGGGGTTATGTAACCCATATATTAAAATTGGAAGATCATTCTTTTATTCTTGGCATCTATGCTGTGCAGTGTTTGATTTGTTCTCTGATTTGTCTTCACTCTTTATAAACACTGAAACGGCCAGGCGCGGTGGCTTACGCCTGTAATCCCAGCACTTTGGGAGGCTGAGGAGGGCGAATCACGAGGTCAGGAGATCGAGACAACCCTGGCTAACATGATGAAACCCTGTCTCTACTAAAAATACAAAAAAATTAGCTGGGCATGGTGGTGGGCGCCTGTAGTCCTAGCTACTTGGGAGGCTGAGACAGGAGAATGGCGTGAACCTGGGAGGCAGAGCTTGCAGTGTGCCAAGATGGTGCCATTGCACTCCAGCCTGGGTGACAGAGCGAGACTCCGTCTCAAAAAAAAATAATAAATAAATAAATAAACACTGAAACGAAATGCATAACCTCTTAAGACATGCATTCATGTGAATCATTAAAGAATGTTTGTCTTTGTGGCAGTTTATCATTTTAATAATTCACATTCCTTCTTAAAATGTTAAAATGTCTGCTCTTCAAAATAGACTGCAGTGAAAGGCATGAGAAATGCTGTGGGTCATTGATGGAAACCATAATTGTCCTTAGCTTTTGTCCCATGTTAACAGACTCTCAGGGTGTTAGATCATAACATACCACAGAATTACCAATACACTGCCCTCAAAGTCAGGAAAATTTTATTTATTTATTTATTTTATTTATTTATTTTTTTTTAAAAAAAACATGGTCTTATTCTGTTGCCCAAGCTGGAGTGCAGTGGCATGATCATGGCTCACTGCAGTCCCGACCTCCTGGGCTCAAGCAATCCTCCTGACTCTGCCTACTGAGTAGCTGGGACTACAGGTGTGCACCACCATGCCCAGCTAATTTTTTCTTTTTTTGTAGAGATGGGTGCATTTTAAAAAGATATAATTCACATACTATAAAGTTCACCGTTTTAGTATTTATTTATTTATTTTGAGATAAGAATCTTGCCCTATTGCCCAGGCTGCAGTGCAGTGGCCCGACCTCAGCTCACTGCAACCTCTATCCCAGGTTCAAGTGATTCTCCTGCCTCAGCATCCTGAGTAGGTGGGACTGCAGGCACGTCCCACCATACCCTGCTAATTTTTGTGTTTTTAGTAGAGACAGGGTTTCACCATGTTGGCCAGGCTGGTCTTGAACTCCTGACTTCAAGTGATCCACCTGCCTCCGCCTCCCAAAGTGCTGAAATTACAGGCATGAGCCACCACACGTAGCCCCATTTAAAAAATATACAATTCAGGGTCATTTTGTACATTTACAATGTTGTGCAAGCATCATTGCTACCTATATATAGTTCCAGAACATTTTCATCAACCCATTAGGCAGTCACACCTCATTTCCCACTACCCCTGGCTCCTGGCAACCAGTAAACTGCTTTCTGTCTCTGTGGATTTGCCTCTTCTGGGTATTTCATATCATTGGAATCATATAATATGTAGCCTTTTCTGTCTGGCTTCTTTGACTTAGCATAGTATTTTCATTATTCATTCATGTTTTAGCATGTATTAATACTTCATTCCTTTTTTAAAAAAATTAATAGACTTTATTTTTTAGAGCAGTTTTAGGTTTACAGAGAAATTGGGCATAAAGTACAGAGAGTTCTCATATACGCTTACCTTCCTTGCACCTCTCCCCACCCACCCCGTTTCCCTTAATTTTAATATCTTGCATTATTGTGATATATTACAATTTATGAACCAATATTGATGCGATTATTAACTAAAGTCCATAGTTTACATTAGAGCTCATTTTTTGTGTTGTACAGTTCTATGGTTTTTGACAATTATGTCGTGTCCACCATTATTATTATTATTTTTATTTATTTATTTTTTTGAGATGGAGTCTCACTCTGTTGCCCAGGCTGGAGTGCAGTGGCGTGGATCTCGGCTCACCGCAAGCTCTGTCTCCCAGATTCACACCATTCTCCTGCCTCAGCCTCCCGAGTAGCTGGGACTACAGGTGCCTGCCACTGTGCCCGGCTAATTTTTCATATTTTTAGTAGAGACCGGGTTTCACCATGGTCTCGATCTCCTGACCTCGTGATCCGCCCGCCTCGGCTTCCCAAAGTGCTGGGATTACAGGCGTGAGCCACCGCGCCTGGCCGTCCACCATTATTTTTTATTTTTTGAGGCAGAGTCTTGTTCTGTTGCCCAGGCTGGAATGCAGTGGCACGATCTCGGCTCACAGCAACCTCCGCCTCCTGGGTTCAAGTGATTCTCATGCCTCAGCCTCCCAAGTAGCTGGGACTGCAGGCGTGTGCCACCATGCCTGGCTGATTTTTGTATTTTTAGTAGAGACGGGGTTTCACCATGTTGGCCAGGCTGGTCTCGAACTCCCAACCTCAGGTGATCTGCCTGCCCCAACCTCCCAAAGTGCTGGGATTACAGGCATGAGCCAGCGTGCCTGGCCAGTCGTGTCCACCATTATAATAACAGTTTTACTAACCTAAAAATCCCCTGTGCCCCACCATCTGTTTATCCCTCCCTCACCCCAAACCCCTGACAACTATCAGGTGAAATTCACCCCCGATATTTCACGTAGGCTCTTTTCTATTTTCCCTAAGTGTCGGCCGGCCTGAGAAATAAAGGGACAGAGTACAAAAGAGAGAAATTTTAAAGCTGGGTGTCTGGGGGAGACATCACATGTCAGCAGGTTCCGTGATGCCCCCTGAGCCATAAAACCAGCAAGTTTTTATTAGTGATTTTCAAAAGGGGAGGGAGTGTACGAATAGGGGGTGGGTCACATAGATCACATGCTTCACAAGGTAATAAGATATCACAAGGTAAATGGAGGCAGGGCGAGATCACAGGACCACAGGACCGGGGTGAAATTAAAATTGCTAATGAAGTTTCAGGCACGCATTGTCATTGATAACATCTTATCAGGAAACAGGATTTGAGAGCAGACAACTGGTCTGACCAAAATTTATTAGGTGGGAATTTCCTCGTCCTAATAAGCCTGGGAGCACTACGGGAGACCGGGGCTTATTTCATCCTACAGCTGTGACCATAAAAGACATCTGCCCCCAAAGCAGCCATTTTAGAGGCCTCCCTTCAGGGATGCATTCTCTTTCTCAGGGATGTTCCTTGCTGAGAAAAAGAATTCAGCGATATTTCTCCTGTTTGCTTTTGAAAGAAGAGAAATATGGCTCTGTTCCACCTGGCTCACCGGCAATCAGAGTTTAAAGGTTATCTCTCTTGTTCCCTGAACATTGCTGTTATCCTGTTCTTTTTTCAAGGTGCCCAGATTTCATATTGTTCAAACACACATGCTCTACAAACAATTTGTGCAGTTAATGCAATCATCACAGGGTCCTGAGGCAACATACATCCTCCTCAGTTTACGAAGATGACGGAATTAAGAGATTAAAGTAAAGACAGGCATAGGAAATCACAAGAGTATTGATTGGGGAAGTGATAAGTGTCCATGAAACCTTCACAATTTATGTTCTTCTGCCATGGCTTCAGCTGGTCCCTCTGTTTGGGGTCCCTGACTTCCCGCAACAGACAACCACTGATCTTTTTTTTTTTTTTTGAGACAGACTTTCGCTGTTGTTGCCCAGGCTGGAATGCAGTGGCACGATCTTGGCTCACGGCAGCCTCCACCTCCCGGGTTCAAGCGATTCTCCTGCCTCAGCCTCCCGAGTAGCTGGGATTACGGGCATGTGCCACTACGCCCAGCTAATTTTGTATTTTTAGTAGAGACAGGGTTTCTCCAGGTTGGTCAGGCTGGTCTCAAACCCCCAGCCTCAGGTGATCCGCCCGTCTCGGTCTCCCAAAGTGTTGGGATTACAGGCGTGAGCCACCGCACCCGGCCCAACCACTGGTCTTTTTATTGTTGCCTTTTTCAGAATGTCATATAGTTGGAATCATATAGTATGTAACCTTTCAAACTGATTTCTCTCACTTAGCAATATGTATTTAAGGCTCCTCCATGTCTTTCCGTGGTTAATAGCCCATTTCTTTTTATTGCTGAATAGTATTACACTCTGTGGATGTACCATTGTTTGCTTATCCATTTACCTATTGAAGGACATCTTGGTTGCTCCCAAGTTTTGGTAATTATGAAGAAAGCTGCTGTAAACATTCATGTGCAGGTTTGGGTGTGGACATAAAGTTTCAACTTGCTTGAGTAAATACCAAGGGATTTACTTGTGTTTAGCTTTGCAAGAAACTGCCAAGTTGTCTTCTCAGGTGGCTTCACCATTTTGTATTCCCACCCCCAATGAATGAGAGTTCCTTTTGCCCCACATCCTCACCAACATTTAGCATTGTGAAAGTTTTAAGATTTGGGCCATTCTAACAAATTTATAGTGGTATCTCATTTTAATTTGTAATTTCCTAACGATTTATGATGTTGACCATTTTTTTCATATGTTTGTTTAGTGGAGTGTCTGGTTTGGGGTTTATTTTTATTGCTTTTTAGAGACAGGTTCTTGCTATGTTGCCCAGGCTGGACTTGAACTTCTGGACTCAAGCAATCCTGTCTCAGCCTCCCCAGTAACTGAGACTACAGGTATGTGCCACTGCATCCAGTTTTTCTTTTGCCTACTTTTTTTTTTTTTATGGAAATAGGGTAATCTTACTTTGTTGCCTAGGTTGGAGTGCAGTGGTGCCATCATGACTCACTGTAGCCTGGAATTCTTGGTTTCAAGTGATCCTCCCACTTCAGCCTACCAAGTAGCTAGGACTACTGGGCTGTGCCACCACACCCGGCTAATTTTTTTAATTTTTTGTAGAGACAGGGTCCTACTATGTTGCCCAGGCTTGTCTCAAACTCCTGGCCTCAAATGATCTGCCTGCCTTGGCCTCCCAAAGTGCTGGGATTACAGACTTGAGCCACCATGCCAGGCCCATCATTCCTTTTTATGGCTGAGTGATAGTCCTTCTTGTGGATATACCACATTTTTGTTTATTCATTCATCTGTTGATGGGCATTTGGGTTGTTTCCATCTTTTGGATATTTTGAATAATGCTGCTATGGATGTTGGTGTACAAATACTGTTCAGGTCCTTGCTTTCAATTCTTTTGGATATATACCCAGAAGTGGAGTTATTCTATTGTTCTTTTGTGCTCTTATTTTCATTATTTGGTCTTCATTTCAAAAATGACGTTTTAATTTTTATTATTTCTTTCTTTTATTTTTCTTTTCTTTCTTTTTTTTTTTTTTGAGAAGGAGTTTCACTCTTGTTGCCCAGGCTGGAGTGCAATGGTGCGACTGCAGCCCCCACCTCCTGGATTCAAGTGATTCTCTTGCCTCAGCCTTCTGAGTAGCTGGGATTACAGGCGTGTGCCACTAGGCCAAGATAATTTTTTTGTATTTTTAGTAGAGACAGGGTTTTGCCATGTTGGTCAGTCTGGTCTCAAACTCCTGGCCTCAGGTGATCTGCCCACCTCGGCCTTCCAAAGTGCTGGGATTACAGGCGTGAGCCACCACACTCGGCCTAATTTTTATTATTTCTTGAATTCTGTCTTCTCTGTATTCAATTTTTTTTCTTTTCTAATCATCTTTCTGAATTTGTCTATTCTAATTTACATTTTTCAGTTAATTTCCACATTTTTGGGTCTCAAGATCCCTTTACACCTTAAAAAATTATTGAGGGCTGGGCGTGGTGGTTCCCAGCACTTTGGAACGCCGAGGCAGGCGGGTCACCTGAGGTCGGGAGTTTGAGACCAGCCTGCCCAACATGGAGAAACTCCATCTCTACTAAAAATACAAATTAGCTGGGTGTGGTGGCGTATGCCTGTAATCCCAGCTACTTGGGAGGCTGAGGCAGGAGAATCGCCTGAACCCAGGAGGCAGAGGTTGTGATGAGCTGAGATGGCACCATTGCAGTCCAGCCTGGGAAACAAGAATGAAACTCCATCTCAAAAAAAAAAAAATTATTGAGGACCTCAAAGAGCTTTTGTTAATGTGGACTATATCTACTAATATCTACCATACAGAAATTAAAACTGAGAAAAATTTAAAATATTTATTAATTTATTAATAGGTAACCATAACATAGACATTATGTTAATATAAATATTTCTATGAAAAATAACTATTTCCTAAAATAAAAAAATAGTGAGGAAAGTATCACTGATTTATATTCTTGCAAACCTCCTTAATGTTTTGTTTAAAAGAAGACAGCTAGATTCTCATACCTGCTTCTGTATTTAATTTGTTATGATATATTGTTTTACTTGAAATATGTGAAAAAGTCTGGCCTCATACAGAAATGTAATTGGAAAAGGAAGGAATATTTTAATAGTCTTTCATCAAATTTTTTATATTCTTCTTTGATACAATATGAAAACAGGACAAGTGGTAGTTTCTTAAAGTTTAGTTGAATGTGGAATCTGAAACAACATCAATGAAATTTTTGTACTGTTACTTCAGAATCTATTGGTATATCTTACATATGGATGAATCTTTTACCCATGCATGATTTTGTAACGTTACACATTGGTCATTTGAAAAATATTGACTCACTAAGTTATGTAGATCTTCCAAATATTGACAAATTTCATTATATAATGTTTAAAAATCATGTTTGTTAATATCATCATCAATGTCATTTGAAAAACCTTTTAAGTGTTGAGAAGCCATCAGGTTCATGGTGGCAGATACAAGCTTTTCAAATTTCTAATTTCTGCTTGGAAGCTGAATTTTTTTTTTTTTTTTTTTTTTTTTTTTTTTTTTTTTTTTTTTTTTAGGGACAGAGTCTCGCTCTGTTGCCCAGGCTGGAGTGCAGTGATGCGATCTTGGCTCACTGCAACCCCTGTCTCCTGGGCTGAAGCAATTCTTCTGCCTCAGCCTCCTGAGTAGCTGGGATCACAGGCATGTGCCACCATGCCTCGCTAATTTTTGTATTTTTGGTAGAGACGTGGTTTCACCATGTTGGCCAGGCTGGTCTCGAACTCCTGACCTCAAGTGATCCGCCCACCTCAGCCTCCCAAAGTGTTGGGATTACAGACATGAGCCACTGCACCCAGCCATGATTCATTCTCAAGGTGCCAGTAGCTTTTGCTCTTGCACCATAAGTGTAAATGTTAATACTGTAAAAAAAAAAAAAAAAAGGCAATTAGTGTCTTCATATTATTATGAAAATAATTCTTTAAAAGTAGTTTTAACTTTGTGGACCCCTGTACATGTCTCAGGGACCTCCAGGGGTTTAGGGACCATACTTTGAGAGCTGCTACATTGCTATGATGTTTTTAAACTTGTTTTGAAATATTAAGTTACAGTTTTCATTTGTGGATGTATCTTTCTGGAGTGCTTTTAATTTTAGGGGTATTATTCTGCTCCTTTTAAAAAAATAATAACCTCATATAAGATTTGACTATAATCCTTTTCTGTGGCTCTTTAAGTGCAGTTAAGTTTTCTTACACTTAGGTGGGAAAGGTGGGCCAGAATAGCTTTTTTAGTTTCAAGGTTTTGGAGCTCCCTCTTCTGTTGTGTTCACAGAGTAGTGTAAAACATGACATGCTTCCTGAGATCCGTCCATTCTGCTTCCCTCCCCTATTCATATCTGGACCTTTTATTTCCTTTGCATCTATGTCCCTGTTCCATTCAGTGTAGATTCTACTCCCACTAATTTCTCCGTGGTATGGGTCTTGTCCTGAAAGGGATCTTTGGTTTATGACTATTTAAAGCTTATGGGGGCCAGGCACGGTGGCTGACGCCTGTAATCCCACCACTTTGGGAGGCCAAGTCAGGTGGATCACCTGAGGTCAGGAGTTTGAGACCAGCCTGGGTAACATGGTGAAACCCCGTCTCTACTGAAAGTACAAAAATTAGCCAGGCATAGTGGCACACACCTTAATCCCACCTACTTGGGAGGCTGAGGCAGGAGAATCACTTGAACCCAGGAGATGGAGGTTGCAGTGAGCCAAGATCGCACCATTGCACTCCAGCCTGGGTGACAAGAGTGAGATTCCATCTCAATAAATAAATAAATAATAAAATAAAATAAAGTTTATGGGACCCAGACTGCTCTAGCAACTTAAGATCTTATTTCAATGCAGTCTCCTGGCACTTATCTGCAAACTGGATTCTGTAGAACTCTCTTCCAGTTTTGGTTGCTATTCGCAGTTTGGCCTACCACCCTTGCCAGTGAGTTCTTACTGACAATTTTGAGATTCTCCCCTTTTCAGGACTGTTAATAGTCTAGTTGATGCCCAGGCTCAGTGGCTCATGCCTGTAATCCCAGCACTTTGGGAGGCTGAGGCTGAGACTGGTGGATCACCTGAGGTCAGGAGTTCAAGAGCAGCTTGGCAAAACCCCGTTTCTACCTAAAATACAAAAAATTAGCCGGGTGTGGTGGTGCACACCTGTGTTCCCAGCTACTTGGGAGGCTGAGGCAGGAGAATCTCTTGAACTTGGGAGGTGGAGGTTGCAGTGAGCTGAGATCACACCACTGCACTCCAGCTTGGGCGAAAGAGCAAGACTCCATCTCAAAAAAAATAGAAAAAAAAGTCTAGTTGACTTTTATCTACTTCTTCTCATATATGTATATTCTATATATATACTCTATAGAATATATACCACATATACTCTATAGAATATATACCACATATACTCTATAGAATATATACCACATATACTCTATAGAATATATACCACATATACTCTATAGAATATATACCACATATACTCTATAGAATATATACTACATATACTCTATAGAATATATACTACATATACTCTATAGAATATAGAATATGTACTACATATACTCTATAGAATATAGAATATGTACTACATATATTCTATAGAATATAGAATATGTATATTATATATAGAATATGTATTCTATAGAATATGTACTCTACATATTCTATAGAATATGTACTCTACATATTCTATAGAATATGTACTCTACATATTCTATAGAATATGTACTCTACATATTCTATAGAATATGTACTCTACATATTCTATAGAATATGTACTCTACATATTCTATAGAATATGTACTCTACATATTCTATATATAGATTTAATATATGTCATTTAATATATAATTTAATATATATAATTATATATAATTATATATATTCTATATATACTATAGCCTATCTATAGTCTATAGACAGTCTATAGACTATAGACTATAGACTATATATAGTCTATATATATGTTTTGTACATATGCATTAATTTAATTCTTGTAACACCTTATGAATTGAGTACCATTGTTACCCCCATTTTACAGATGAGGAAACTGATGCACAAAGAGGTTAAGTGACTTGAACAAGGTCGCAGATGTAGTATATTGTCTTTCGTATCAATGTACTATTATTTAGGCTGTCTGGCTCTATTTTTCTGCTGATGGACCTTTGACAGTTTTCTATTTCTTTCTTTTTAATTTTTTTTACTATCTTAAAACCGCTCTGAAATTGACATCCTTGTGCTATATTTTATATAACCTGCCAAAATTTTGTGGTTATTATCCATAGGGCTAAATCCTAGCAGTGGGGTTGCTGAATATCTTTTGAAATTTTGTTTTGAGAACTTTTGGAGACTTTTAGTACATCCTTCAGGGAAATTAGAAAAACTCAAGGGCTCTATAAAACTAAGGTTCAATGTCACTATATTAGACCATACTGCTGCTTTTAAAAAGAAGATCTGATCTTATGAGGCTTGGATGTAGGGCCTTGCACAGTTGAGATATGGGAGGAAGAAAGGCCTACTTTCACTGACTCTGCTGTTGATCCGAGCAGGGATCATAATATATCTACTGATGATCTCTTTTCAGAACTGGTGGAGTCTCTTTCATTGCAGGGATCTTATGCTGGCAAAATCCATTCCATTGGTGATGCCTTCAGAAATTTTAAAAATCTCCGATCCTTAGATTTATCAAGGAATTTGATCACTAGCCTTAAGGTAAGTTATATATTCTATGACCAGCCAGGTCTGCCCAATTTATTTTTTTGATGGGAAGAAATAAGAGATAGATCATGTCATCCTGGGGAATATAAGACCTTCCCTTTAAATGATTCCCAACTAAATTTAATTATTTCTTATAAAATTCTTTCAACTTTGCAGTATATTTTAAATTGTTATAAAATATTGGGAGGGCAATTTATTTTATACTCTCGGAAAACTATATTAAGATATCACTGTCTAGGGCAAATGCATAAATTTTAGTGTGTATAAAAAATTATGAAGAACACTTGTAGAAGTACAGATTCTCAGTCCCTACTGTGAGAGTTGGTCTGATTTAGTAGGTCTAGGGTAGGCTCAGGACATACTCAGGGGATTCTGATGATGGTGGTACATGGAGCATACATGGAGAAACACTGGCCTGTGTTGTTATTGTGAGTTTTTTCTATGAGGAGAAGGAAGGTGTGGTCTTGGGAAAATTTAAGTCAGGGGATGATGGAGCAGAGGGCAGTATAGGAAGGCAGGAGGGACCAAGCATGAACAGTGTGCGTGTGGATTAGCAAACACGCACAAAGAACTCTACAAACATGAGTGTGCACACACAGAGATGGAGTTTTGTTTTCTTTGTGGTAGACCCCCAAATACTGCTTCTTCCTCATGTTCCCATTTTGCCCAAGCTCTGCACCTGTCTTGGCAAAGCCCTTCTATGCAAGATCGAGCGTGACAAAGACTCACAGATGCTATCCAGGATTAGTTACTGATCTTCTGGGTCATCTACCAGTTTTGCACTTCCTAGGGGATATTTGTTCAACAACACATCCAGACCCAATCCCAAGGTTTAGCTAAGGGCCTAAAAGATCAAAAGCCCTAAGATCAAATTTCCATCTAGGACTCTAAAATCAGCAACTCCAAGTTCAACTAGGTCTTTAGACTATTTTTTAGCAGCCATTTATATTTGGCCTATCAGTTTCAGAAAGGATTAGTTCTTTCACAGGTGATAGGATCCAATTTAAAAAATGAAAAGATAAAATATAAAAAGAAAGTATTAGTTCAGAGTTGCTTAGGTCTCCTCTTTTGTTTGTTTATTCTTTTTCTGGCTAAAAAATTAAGTGAACATTGCTGTAATTTGTTTTTATACTTCCTTTCTTTCACTTCGGTAAACTGGGTGAAAAACTTAGGAAAATAATCAAATTAGGGCTGGGCACGGTGACTCACACCTATAATGCAGCGCTTCGGAAGGCTGAGGCAGGCAGATTGCTTGAGCCCAGGAGTTCAAGACCAGCCTGAGCAACATAGTGAGACCCCTATCTCTATTTTAAAAAATCAAGTTGTCTGGTCACGGTGGCTCATGCCTGTAATCTCAGCACTTTGGGAGGCCAAGGTGGGTGGATCCCGAAGTCAGGAGTTCGAGACCAGCTTGGCCAACATGGTGAAACCCCGTCTCTACTAAAAATACAAAAATTAGCCAGGCGTGGTGGCAGGCGCCTGTAGTCCCAGCTACTTGGGAGGCTGAAGGAGGAGAATTGCTTGAACCTGGGAGGCAGAGGTTGCAGTGAGCCTAGATCGCACCACTACACTCCAGCCTGGGCAAAAGAGTGAGACCATCTCAAAAAAAAAAAAAATCAAGTTAACACGTGTAATCAAATAGAACATATATAAGACTCCTGGTACAGTGCTTGGCATATAGGAAGCACTCAGTAATGTTAGTTTTCTATATTTTTTGCATCTATGATTTTTATTTATTTTTTTTGAGACAGAGTCTCACTCTGTCGTCCAGGTTGGAGTGCAGTAGTGTGATCTTGGCTCACTGCAACCTCCGCCTCCCAGGTTCAGGAGATTCTCCTGACTCAGCCTCCTGAGTAGCTGAGATTACAGGCACCCACCACCACACCCAGCTAATTTTTGTATTTTTAGTAAAGACAGGGTTTCACCATGTTAGCCAGGTTGGTCTCAAACTCCTGACCTCAGGTGATCTGCCCACCTCAGCCTCCCAAAGTGCTGGGATTAGAGGCATGAGCCACCATGCCCAGCCACATCTGTGATTTTATATTAATCTTTAACAGTTCTGAATCCCTTTGTTTAATTTTCCTGGGAGAAAATGTTTTGTGATTATTTGTAGCGTAACTTTGGGGAATACATAAATTCATGACAACTGGTAAAAGTGAGAGGATAAGAGTTTCCTTAATTTTTACACTGAGAGACATTAAAAGATTACTTAAGCCAGGTGTGGTGGTTTATGTCTGTAATCCCAGCACTTTGGGAGGCTGAGGCAGGAGGATCACTTGAGGCAAGGAGTTTGAGACTAGCTTGAGCAATAAAGCAAGACCCTGTCTCTACAAAACAGAAACAAACAAACAAACAAAAACCATAGTTGTTGGTGCGTGCCTATAATCCCAGCTATTTGGGAGGCTGAAGCAGGAGGATCCCTTGCCCTAGGAGTTCAAGGCTGCAGTGAGCCTTGTTCATGCCACTACACTCCAGCCTGGGTGACAGAGCAAGATCCTCTCAGAAAAAACCAAAAAACAAAAAAACTTGAGCTGGGCCATTAGACCATGAAAGACAGTCCTAATGGTGCACTGCCCTGAGAGTGAGGCCAAGGGCACTGATAGCTATTCCTCACCACTGACCCATTAACAATATGGAAGTTAATGGAATTGGAGAAAACAACAACAACAAAAAAAACAAATACAAAACAGAAAGAAATGCATCAAAGTATAAACAGGGTTGTGTTGGGAATGTTTTGTATCTATCTTTGGGTTTTCTAAATTTCTTGCAATGAGAAAATGATAATTTTAAATGGGAGGAGAATAAAAACATTATTTTATAAATACATGATGGAAAATAATTTCACCTTTCCAAAATAATTCTCAATGACAGAATTCCTTTTATGGAAAGCATTTTTACTATTTTTTTTTTTGCATTTGTACTATTAAAAGTATATGATTAACCAGGCACAGTGGCTCATGCCTGTAATCCCAACACTTTGGGAGGCCAAGGCAGGATAATTGCTTGAGCTCAGGAGTTCAAGACCAGCCTGGGCAACATAGTGAGACATTGTCTCTACTAAAAATCAAAAAATAGTTAGCCAGGTGTGGTGCCACATGCCTGTATTCCCAGCTACTCAGGGGCTGAGGCGAGAGCATCACTTGAGCCCAGGAAGTCAGGGCTGCAGTGAGCTCTGATCGTACCACTGCACTCCAGCCTGGGCGATAGAGTGATACCCTGTCTCAAAAAAAAAAAAAAAAAGTATGCGATTATACATATGTACATGTTTTGAAATTGTCCTGAAATTTAGTATTGGGCAAAAGCAGCTAACTAGCTAAATACATAAAGATGAAATCTTTTCAATAGCAGGTTTCAGCAGAGGAAGAAAACTGTGGCTTTTCCTCTTGAGTTTGCCAGGCCTGATTGTACTGTTGCCAGTTAGGTAGAGGGTGGGGTTGCTAAATCCACAAGAAAGAGAACTGAACAAGGAAGAACATTTCTGCAAAGGAGAACTGACTGATTGATTAAATGGGAAGCTTGCGTGGTAGCAGGAACTCTGAAGAGGAAAACAGTCTAGGAGGCCTAGACTGGTCCAGGAGTGAGGACTTGGAGATAGCATTGTTTTGTTTCCCTAAATAGTCCTTTGACCATATAAGTGAGGCACTGAGATATGAGAACACAACACAACACACACACACATACACACACACACACTTTTTTTTTTTTAACCATGCCCCTTTCCCCCAGAACCAGCTTTTTTGCTTACCTCCCTTCTTCTTGTAAATTAAGGTGCTTTTGGGATCAGGAGAGGGGTTGGGACAAAAGTGAGAGAATTCTAATGTGGCTTGGCCACTGGGAAACCACTGTGAAGGATTGGATTGCATTGGGAGAATAATTGGAGAGCCAACAGAAGTGGAGAATTGACTGCAGATATTTGAGTGTCAGATTTTGTAAAGAAGGAAATGTATTATATATGTGAATTATTTAACGTATGGAACACCCAGTGCTCATGGACTGCAGTGGTCTTATTTTCGGACAAGTTAAGTGAGAGTTCCAGCCCTGCCTTTCTCACGGGGACTTGGATAACATGTTTAAGGACGGAAAGTAACATATATTTCCATCTTTATCTATGAGGTTCCTAGTCTTTACCAATATGCCATTTCATAATGTGGTGTTTTCCTTGTAGGGAATCCAGTATTTATGTTCACTCCAAGACCTGAATTTATATTATAACAACATTCCTTCATTAGTGGAAGTGTCCCGTCTACAACCGTTACCCTTCCTCAAAGAACTGGATTTGAGACTTAATCCTGTTGTAAGGAAAGATACAGATTATAGGCTCTTTGCTGTATATACACTACAAACTCTGGAGAAATTAGGTAAGACCTTCCTTCTCTGTTCCTGTCCACAGAATCTTACTTTAAATCAGCTGCCCCTTAACCTTTTGGATGTTGGCCCACAGTGTGCACTGGCAGGATATATTTGTTTATTAGTCAATATTTATGTAACTCTTTTGTGTTGGCAGGATGTATGACGAGTTCTTTTATTGTTTATTGAATGACAGTCTATGATTTTATTAGTTACTTCCAGCTTTAGTTTTCTTCAGTTGATGGTTTCACCGCCCCTTCCTCCTCAACACAAAATTTCCAGGTTGAGAATTATTTTTCCAGGTGCCCCAACTTTGCAACTGTATTAGCAATAGAAAGCTAATACAATTTATTTGGGGGCTTAGTTGGGGGCTTAGTTGAAGAAATATTCCTTCAAATGAGCTGGTCTATATTTTCTTATTATTTTACTTTATTTTTTATTTATTTATTTATTTTGAGACAGGGTCTCACTCTGTTGCCCAGGCTGGAGTGCAGTGGCACGATCTTGGCTCACTGCCGCCTGGACCTCCCAGGCTCAAGCAATTCTCACATCTCAGTCTCCCAAGTAGCTGGAACTACAGGCACGCACCACCACACCCAGCTAATTTTTGTGTTTTTTGTAGAGATGGGGTTTCATCATGTTGCCCAGACTGGACTTCCTTATAATTTTATTGTTGAGTATACATTTCTTATTGATACAAAATTGGATTTCACATGGCCCTGGGAAAGTAATTGTAGGGAAACTAAGTAAACTCTTTCAGACAATGGTATGACTTTCAGCCCTAACATTAGGCCTTTGAATTGTTTACTGTCCAAGCTCTGCTTTCCTGAAGGGTAGTTACAACTGTGAGGCAGTGGTCGCTATGGCTTCCTGCAGTCTCCCTGAGTTCCTGCCTGCTCCAGTGACAACATAATAGCATTATTTTGTGACCTGTCTCTAACACACCAAGATGAGACTGGTCCTAATTTTTCCTCTGCGAATATGGTTTTCTGATTAACTACTAGTTATGTCTATGCCAAAAAAAGAAACATGCTCAGACCACGGTTTTTGCCTCCAGATGACCGAACTGTACGTGAAGGTGAGAGAAAAGCTGCCAAGCTGCATTTTAGTCAGTTGGGCAACAGTGAAAATTTTCTTTTAGAGGTGGAAAAAAGGTAAGAAGATTCTTTACAAAATTTTTAAAGTTTGGTTCTGGACATAGGAAATAGTGAATTCCTGCTTAGCTTTCTTCATTTTCCAGCAGAAATTTCCCACAAATTGTAAGAATCCTCAGATCAGGAATAAAAGTATTTATTCTGCAAACTGAGATTTATCTGGGATGATAATCTGGCCCTCAGTGGGTACATTCCTGTTTTCTTGAACTTTGGGTATAATTGTTAGAAATTCTCTAAAGTTGTTGTTCACAGGTTATAGATAGGGATACTATGAGATTACTTATTCCTATAAATGCTTACCAACTCTTTCTCAGTAGAGTTATCAATCAGTTCCTGATCTTGTCCTATTGAATTAGGATTACATTACCATGGGCAAGATTGTTAGAGATAAATTTGTTAAAGGAAGGGAAGAGAAGCATTTCTCTTCGAAACAAAAAGTGAACAAACATTGAGGCTCTAAAATTTCTGAATGGTAGCTTTGTCCATTACTAAAATCCTATCAAAAGAAGTTACCATTATCTTCTACCCCCAAACCTATGCTTTTTAAAAAGTAGTTTTATTATTTTTTAAAAATAGATAGCAGTCCATTACAATTTTAATAATACAGAAAAGTACACTGAAAAAAGTCAAAATCACTTCATATCCTACAATTGAGAGTTAACTATTAGTAATGTTTGGTATATATCCTTCCAGATATCCTTGTACTATAGACACATATAGATAATATCAGCATTTTTTCTGATGACAAAGGTAATACATGCTTATTGTTGAGAATTTGGAAAGTACAGAAAAAAACACAAGGGATAAAATAAGTAATTCATAATCCTACCATTCAGAAAGAAACATTCATTATATTCTGGTAAATATCCTTTTTTTTTTTCTTTTTGAGACGGAGTCTTGCTCTGTCACCCAGGCTGGAGTGCAGTGGTGCGATCTTGGCTCACTACAACCTCCACCTCCCGGGTTCAAGTGATTCTGCTGCCTCAGCCTCCTGTGTAGCTGGGATTACAGGTGCACACCACTGCCTAGCTCACCATTTTTAATTTAACAAGCTATCATGAACATATCCCCACAACATTATTCTTATATTATTCTCCAGAATAAGTCTTTTGTTTGTTTATTGCTTTTACCTTTACTACTAGAACATAAACTCCATGAGAACAAGGATCTTGTTGGTCTTGCTTATTACAGTATCCCAGTTGCTAGAACCGTGTCTGGAATACAGACGATGCTAAGAAATAATGTATTGAATGATGAATGAATGAGGTCAGTGCCTATTGGCCTGAGATCCTTCCCTTTCCCAGTGACTTTGCCTGTCTCTGCTCTGATCCATTATATGTTTTTTAGTGCAGCCTTCAGTGAACATTCTTAGTTTCCTATTTTTTTCTTAGTTTCCTATTTTTTAAAATCAGATTTATTGAGGTTACTTTGCATGGAATAGTCACTCTTCTTTAGATAGAAATTGAATGCTTCTAAAACATTGTTTATATGTTTTGTGGATTAATTTCTATTTTAAATGCAATGGGTAACATTCACTACAAAAATACAGAGATTAATTAATGTGTAACTGAATAAACCTTCTAATAAACAGATAAATTAATTCCATCATTTATCTGTTTATTTACCATATAATGATTGCAAAACTGGAGGAAAAATGTTACTCAAGTACCCTGTATTAACATTAATATCTTATAAGCTCTCTAACCTTGGGTGAAGTTTTTTTTTTTTTAAGCCTTTCTGAGTCCCAGTTCCCCCACCTATAAAATGGAGATAATGACCAGTAGGGGGCCTTTTATGATTACATGAAATGGTGATTATAAAGCATCTGATACATACAGCCTAGGCTTTGTGTACTTACTGTACTACCCAAGGTATCTACCTGCCTTTCTTGTCTGCTTTTCTAAATAATGGCTATAGTTGTCTCCTCTATAATTCTTGGCAGCAGAACCTTCCTTTCTGTGTCCTAACTATGAGTGTTTTAATTCAAAAGAAACTGTCCTACCCCCTCAATCATTCAGATCTAAGTATGTGTCAAGAAAACAGAGTATCTAAGTTCTAAATCTTCTGGCTTTCACATTTTACAGGCTGAACTATAGTGTCCTTCTCTCATATTTCCCAGTATAAATATTACTTTTTCTTATAAAGTATGGCTTTAACTGAAATATTTGTGCAACTTTTTTTTTTTTGGAGACAGAGTCTTGCTCTGTCACCCAAACTGGAGTACAGTGGCGTGATCTCAGCTCACTGCAACCTCTGCCTCCTGGGTTCAAGTGATTCTCCTGCCTCAGCCTTCTGAGTAGCTGGGACTACAGGCACCCGCCACCACACGTGGCTGATTTTTGTATTTTTAGTAGAGACAGGGTTTCGCCATGTTGGCCAGGCTGGTCTTGAACTCCTGACCTCAGGTGATCCACCCGCCTCGGCCTCCCAAAGTGCTGGGATTACAGGGGTGAGCCACTGTGCCCGGCTGAAACATAATTAAATTAATATGTTCTAGAGCATTTGAGAAAAATCTGATCACCATAGACTGCTTTCTAAATAGCATTTACTGGTGATCTCAGAAGCCTTTTTTTTTTTTTTGAGTTGTAAATAAATTATTCTATGTGGCAGCTCTAGGGAGAAGACAATGAAAAACTGTGTAACAGGTGAGAGCTCTGCATCAAAAGTCAGTGCTAATGTTGACAGCAGGATTGAAATGGGTAAGTTTTCTCCCTGTGATTATAAAATGATTAAAACATCAGTTATCTCAGCTGCCATAGCCAATATTGGGTAAGATGAAGACACATAGTTGAGAAAGAACCAATTTGAAGCAAGCACAGGTTTACTGGCTGTGTTTTTCTTCCATCCTCTCACTGCCAGAAGGACCTTACAGAGCAGGCCTAACCCAGAGCCCATGAAAGCACAAGCTGTACTTGGAGAGTTCAATTTCATTTACATCACTTTACATCATTAGTATACCCAGAAAATTACATCAGTGATTGATTTAATTAGAGACTGGCGACTCATCTGCATACATCCAGCTCACACCCTGGGCTTCCTGGGCTGCCCAACCAAGAACCTTTGCAGCTGTAGAATCTCTTGTGTTTGGGATATATTACTGGGGAATGTTTACTATATTCCTGTAAATACAGTTGATAAGCCAATATAGCTAAAGTGGTTATGCCAGGCTGGGCACAGTGGCTCACGCCTGTAATCCCAGCACTTTGGGAGGCCGAGGCAGACAGATCACCTGAGGTTGCGAGTTTAAGACCAGCCTGACCGACATGGAGAAACCCTGTCTCTACTAAAAATACAAAATTAGCCGGGCTTGGTGGCGCATGCCTGTAATCCCATCTACTCGGGAGGCTGAGGCAGGAGAATCACTTGAACCTGGGAGGCAGAGGTTGTGGTGAGCCGAGATCACGCCATTGCACTCCAGCCTAGGCAACAAAAGTGAAACTCCATCTTAAAAAAATAAATAAATAAAAAATAAATAAAGTGGTTATGCCACATTAATGGTCATGTCACAGGCCGGGAGAAAGCTTTCCACCAGAGAAGTTGCATCCAGTGAATCCTTGTGGATTAGCTTGGCACTGTCAGATAAATCAAGTGACCTTTTACTTGAGAAAATATTCTTCGGTCTCAGTGCCTCTTCCCTTGGAAGAATCTAGTGAATTATACACAAACTCTAAACATCAATTCCTAAAAGCCAAGCAATAACTTTAGTAGATTGACTCTACACTGTAGTTCAGACATTAAGCATTTTCGGTTTATAACATGTATTTTATTTTCTTGATTTCTTATCATTTATTGACAAATGATTTTTAGAGTATTTTGTGATAAAATGAGACACGGGCCGGGCATGGTGGCTCACACCTGTAATCTCAGCACTTTGGGAGGCTGAGATGGGCAGATCACCTAAGGCCAGGAATTCAACACCTGCCTGGCCAACATGGCAAAACCCCATCTCTACTAAAAATACAAAAATTAGCCATGCGTGGTGGCACATGCTTGCAATCCCAGCTACTTGAGTGGCTGAGGCATGAGAATTGCTTGAACCCGGGAAGCGGAGGTTGCAGTGAGCCCAGATTGCGCCACTGCACTCTAGCCTGAGCGACAGAGTGAGACTCTGTCTCAAAAAACAAACACACAAAAAGACATAATGAGGTGTGACTTTAATGTTCATTTCTTGGATGTCCCAGTACATATAAATATTGGGAGTATGGATTACTTTATTTCATTTTAAATAGCATTTTTAATATTTTTAAATTGATACAATTTTATTGTAATAATTTTGGAAAAGACTGAAAAGCATGAAAAACAACATTTTGGTCCTAGTTAATGCTTTGGTATACAGCCTTCCTTGGTATACCACCTTTGGTATACAGCCTAGTCTTTTTTCTAGGTACAGGCATTTAAGTATCCATTTCCAGACAGAGAAAAATACATTGAAGCATAATTTGACAACCTGTTTTTGTATAAGCTGAATTAGACTTCATTTGTGCCATATTACTTCATTAACACAATTAAAAAGTCTGAAAGTGTACTTTCTCTTCTAAGAACAAACTGCTTTGCTAGAGGGCCCATTTCTAAAGGTTCTTAGAAGCCCCAGCTGTTGCCTGGATTTTTTTTAATATAAAATTTATTTTGCTACTTCGAAACGTTAAGGAGCTTTGTTTTCCACTGAAAATTGTGTTTGTGCTGGATTCCCTGGGGAGTGTTGCCAGTAAGCACTGTTGGTAATCCAATATGATCAAAGTGGTTATGCCATGTTAATGGCCATGCCACAGGCTAGGAGAAAACTTTCTGGAGAACATCTCTCACTAGCTCAGTTGTTCCCAATGGTGTTTTCCCACCAATCATTGCGAATGGGCACTGAACCTCCACTGTCTTGGATCCTCCTCTTATTCTCCTAACCACATAATCATTGACTCTTTGAAAGGTTCCTCTCTCTCTTCCCATATCCCCGAAATAGGCGTACCTAGGCTATATCTTTGGGCTCTCCTGTTTTTTCTCTTTGCCCCTATTGATCTCATCTATTTTACGGCCTTATTTATAAATAAATAAATGTCTTATTTATTTATTTATTTATTTATTTATTTATTTATTTATTTATTTATTTTTTGAGGCAGGGTCTCATTCTGTTGCCCAGGCTGGAGTGCAGTGGTGCAAACTCAGCTCACTGCAACCTCTGCCTCCTAGGCTCAAGCCATCCTCCCAGTTCATCCTCCTGAGTAGCTGGGACTACAGGTGTGTGCTACCATGCACAGCTAAGTTTTGTATTTTTTTGCAGAGAGGGGGTTTTGCCATTTTTCCATGTTGCCCAGGCTGGTCTTGAACTCCTGAGCTCAAGCAATTTTCCCCCCTCAGCCTCCCAAAGTGCTAGGATTATAGGCGTGAGCCACTGTGCCCAGCCTGTTTATTTATTTATATTTATTTTATAGTCTTTCCTCATATCTTAAATATATTGGTCTAGCTTTGACAACCTGCACTGGTCTCTCTCTGCACCAGGCCCATATTTCTGTTGACCAACTTGTAATATACACTTGGAATCACCACTGTTTAACAGCCTCTCAAGCTAAACATGTCCAAAATAACCCCCAAAACAAACAAACAAATAAGCCCCTCTCCCTCAACCCTAAACAGCTCCTAGGGTTTCATCAGTATTACCACAGCTTTCCCATTACCCTGGCCCAGAATCATGTTGGGGTTTGATGCTGCTGCTACTCTGAGCTGAATGTTCATGCCCTGTAGTATGATCCACAATTGACGAGCCTTCCTTTCCATTTCTTTTTTTATTTTTTGTTTTTGTTTTTGTTTTGTTTTGTTTTTTTGAGACAGAGTCTCACTGTGTCATCCAGGCTGGAGTACAGTGGCGAGATCTCGGCTCACTGCAACCTTTGCCTCCCAAGTTCAAGCAATTCTCGTGCCTCAGCCTTTGGAATAGCTGGGATTACAGGTGCGCACCAACATGCCCAGCTAATTTTTGTATTTTTAGTGGAGACAGGGTTTCACCATGTTGATCAGGCTGGTCTCGAACTCCTGGCCTCAAGTGACCCACGTTCCTCGGCCTCCCAAGGTGCTGGGATTATAGCACGTCCAGCCCCTTTCCATTTCTTGATAGTCTCTTACCAGGCATGGTTAATTATCTCAGTTAATCCTCACAACAACCTTGAAGGTGGTTCTACAGGTGAGGAAACTGATACCCAAAGAGGGGAAATAACTTGCCCTAGTTATGCAGTAAGTGGCAGAGCTAGGAGGCAAACTCTGGTCCATCTGTCATCAAAGTCCTCTTAACCATTACATGATACTGCTTCACAGTCTCTTACTCCTTCAATTCATTTTGTACTTTGCTGCCAGATTAATTCTCTTAAAACACAGCTGTGATGATTTATTATGCTTGCCTGCTCAAAAACTTCTCTGGCTCCCACTCCCCTACTAAATTAAGTCTAAACTCCTTTACTTGGTGTATAAGACTCCCCTAAGCTCTATCTGTAATTTGTCTCTTCAGCCTAAGCTGAAAGCTTATCTCCTGTTTGTCAACTACAATGTCCAATACTCAATCAAACCACTCCTTCCTCCCCCAAATAGTCCTTCCTTTCTCCCTCCTCTGTCCCTAAACTAATGCTGTCCCCCTGCTTGTAATGCTTTACTCAAATCCTACCCTTCTTTATGACCCAGACCAAAGCCCATCCATTTTAATGAAACTTTTTTTGTTTGTTTTTGAGACAGAGTCTCACTCAGTTGCTCAGGCTGGAGTGCAGTGGCGTCATCTCGGCTTATTGCAACTTCCACCTCCCGGGTTCAAGTGATTCTCATGTCTCACCTGCCCGAATACCTGGGATTACAGGCGTGTACCACCACGCCTGGTTAATATTTGTGTTTTTAGTAGAGATAGGGTTTTACCATGTTGGCCAGGCTGGTCTGAAACCCCTAACCTCAAGTGATCCACCCACCTGGGCCTCCCAAAGTGCTAGGATTACAGATGTGAAACACTGCACCTGGCCAATAATCTGATTTTTAAAACATATTTTATTTTTTAGAACAGTTTTAGATTCACAGCAAAATTTATCAGGCAGTAGAGTTCCCATATACCCTACCTGCACACATGCACAGCCTCCCTGACTATGGACATCCTGCCCCAGAGTGGTACATTTGTTACAATTGGATAAACCTGCACTGACACATCATTATAACCCAAAGTTCACAGTTTACATTAGGTTTCGTTCTTGGTGTTGTACATTCTATGGGCTTGATGAATGTATAAACGACATGTATCTACTGTTGTAGTATCATACAAAAATAGCTTCACTGCCCTATGAATTCTCTGTGCTTACCTATTTATTCCTTCATCCTCTCTAATCCCTGGCAACCACTGATCTTTATACTGTCTCCATAGTATTGCCTTTTCCAGAATGTCATATAGTTGGAATCATTCAGTATGTAGCCTTTCAGATTGGCTTCTTTCACTTAGCAATATACACTTAAATTTCCTCCATGCCTTTTCATGGCTTGACAGCTCATTTCTTCTTAGTGCTGAATAATATTTTATTGTCTGGATGTACCACAGTTTATTTATCCACTCACCCACTGAAAGACATCTTGGTTGCTTCCAAGTTTTGGCAATTATGACTAGAACTGTTATAAACAACCTTGTGCAGGTTTTTGTGTGGGCATAAGTTTTCAACTCATTTGAGTACTTACCAAAGAACATGATTGCTGGATCATATAACAGTATGTTGAGCTTTGTAAGAAACTGCCAAATTGTTCCAATATAATCTTTTTAAGATGTCTTTTTTTTTTTTTTTTTTTTTTTTTTTTTGAGACGGAGTCTCGCTCTGTCGCCCAGGCTGGAGTGCAGTGGCGGGATCTCGGCTCACTGCAAGCTCCGCCTCCCGGGTTCACGCCATTCTCCTGCCTCAGCCTCCCAAGTAGCTGGGACTACAGGCGCCCGCCACTACGCCCGGCTAATTTTTTGTATTTTTAGTAGAGACGGGGTTTCACTGTTTTAGCCGGGATGGTCTCGATCTCCTGACCTCATGATCCGCCCGCCTCGGCCTCCCAAAGTGCTGGGATTACAGGCGTGAGCCACCGCGCCCGGTCTTTTAAGATGTCTTTTTATATACTGAGTTTAGTTTCTTATAGTTTCTCAAACTGGACTCCTGTTCTCAGAGTTGATTAGAACATTGAGCTTGAGAAACACTGATGTGGCTGGTGACATGCTACAGAAGCCCACTGTGTGCTGGGGACAGTGGAGAAAGGTTTTATGGCAGATATGGAAACAAAGCCATCAGACCTTACAGGCTGGAGAGCAATGGGATGGCCTGAAAAGAGGAGCAGCACATTTTGATTGGTGGGGTTGGTGTGAATTACTGTCTGGAAGTGGTAAGGAGGATGGTAGGTCATGAAGAAAGCCATGTGTCGGTGTGGTTTGGGTGGAAGGTTTATGTTGGGTAGAAGGTCAGGTTCTGGAGAACAGTGAATGTCTTACTAAGAACAATTTACGTTTATCCTGTAGGTACTAGTTGAAACAACCTAACTCACTCTTTTTGCCAGTTCTATTTGCCTTTAAATAGAGTCTTGCTGAAAATATACTGATCTAATATCTTATTCTAAAATAACAAGGAAAAATCCACCACAGCCACCCTCAGTGGCTCATTCCTGTGTCTAGCAGATGTGTCAGGGTCTTCTTTATAACTCATTGAAATCCATCCCACTTCAACATGTTGATCCATGTCATCTCTTGGTTTAGCCATGATGGAGTTTTGGCTGAATAAAAATCAGCTTGGAATAGCAGAGACTTCTCAAAATAGTCACTTAAACTAGAAGTTCATTTATCTCTCTTATAGAAATCCAGATGTTGACAGTCTACGGCTGTCATGGGGAGAGTTCTAAGGGAGGAATAATGAATATGGGGGAGAGGCAGTTAGCAATCTCAGTCAGTGGAAATGAGAGCAATTCAGCAAAGAAGTGCATATCTACTGGGCAAATCCTGTGTTGGGGGTAGGCAGACAAGGACATGATTAAAATAGTGTCACGTCTTCACATACTCCCATTTTGGAAAGATTTATTGCAGCTAATTAGGTCACAAGTCAGGCTTCACTGTGAGACAAGAGCTCTACTATGGCAGAGATATAGAGGGATGGAGGAGAGGCGGTTGCAGTTAGTACTCATTGCAGGCCTGGGAAAAGGCTGCACAAAACAACACTTTAGTTGGGCATTAAAATAGAGTTCAGTGGGCATAGTTGAGGGGAAAAGGTATTCAATGTAGAGGGAAAAGCAGCAGCAAAGACAGGTGAAACATATCAGGAAATTGACTCAGCTTGTGGCTAGAGATAAGGCCAAGTTGCAAAGGCCCTCTTTACTAATTATGTTCATTTTATTCTCTTGAAAATAGGTAATAATAAGGATCTCTTAGAGGTGAGGCATGCTTAAACGTGTGATTTGAGAGATAACTCAAGCTAGATTTAGTTAGTGGGAGGTAATGAGGACCTGTCCTCGGAGGCCAATGGTAAAATGCAGATGAGGAAGCACAGATTGATTAAGTCCTGGAGGATACGAAAATAAAGCCTGGATACAAAACATGAAGTATTTTTACCTGCAGTGTTTTGCTATATAGTTCAAACTTCAGAAGAATGGAATTTCTGAATAAAAGACACAACTATTATTTAAAGGGGGAAAAATACAAGGTTACTAAGATTACATGGAGTCTGTTCATGATGGGAAAAAAACCACCTCACCAATTTCCTTTAATAATTATCATATCTGCAATAGTTATTACATATTAATATTTTAAATGTCAGGGATTGTGTTGTTTTTATTGGTAATTAGCAATGGAAAAGAAATGGTTTTGGAGACTAGTGAAAGACAAGTTATTTCTGCTCTTATATTTTTATCTCAGTGGAATCTGGGGTACAATATGTTTATTTGAGATTAACACTGAGAGGAAGGGGAGGAAAGAGGGTTAAGCAGAGAGAGAGCTCTAGAGTAAGAACTTTCCTTCAGAATGTCCCTTACTAGGCTGAAATGCCTGGGTCTTTGTACCCCTGCCTAGCTCTGTCACGGGGAGTGAACTGTCCTTGGAAGAGAATGGCATCAGGAGATGGTTCTTGATAGCTAAGACAGACTCCGAATGAAGAGCAAACGGCTGAAGTGCCCTCCAGCAGCTAGGCAGCAAGTCCTTCCTTGAAGGGGATCTGGCCAGATCTCAGCCTCCCATTGATTGCAGGGTGTTTGTACAAACATGTGAAGTGGAGCCTCATCCAGCTGGGATTACTGGTAGTAGAAGTAGCTATTAGTTACTTGCCCCTGTATCTGTATGATAAAGCCTTTTCTCTGTTATTACAAATAGAAAACAATTTTCAAACAAATTGTCCTGTCGCATTGATTATATGGATGTTCAAACCTGGGCTGGACAACAGGTCATAATTACATTTGCTTTTGGAATTAAGGGCTGGATATATTTTGTATCTGAAGAAAAAGAATAAACTGAAGTATAAGACAAGAAAAAAATAATCTCAGAATACAAATTGCTTCATTTTCTTGATTGTTGTATATGACGTACTTAGTCATAATAGTGGCAGAGCAAGGCATCAGTTTTTTTTTTTTTTCAAGAGTGATCCTGTATCTTGGATATGACACAAAAAACAACCAAAAGACTTCATAAAAATTAAAATTTTTGTGTTTTAAAGGACACTATCAAAGTGGAAAGACAACCCACAGAATAGGAGAAAATGTTTGCAGACTGTATATCTGACAAGGATCTAATTAATATTCATTCTATATTTTTAAAAACCGGAATGTAGTGGCATGCCCAGGCTGCAGTACAGTGGCACAGTCACAGCTCACTGCAACCTCAAACTCCTGGGCTTAAGTGATATTCCTGCCTCCTGAGTAGCAGGGACTACAGGCATGTCGCCACTAATTTTTTTTTTTTTTTTTGCACCCAGCTATTTTATTTTTTGTGGAGATAAGGTCTTGCTATGTTGCCCAGGCTGGTCTTGAACTCTTGGCCTGAAGCGACCCTCACACCTTGGCCTCTTAAAGTGCTGGGATTACAGGCATGAGCTAACGTATTCAACCCATTCTACATAAAGAACTCTTACAACTCAATAACAAAAAGACAAAAACAACCCAATTAAAAAAAATGTGGGCAGAGAATTTGAATAGACATTTCTCCAAAGAAGATATGCAGCTGGCCAAAAGCACATGAAAGATGCTCAACATCACTATTCATCTGGGAAATGCAAAGCAAAACTACAAGGAGATACCACTTCACATCCACTAGGCCAAATAGAATCTAAAGGACAGATAATAAGCAATGGCTGGGAGGGTGGGAGGAAGGGGAGGAGCAGAAAAGATAACTGTTGAATACTGGGCTTAATATCCAGTGATGAAGTAACATGTATAAAAAATAAGATATGTTTTGCAATTTAAAAAGTTGCTATAAAAAAAGCAATGTCAAGGATGTGCAGAAATTGGAGTCCTTATGCATCGCTGGTAGGAAAGTAAAATTGTGCAACTGTTTTGGAAAACAGTCTGGCAGTTCCTCAAAAAGTTAAACATAGAGTTAAATTTGATCCAGCAATTCCACTCCTAGGTATATATACCTAAGAGAAATGGAAACCTATGTTCATACAAAAACTTGTCCAGGAATGAAAGCAGCATTATTCATAATAGCCATTGACTGAAGAATGAATAAACAAAATATGATATATCCATATTCAGGCATTAAAAAGGAATGAAGTACTAACACATGCTATAACATGTATTTTGAAAACATCAGGCTAAGTGAAAGAAGCCAGACAAAAAGGTCATATATTGTATGATTCCATTTATATAAAATTTGCAGAATAGGCCATTGCATAGAGACAGAAAGTATATTGTTGGTTGCCAGAGGATGGAAGGGAGGGAAAAATTGGGAATGACAGCTATGGGGTTTCTTTTGGGGGTGATGAAATATTCTAGAATTAGATAGTGGTGATAGTTGTATAACTTTGTGAATATACTAAAAAACACTGAATTGTACACTATAAAAGGATGAATTGTATGACACATGAATTATATCTCAATTAAAATAAAGCTTCTCCCACAGTCATAGAGTGATTCTGTACAACTTGGTAATTGAGATTTCAGATGAGTCAAATAACAAGTTTGTATCTTAAGTGATTGGGTGATAGTAATGCCAATAACAAGATTGGGGGAGGCACCAGCAGCAGAAGTAGGCCTGGAAGTGAAGATAATGAGTTTGGTTAGAAAATACTGATTTTTGGCTGGGCATGGTGGCTCACTACTGTAATCCCAACAATTTGGGAGGCCAAGGTGGGCGGATCATTTGAGGTCAGGAGTTCGAGACCAGCCTGACAAACACAGTGAAACCCCATCTTCACTAAAAATACAAAAAAATTTGCTGGGCGTGGTGGTGCATACCTGTAGTCCCAGCTACTCAGGAGGCTGAGGCGGGAGAATTGCTTGAAGCCGGGAGGCGGAGGTTGCAGTGAGCCGAGATTGCGCCATTGCACTCCAGAGCCTGAGCAACAGAGCAAGACTCTGTCTCAAAAAAAAAAAAAAGAAAAGAAAATATTGACTTTTTGGTTGTGTGCAGGTACTCATTGGGGGCTGTTCAGGAAATTTAGGTCTGTACATCAGAAGAGAGACCAGACTTAAGAGATTTAGATTTAGAGTCACTCAGATGTAAGTGATAGCTAAAACCCAGGAGAACTATGAGAGCACTCAGCAAGAAGTTCAGGCGGTAGGGGATTTGAACCAAGACATAGGTTGAAAGAAAAGGAACCTGTGAATCTGGAAAAGAGCATATGTGCTGTGGGAGGAAAAACAGGCTGGAGCAGGGTCTTGAACACCTGCGAAGTCTTGTTCCACAGGATAAGAGTAAGAGGAGCCCTGAACCCAAAGTCACAGCCTACTAACCATTCTCATTTGCACAAAAGCTGTGTTACAACTAGCAGTTTCTGCTTCACCTTGTTTCTTCTGTAGTACTACTGCAGTGAGAACAGGACAAAAAGGTTGATAGCTCATGTCACTTGCAGAAAAGTAGTTCTGTCGAGTCCAGTGGTTGGAAGAGCATCTTGTGTTTAAGTAGGACGTTTCAGTCCCAGAAGGCAATTCAGAAATAGAAGGCATCTTAGAGCCTCAGATGGATGGAGGGGCTGGTTCTCAAGAGGCTGGCTTTATTCACTGTCTACTCTCAGTTGCACTGGCTTGTAGTGACTTTCTGTTGCCAGAACCAGTAGATGAAAGTGAGCATAAGAGCACATTGTTTGACAAAGGCCCAAATTCTTGCTACTATCTTCTTACATAATCCTGCTGGAAAAAAATTCCTTAAACAAAAGCAAAACTCTTGTTTTCATTCAAGTCCCCCCAGAAGACCTCAAATCCCAGAATTATACGTTAATAAATGTATTGATCAAGAGTGGAAAAACGTTTGTACAAATATGACAACCTAATAGAATCGTTCTCTCTTTCTTGTCATTCTTGTCTCACTCCTGTTACTCAGGCTGGAGTGCAGTGGCACAATCTTGGTTCATTGCAGTCTCGACTTCCCAAGTTAAGGGTTCCTCCCACCTCAGCCTCCCAAATAGCTGGGACTCATGCCACTAAGCCTGGCTCATTTTTGTATTTTCAATAGAGATGGGGGTCTCACTATGTTGCCCAGGCTGGTGTTGAACTCCTGGGCTCAAGTGATCCACCCACCTGGGCCTCCCAAAGTGTTGGGATTACAGACACGAGCCACTGTGCCTGGCCTTTGATAGAATTGCTGACAGGCTCTTCTTGATAACAGTTTCCAAAGTGGCCAGAACTGGGCTACAGTTTTTGTTATTTTTACTTTTTATTTTTAAAATAATTTTTCTAATCACAGTAAAAATATTGGTAAAAAAATAAAATTATAATACAGGAAAAAAAGTTAAAATTTATCACTTTTTTGTGAATATATGTATTAAACTAACATCAGAATTTGAAAGGTGAACTGCAAAATACTAATGAGATTTTCTCTTTTCTTTTGGAAATGGAGTCTCACTCTGTCACCCAGGCTGGAGTGCAATGGTGCGATCTCAGCTCACAGCAACCTCTGCTTCCCGGGTTCAAGCGATTCTCCTGCCTCAGCCTCTTGAGTAGCTGGGATTACAGGCGCCCACGCCTGGCTGATTTTTTTATTTTTAGTAGAGACGGAGTTTCACCATGTTGGCCACGCTGGTCTCGAACTCCTGACCTCAGGTGATCCACCCACCTTGGCCTCCCAAAGTGCTGAAATTATAGGTATGAGCCACCATGCCTGGCCCTAACAGTATTTTTTAATGAAAATGGAACACTATTTCCTTTACTTTTAAAAAATTATTTTTCTTTAACTATAAAACAAATCTTACCAGGCCTGGTGGCTCACGCGTGTAATCCCAACACTTTAGGAAGCCAAGGCTGGCAGATTGCTTGAGCCCAGGAGTTCTAAACCAGCCTGGGCAACATACGGATACCCTATTTCTATTAAAACTTTTTTTTAATGTAAAAATTAAAAAAAACAAAAACAAAAACAAATCTCACACAAAATAACATACAGAGTGTTCTAATACGTTTTGTTTTGTTTTGTTTTTTCTTCCCGAGAAAGAGTCTTGCTCTGTCGCCCAGACTGGAGTGCTGTGGCGCGATCTCGGCTCACTGCAACCTCTACCTCCTGGGTTCAAGCAGTTCTCCTGCCTCAGCCTAGCGAGCAGCTGGGATTACAGGTGTGCACCATAACGCCCAGCTAATTTTTGTATTTTTAGTAGAGACGGGATTTCACCAGGCTGGCCAGGCTGGTCTCAAACTCCTGACCTCATCATCCGCCCGCCTCAGCCTCCCAAAGTGCTGGGACTACAAATGTGAGTCACCGTGCCTGGCCAGAAGTTTGAATATATATACAGAGCCTAAAGTACTACTAATAAATATATTTAAGCTCATGGTGAATATTTCCAGCCCCATCACTAATTTAATCAATTTACAAGGATTTTATAAATAGCAGGGGATGATACTTCCACATTCTCTGTGTGGTAACCAAAAAACAAGATAAAACAAGAATCTCTCTAATAGCATTAGTTACAATTGAATAAAACAAAATAAACTGTAAAAAATACATTGGGAGACCTAAGGATTTAGCATTCTTCTCCATGAAATAGGTCCTGACTGGTTTCTCTCTCTTTTTTTTGTTTTTGTTGTTGTTGTTGTTGTTGTTTTATTGAGATAGAGTCTCACTGTGTCGCCCAGGCTGGAGTGCAGTGGCACAGTCGTGGCTCACTGCAACCTCCACCTCCCTGGTTCAAGCAATTCTCCTGCCTTAGCCTCCTGAGTAGCTGGGATTATAGGCGCGCGCCACCACTCCCGGCCCGGCTAATTTTTGTATTTTTAGTAGAGACAGAGTTTCACCATGATGGTCAGGCTGGTCTCGAACTCCTAACCTCAAGTGATCTGCCCACCTCAGCCTCCCAAAGTGCTGGGATTACAGGCGTGAGCCACCACGCCCAGCTTAGTTTTCTCTTTTTACAAAAGAGAGAAAGCAAGGCAGAAAAAGGCTAGTTTGAAATGGTCAATCAGTGCTGACTGCTGATTAGTACCCTGGAGATGTATAATGCCAGGAGTCTATTCCCAGCATCTCCCCCTGTAGTTGGAGATTATGGAATTGGTATCACAGTTAATTATTTATTCGCTTAGGAAATGTGCAAAATATTTGCCTTCCACTCAGTTTCTGTTGAGCACTTCATAAATTATGAAGCCATTTCATATCCATTATCCTGTTTTAACCTGGCTCAACCCTAACAGATAGGCAGTTTAGATTTTATCATCTCTGTTTTCCAAACGAAGTGAGAGAAGTAGAGAGGTTAAGTGATTTGCTCAAATTCATGTGGTCTCCAAGTGGTGGCACCAGAACTAGCACTCAATCTTGTGACTTTCCTTTTAGTATCTATCCATTAGACATGCTGCCTTTGAAGTCTGGTCAGTGAGTGCTTTATTGTTTGCTTTTTCTTTTAACACAGACTCAAACAAAGGACTTTTTATTCCCTTCCCCAACCGGGAAATAAAGGATTCCCTAAGTACTTCTGCAACTCAGGGCAATGGTACACGTGATCAGAAATTAGACACCTTCCCACTGGGGACACAGGTAATGTATTCACTCTCCTGCTGATCTGTTGACTAGTCAATGATTAATACTGATAATTCAGTGGGCTCTCAATTATTTATGAAGGTCTCAGAGGACTTGTTTGATGAAGGCATTTTAGACCCTTTTAAAGGAAAGGGCAGGACAGAATGCAGAGTACCTTCTCCATTAATTTCAATCTCCCATTTCCCTCTCTCTCACACTAACCTGTTATCTAATGTCATATATTTATACATATAACTTTAGCATATCTATGAAAGGCATTTTGGTCCTCAAACAAGAATGCAACTGTTACAGTTTTTGGCTGGTTTTAAATTTTCTCCCCTCTATCCAATATCTCCATCTCCTGTTGCCTTGCTTCTTACATTTTCTACCTACACCCTTTAATACTGAGTCTTACATTTTAGGTATGACTTTCCCAAAGCTGCCTCTGCAGTATAACAGAAAAAGTAAAGTTTAAGGGGTAAAGATGGCATGGAAGTTGTGGGCAATGGGAAGATAGAGATCATGCAAGATGGGGGAGGAGTGAAAAATAAGGTTTTAGTGAAAAAATTGGTGACAGAAGGGATGCAACCATTATGTAAGACTTGTTTGTGTGAGTGAATATGATACAAGGAGCAGAACTGACTACTTTATATTCACCTTCTCCCTTTCTGTGCCTTTTCTTTGATACATTTATGAGCAATAAAATTGTAGAAAATAGCCAGGAGGAGAAAGAAAAGCAGCAAAGGCTCTGATTAATCCATAATTTGGACAATCAAGACTGAATTAGTAAAAAGTTAGTACTATTCTTTTCAGTTTGGGTATAGACTACCTTCATCTTTTAAAAAGATAAGCATTTAATCAGTTTCTTTGTTTTTGGAGATTATACTTGGGTGACTTAGAAACAATCTCAGTTACCATTTTTTAAAACCATATTGACTTAAGGAAATGGAGACAAAGAGTATTGCAATCTCCAGTTAAATAGCACTTCTTAGATAAAAAAGCAAACAAAAAAACTTCTCTGAAATTACTTCTTGAAGTGAGAAAAAAGGAAATTGAATAGTTTGCTGTATCTTTTTAGTTTAAGAAATAAGGAAGTGGGATTTCTTTCTCTCCATGACTACCAAAAAGACACTGAATACTTTAAGATAATTTTTTTAAAAGCAAACCCTAGATGGCTTTCTGTTTTCCTTCAGTCCTTGCCTAGTTATGCCTCAGATTAATTTTCAGCCTATTAAAACCCCCTTAGCTATGGTGGTTGATAGCTTTATCAGCTGGTAAAATAAGCATGAGAGTCCTTTAAACAGAAAAAGCAAAGCTGGAAAGTGGCCCTCATCTACCTTCTATGAGCTATCTAAGGCAGAGAAAGTACAGTCATTGTTTGCTATGTCCTTTACTTCCTAAGGATATTCAAGCAACTCTGGAATCTCCTTGTATTGTGACTGTTTTAAAATAGACTTAAACTGGACCTTTGCTTAAAGGTCTGTTTCCCTAGCTTGCAAGGATAGTCTTTCCCATTAATAGGAAGGTATTCTGAACCCCTAGTCTAATAAGCTCACATTTGAACGCGCATGGACTTCCTTCTACCTAAACTTTCGAACTTTTTTTAGACACAGGAAGTAGCAAGAAGGGAGATGCCAAGTGACAATCACCAGGAAGATGGTAAATATTTTGCTCACTGAGTATTTTTCCCCCACACTAATCAGAGAAGTCTGGATGTGATGGGATTTGGGAGATGAAGATGTCTCAATATGGGGGCCCTATTTAGTCAACTAATTTCTGCTTTTGTGAGGGACTGTCCTGGATGATTAGTAACCTGTGAGACTTTTCTGCTTAAAGAGTGCATATTCTGACCTCCTTTGTTCTTGATTTTTTTTGCGTTGGATGACTATTCTTTTTGTTACCTTTCTTGCCTTCTTTTGTATTTATTATTTTTTATTCATCCATTTGTTTCTCTCTACTGGTTTATAAGTTATATACATTTTCTATACTTTTAGTATTATTCCCCAAATGATAATATGTATCCTTAACTTACATAATTTTTAAATTGTTAATACCTTAAGTCTTCTTTTGGATAATTCAAAAACCGTACAGTACTTTATTTCATTTACTCTTTCCTGACTTATATGTTGTTATTATGAATTTTAATTCTCTATATTTTTAAAGACTTCACAAGATATTATTTTTTATATAGTCAGTGTAGATTTAAATCTATCCATTAATTTACTACTGTTTGTTCACTTCCTTTTTCTTCCCAGGCTTCCCTTCTGATATCATTTTCCTTTGCCTTACAGTGGCACATACTTTAATGTAGGTCTATTAGTGATGAGCTCTTTCAGCTTTTCTTTGTGTGATAATGCCTCTATTTCACTATCATTCTTGAAGGGTATTTTAGATGGGTGTAGATTTCTAGGCAGTTCGTTCTCTCTCTCTCTTCCCACTTCCTTCTCTCTTTTTTTTTAATTTTTTTTATTTTTGAGACAAGTTCTCAATCTGTTGCCCAGGCTGGAGTACAGTACAGTGGCACAATCAGAGCTCATAATAACCTCAAACTTCTGGGCTCAAGCAATCCTCCCACCTCAGCCTCCCAAGTAGTTAGGACTACCACCACACCTGGCTAATTAAAAAAATTTTTTTCGGACCAGGCACAGTGGCTCATGCCTGTAATCCCAGCATTTTGGGAGTCCGAGGCAGGTGGATCACCTGAGGTCAGGAGTTTGAGACCAGCATGGCCAACATGGTGAAACTCCATCTCTACAAAAAATACAAAAATTAGCCGGGCATGGTGGTGCTTGCCTATAATCTCAGCACTTTGGGAGGCCGAGGCGGGTGGATCACTTGAGGTCAGGAGTTGGAGACCAGCCTGGCCAACACGGTGAAACCCCATCTCTACTAAAAATACAAAAGCTAGCTGGGCATGGTGGCATGTGCCTGTAATCCCAGTTATTCGGGAGGCTGAGGTACGAGAATCGCTTCCCTCTGGGAAGCGAAGGTTGCACTGAGCTGAGATTGCGCCACTGCACTCCAGCCTGGGCGACAGAGTGAGACCCTGTCTCAAAAAAAAAAAAGAAACAGAATTTGTCTCCAGAATGTTATAGATTCTTTACTGTTTACACAAAAGTCCCACATTTTATTGGTGGTGGTGGTGTTCCATGTGGAAGTCCTTTCATCACTTTATGCTACCATTGATCAGAATTATAAACCACCTCTTCCTGAGAGGTGTTTCTGGCAGACAGAGAATATGTTCAGTGAACAGAGGTACTCCCAGCTAGGCCACAAAGAATTCTTATCATGTTTTGTTTTTTTGCCTTGGTGGTGTTTAGAGTTCAGACACTACTCGCCTCGTCAGTCCACAGTCCGATCCCCAGAGAAGATGACTAGAGAAGGGTACCAAGTATCTTTTTTGGACAATAAGTCTTCAGGTTCTTCTCCAGAAAAGGAATTGATACCAAAACCTGATACTTTTCATCTTACCCATGATGCCTCATTGAGTAAATGCCTGGATGTGGGTGATTCTAGCCAGATCCATCCCTATCAGTTACCTTCAGATGTTGGTCTGGAAAATTATGACAGTTGTTATTCTCAAACTCTATCCCTGCATGGAAGTCTTGGTAAAAGGCCTCAGAGAAGCAAGAACTATCAAGAGTATAGCATAAAGCCTTCAAATGACATAAAGACCACCGCTTCACATTCCTGTGGAGACTTATTAACTTCTCTGTCAAACCCTGACTCCAGCACTGGAAGGCTTTTGAAGCTTAGTTCAGGTAACAGCTTCCTGTCAGTTTACAGGTCTTCTTCATAGGCATGAAGATAGAAGATATAAGTGAAAATTTTGGAATTAACCCTTCTGAAATTGTATTAGCATTTCTTAAGTTGTATTTTAGGGTCACCAGTGGTTCTTGGAACCTCGAGAAATCTGTAGGGTATGAGTTTAACATGATATATATATTAGGGAAAATTTGTAGGAAAGTGAGCATTGCAGCTACTTGCTATTTTAGTTAAGCAGCATCCCAGGACATCTAGTCTTTACTCACAGTCACTTCTATTCTGACTTACTTTCAGAAGAAGTTAGTTTCAGGCTGGGCACGGTGGCTCATGCCTGTAATCCCAGCACTTTGGGAGGCTGAGCCGGGTGGATCACGAGGTCAGGAGTTCGACACCAGCCTGGCCAACATGGTGAAACCCCGTCTCTACCAAAAATACACACACACAAAATAGCTGAGCATGGTGGCATGCGCCTGTAATCCCAGCTACTCAGGAGGCTGAGAGGCAGGAGAATTGCTTGAACCTGGGAGGCAGAGGTTGCAGTAAGCCAAGATCGGGCCACTGCACTCCATGGGCAACAGAGCAAGACTCCATCTTGAAAACAAAAACAGAAGTTAGTTTCAGAGTTAGTGACAGAGATCACTCTTCTGTTACTTATTTATTCAACCAAACTCATTGAACACCTACAGTGTCCCAGACACTGTTCTAGCTCTGGAGATAAAGTAGCAACCAAAATAAAGTTCCATGTATATTTTACCATAATAAGAAGACAGTCCCTACTTTCATAGAGCTTACATTCTCATGGGGTAAGACACATGATAAACATTTTAGCATGCAAATATATGTCAGGTTATGGTAAATGCTGTGAAAAAATTATATAAGGGCATAGAGCGTGATAAGGAGGAGGCGATGCTTTAGATAGAATGGTCCAGAAAGCTTCTCTGATGAGGCACCATAAAAGTAGAGACTTGAATGAAGTGGGAGTATAAGCCATGTGGGTCTGGGAGGAGAACTTTCTAGACAGTGGGAATAAATGCAAAAGTCCTGAGGCTGGAACATACTTTTCATGTACAAGGAACCTCAGGGAGGCCAGTGCGGCCTCAGCAAAGAAAGTAGAGTGTATAGATGAAGTAAGAAAGATGCCAGACTTTTTTCTGGGTGAGATCAGAAGGAGTTGGAGAGTTTGTAGCAAGGGAGTGATGTGATCTCACTTAAGAATTACTGTGAATGTTGGGCTGAGAATAGACTATGGGGAGGAGGGTAGAAATTTTTTTAAAATGCTTTGGAGAGATTGGAATCAGCGTAACAGATGATGATGGCTTGGGCTAGACAGATAGCGGTGGAGGTGGTGAGAAGTAGTCAGATTCTGAATATGTTCTGAAGATGACACTCCATGGTTTGCTGATGGATCCAGGATAAAGTGTGGGAGAAAGAGGGTCAATGGTAATTCTGTGGTTTTGAGTCTGAATAACTAGAAGAACAGAGCTTTCATTTACTAAGATGGAAAAGAATGGGAGGTAGAGATTTTAAGATAAATATCAAGAGTTGGGTTTTGGACATCTTAAGTTTCAGGTGCCTTATTAAAACTTTCCAGAGATGCCAATTTGGTAATTGGACATACTAGTCCAGAGTTTAGGGAAGAAGGTATGGCTGGAAATATAAATTTGGAGATTATAAGTGTATGGGTGACAGTAAAACTCTGAGACTGGATGAAATCTCACCAAAAGAGTGAATATAGATAGAAAAGAGATCTGAGGACTGGTCCTGAGCCCTCCAACAATTAGAAGTAGATAAAGAGAAACCATCATGGAGAGTGAGAAAGCAGCAGCCAGTAAGATAGAGGGGAAAAAGCCAAGAGGAAGTAATATCCTGGAAGCCAAGTGAAGAATGTGTTTCAAGAAGGAGGGAGTGATCAATGCTAGGTCAAATGCTTCTCCTGATAGGGAGGGAGGGAGCCTGGGACTGAGAAGTGATTATGGTATTTGGCAATGAAGAAGACATTAATGAACAGCTTCAGGGGATGCATGAGAATGAAAGCCTCACTGAGGTGAATTCAAGAAAAAAATTGGAAGCAAGGCAGTAAAGTTACTGAATATAGACAACCCTTGTATTAGTCTGTTCTCACACTGCTAATAAAGACATACCCAAGACAGGGTAATTTATAAAGGAAAGAGGTTTAATTGACTCACAGTTCCACATGGCTGGGGAGGCCTCACAATCATGGTGGAAGGTGAATGAGGAGCAAAGTCACGTCTTACATGGTGGCAGGCAAGAGAGCTTGTGTAGGGGAACTCCCCTTTATAAAACCATCAGATCTCGTGAGACTTACTATCACCAAGAACAGCATGGGAAAGACCCGCCCCCATAATTCAGTTACTTCCCACCAGGTCCCTCCCATGTCATGTGGGAATTATGGGAGCTACAATTCAAGATGAGATTTGGGTGGGGACACAGCCAACCCATATCAACCCCTTCAAGGAGTTTTGCAGTAAAGGGAAGCAGAGAAATGGAACTAGCTGGAGAAGGGATGGGGTCAAGGAGATCCTGGTAGAAGTGATCTAGTAGAGGGAAAACTGATGATGCCAGGGAGAAAAGGGACCGTTACAAGAAAATGGAATCCAGTCCACCAGTGGAGAGGCTGGTTTTAAATAAAAGCACAGATAGTTCATCTATTGTAATAAGAAGGAAGGCAGAGAATTTATTAATACAGATACAGGAGAGTTGGTAGATTTGATGGTGTGATCATGTAGATGTTTTCTTTGATTGCCTCTCAGGGAAATAAAGGAGGTTGGCACCTGGGTGTAAGGAGGGAAGAGAAGGTGTTGGAAGTTTGAAGAGAGATGTGAAATATTTGTCTCAGAGAATAGAAGAGTAAATTGGCCAGAGTATTATATTAGGAGATGCCGGGCACAGTGGCTCACACCTGTAATCCCAGCACTTTGGGAGGCCAAGGCCAGCAGATCACTTGTGGCCAGGAGTTCAAGACCAGCATGGCCAATATGGTGAAACCCCATCTCTACTAAAAATACAAAAATTAGCTGGGCATGGTGGGTAGACCCAGCTACTCGGGAGGCTGGGGCAGGAGAATATCTTGAACTCAGGAGGCAGAGGTTGCAGTGAGCCGAGATTGTGCCACTGCACTCCACCCTGGGCAATCGAGCGAGACTCTCTCAAAAAAAAAAAAAAAAAAAAAATCAGAAGAACTGGGCACCACTAAGGGCGCAGTTACAATAGTGGTCATGAGTTTAAAGTGAGAAAGGTCAGAACAGATGCGTTTTTTTCTCCAGCTATGTTCCCCTGCTCTGGTGTAGGCTTGGAACATGTGGACGGTTAGATTTAACCAGAGTTGGAGTTTTGTCAGAGAGTTGAGGATGTATGCTAGGGAGTGGTTATTATGACCCTTGGACTACAGGCAAGGTATGGATAGAAGTGAGACATGAGGCAGTCAGAGGGCAGGTTCATCTGTTAGCCTGTTTCCTCCACAGATCTGTATGCCACAACCCATTTCAACAGTGACCCTGCTGTACTTGTCAATGTAGAGCAACAATTATCTACCAGCCTGGATGATTTAACACCAGCACATGGTTCTGTCCCAAACAACGCTGTCCTGGGAAACAGGACAACTCCTCTGCGGACACTGCTGTTGTCTCCTGGGACTTCAGAACACAGAAAGATTTTTACCAAGAGGTCACTAAGCCCATCGAAGAGAGGATTCAAATGGAAGGACAATATCCTTGCCAACCTGAATCTAAAGCATGGTTTCCAAGATGCTACAGGCAGCGAGGCAAGTGTTGGCTTGTTTGTGTTTGTGCGAGAAACAGGTCAGGTTCGAGACCAGAATGAGGGTTCTGTTGGGAATGGAGGTGGTTCTGACCAACAGGGCTAGAAATTCAAAGAGATTTTCAGAGGCTGGTGGCTAATACTGCCAAGCTAACACCTGTTGAGCCTTCTGCCCTTGGGAAAGTCATTCCCCCACTGCTGCCATTTTCTCACCTATATCACAGGGAGAACTGTCCCTGATCTACTTCCGGCTGAAGATTGAACTCTGTAGCATCTATGTTTACAGTCTCATCATATTTACACATTTGCTTCGGCCACACATGAAATAGTTCTTATAAAAGCATTGCTTCAGGCTGGGCACAGTGGCGCATGCCTGTAATCCCAGCACTTTGGGAGGCTGAGTGGGTGGATCACCTCAGGTCAGGAGTTCAAGACCAGCCAGGCCAACATGGCGAAACCCCATCTCTACTGAAAATACAAAAATTAGCTGGGTGTGGTGGCGCACGCCTGTAGTGCCAGCTACTCTACTCGGGAGGCTGAGGCAGGAGACTCACTTGAACCCAGGAGGTGGAGGTTGCAGTGAGCCGAGATCACGCCACTGCACTCCAGCCTGGGTGACAGAGTGACTCAGTTTCGTAAAAAATAATAGTAATAAAAGCATTGCTTTGCTTTTCTGTCTAGAAGTTAAAAGGATTTAAAATTTTTTTCCAATGTAGAAGCAAACAGAAGATGAATTAGATTATCCAAGGGATTTTTAGTTCAGAGAATGATTTAAAAATCAAGAACCATTCCCACATAAACAATATACATGTAATTCATTTTATAAAATATCCTAGTGGCCAGGCACGGTGGCTTACATCTGTAATTCCACCACTTTGGGAGGCCGAGGTGGGCGGATCACCTGAGGTCGGGAGTTGGAGACCAGCCTGAGCAACGTGGAGAAATCCCATCTCTACTAAAAATAGAAAATTAGCCGGGCTTGGTGGTACCTGCCTGTAATCCCAGCTACTTGGGAGGCTGAGGCAGGAGAATCACTTGAACCTGGGAGGCGGAGGTTGTGGTGAGCCGAGATCGCGCCATTGCACTCCAGCCTAGGCAACAGAGTGAGACTCTGTCTCCAAAAAAAAAAAAATAAAATAAAATAAAATATCCTAGTATGATAGTGTCATACAATAAAACTTTTATCATTATCACTTCTTAACAAGTTTTGCTCCTGCCTTTGCATACATCCCTTGTGGAGAATGCCTTCTACTCTCCTCTCTTGTCTTTTTGAATGTTCATTTTTCTCCAGGTTCTACTTCCATCATGAGGAAGATCCATCCATGTGGTTAGAGGAACCCCAGCTCTTAGAGTCTTCTCTTCCCTTGTACCCAAGAACCTTTGCCATAGGAACCATTTGTCAATTAATAATTTACTGCCCTGTAAGGAAGCAGGAGATTTGGTCAAAAACAGCCATTTCTAGTTACTTATTTTTCAGTTGTTGGAAATCTTACACATTGGGGTGGGTTTACAGGGTTTTTGTTTGTTTGTTTGGAGTGTTTTTTTGTTTTTGTTTTCTACTGTTAAAGACTTCCTATTCAGTTTTCAGAACTTTGGAAGTGGCTGTAATTTTTGTGCACCAAAGGGGGCAGTCTTGTAATGTTTTATTTAGTTTTTTGGCCTCTTTTCATTCTCAGTCCCCTATGCCTATTTTACCAGACAAGAACACTAACTGTGTGTTACTGTATTCAGAGTGAAGATCCAGCAACATTTAGCATATTTGGGATGTTATATTAATCAGACATGCTCTAGGAAATTTTTTAACCTCTATTTCATGTTATATTGTTAAAATCTGGCTAGATGCTGTGGCTCACACCTGTAATCCCAACACTCTGGGAGGCCAAGGTGGAGGATTACTTGAAGCCAGGAGTTTAAGATCATCCTGGGCAACATAGGAGACCCTCTCTCTACAAAAAAAAATAAATAAACAAACAAATAAATAAATGTTAAAATTTCAATATGCTTTTCTAGACGATCTTAAAAGCTCCTTTTTTTCTGTTAGACATTATTTTTCTCTTTATGGAAAGCTTTAAAAGAGCTGCTTGAATATAAATAAAAAAGAAATATACTTTTTAATTTCTGAAAGGTGTAAGTCAGAAAATTTCCAAGAAGAGCATTTTTTACATTTTTTTTTTAAAGCCGGGCATGGACCGGGCACAGTGGCTCACACCTGTAATCCCAGCACTTTGGGAGGCGAGGCAGGCAGATCACCTGAAGTCAGGAGTTTGAGCCCATCCTGGCCAACACGGTGAAACCCCATCTCTACTAAAAATACAAAAAATTAGCTGGGTGTGGTGATGCACGCCTGTAGTCCCAGCTACTTAGGAAGCTGAGGTAGGAGAATCACTTGAACCTAGGAGGCAGAGGTTGCAACAAGCCAAGATTGGGCCACTGCACTCCAGCCTGGGTGACAGAGCAAGACTCTGTCTCAAAAAAAAAAAAAAAAAAAAAAAAGCCAGGCACGGTGGCTCATGCCTGTAATCCCAGCACTTTGCGAGGCCAAGGCAGGCAGATCACTTAGGCCAGGAGTTTTTGACCAGCCTGGCCAACTTGGCAAAACACTGTCTCCACTAAAAATACAAAAATTAGCTGGGCATGGTGGTGCACACCTATTATCCCAGCTACTTGGGTTGACTGAGTCATGAGAATTGCTTGAACCTGGGAGGCAGAGGTTGCAGTGAACTGAGATCATGCGACTACAGTCCAGCCTGGGCAATAGAGCAAGACTCTATCTCAAAAAATAAATAAACACATAAATAAAATATAGAATTAGCCAGGCACGGTGGTGCACACCTGTAGTTCCAGCTATTCGAGAAGCTGGGATAGGAGGATTGCTTGAACCCAGGAGTTCAAGACTACAGTGTGCCAAGATCACACCATTGCACTCCAGCCTGGGTACAAAGCTAGACCCTGTCTTACATAAAATATTATAGAATATTTATGTTTATTATATATTAATATATTAAATATAACCTTAGAGTAATTTTTTATATTACTCCCATTTGTTTTATAAAATATACTATTTTTAAAATGTTCTGCAATTTAATATTTCTATTATATAACATATTGAACCATAGATGTAGGTGTCAAACAACAAATTTTTAATTTTCTTCTGAAAATTTCTATTATTATTTTGTGACATAGTCTTGCCCTGTTGCCCAGGCTTGAGAGCAGTGGCACGATCTCGGCTCACTGCAACCTCTGCCTCCCGAGTTTAAGCAATTCTCCTGCCTCATCCTCCTGAGTAGCTGGGATTACAGGCTGCCCACCATCATGCCTGGCTAATTTTTGTGTTTTTAGTACAGGTAGGATTTCACCATATTGGCCAGGCTGGTCTCGAGCTCCTGAGATCAAATGATCTGCCTGCCTCGGCCTCCCAAAGTGCTGGGATTACAGGCATGAGCCACCGGGCCTGGCCTGAAAATTTCTATTAAAAATTATGATACAAGATACTGTTACCTTTGATATTATCCTGGAATATCTTATGTTTTTGTCTTAGACATAAATAATATTATGCTACTCAAATCCAAACTGAAAGATGAAATCATCTTTTTCACTTTTTAAAAAGTCTAGGCCAGGCACAGTGGCTCACACCTGTAATCCCAACACTTTGGGAAGCTGAGGCGGGACGATCACAAGGTCAGGAGTTGGAGACCAGCCTGGCCAATATGGTGAAACCCCATCTCTACTAAAAATACAAAACTTAGCCGGGTGTGGTGGCACACGCCTATCCCAGCTACTTGGGAGGCTGAGGCACAAGAATCGCTTGAACCTGGGAGGCAGAGATTGCAGTGAGCCCAGATCGCACCACTGCACTCCAGCCTGGGTGACAGAGCGAGACTCCGTCTCCAAAAAAAAATTAAAAAAAAAAAAGTCTCAATGTCTAAATTCTTACTTCCTTTATTGTGTAAGAATGACAAATGGTTGGGTTTTTTGTTTGTTTGTTTTTGCTTTTTTTTTTCTCTTGAGCCTCTCTCTAGTGACCTGGGTAGTTTGCACGGTTTGGCTGGAAACCACAGTCCCCCCATCTCTGCCAGAACCCCCCATGTGGCCACTGTCCTCAGACAGCTCCTGGAGCTTGTGGATAAGCACTGGAATGGCTCCGGCTCCCTCCTCCTCAACAAGAAGTTTCTCGGTGAGTGAATGCATTCTCTGTCCTTGGACAGGAGTTGGACTTTTCCTCTGCTCTGTGTTCTGCTAAAAGCCACTTAGCTCTCTTCACTTGCAAGGAAAGTTGTTCTCATGATCACATCCTGAAACATCTCAGAAACATCATAGTTAACAAATCTACATTTTTCTCATATTCTACATTATTTTTTAAAAGCAGCACCTCTTCTAATTATTTTATAATGATTGTTTTGTTCCTCCTGTAAATATTTGCTAGTCTTTGGTAATATATAGAGTAACCAGATATGTAAATTAGTGACTATATTAATTTTTTTAAAGATTTTGTGATCCTTGGGAAAGTGCCAATAATGAATACAACAGAAATTGGGTTTGATCATCAGAGTTTTGAGATGACTGTTAGAATGTTATGATTTGAAAATCTCGAATGAGTAAATGACCTGGACTCCCTTTAGGGGTTCGTTCTTTAGAAACATGGGAGAAAACAGTTTTGCAAATGTTGGCTTCATGCATTTATTTGTTGTTATTTTCTTTTTGATCCTTAACATGTTTGTTGGCTATTTAATAGAAGAATAATTAAGGAAATTTCGTTGGTGGTAAAATTTTAAATATAAACTAGAAACTTGGCTGGATGCGGTGACTAACGCCTGTAATCCCAGCACTTTGGGAGGCCGAGGTGGGTGGATCATGAGGTCAGGAGTTCGACACCAGCCTGGCCAACATGGTGAAACCCTGTCCCTACTAAAAATACACAAATTAGCCAGGCGTAGTGGTGTGCGCCTGTAATCCCAGCTACTGGGGAGGCTGAGGCGGGAGAGCTGCTTGAACCCAGGAGGTGGAGTTTGCAGTGATCCGAGATCACACCATGGCACTCCAGCCTGGGCAACAGAGCAAGACTCCGTCTCGGAAAACAAACAAACAAATGAAAAAAACAAAAAAACTAGAAACTTAAACGTTGTTTGGGGTTAAAAAAACTTTTTAAAAAATATCTAAAGGGACATACAGAAGAAGAAATCCTAACACAGTTATTTTCCTTCTCATGTTGACCTATTGCTCCCATTTTGTAGGAAATTATCCCCAGGGCCACTAATCAATGACTAAGGAATTATGCACTCACAAGGGGCTGCTGTTGTTTCTCCATAGAGGATGTAGGATATAATTTCTTGTCCTCTTAAAAACACCTCTTTCTGCCACTTACTAAGTTCTGGTAAAAAGGAGATAATACATTAGCCTATTTGATCCAGAGAGCTGGTAGTTACTGACTAGGAATGCTGTGCCTTAGCTTTTAAGATTGGCCTGTGTGCCCATCCTGAATTTTTGGCAGGTCCTGCCCGAGATTTGCTTCTGTCTTTGGTAGTCCCGGCTCCTTCTCAGCCGAGGTGTTGCTCACATCCTGAAGACACGATGAAAGCATTCTGCAGGAGGGAGCTTGAACTGAAGGAGGCTGCGCAGCTGGTCCCTAATGACATGGTATGCCCCTCTCATCTCCCTTTAGAAAAGGACAGAGCAGCAGAACTACAACATCTCTGCCTTAATGATCAGCATCACCGTGAACACCTAACCAAAATATGGCAAAAGTCTGGGCACAGCAGGAATACAAAACTTGCTAGGACAGGGACAACTTGGAAGTTCTGCAGGGATGACTCCCTCATCCTAACCCTAATCCAAAAATTCTAAAGAAAGACTTGAAATAAGAAGAAACAAACAAAAATTCCAAAAAATAGCTCTAGAGTGGAAATGTTTAGGATAATGTTCTTGAAGGTTATGGTTTCACCCCAGCAAATGTATCTGGGATTGTCTTTCCTCCCTTCTAAGCGAGCTGAGAGCCCTGAACCAGGGGCTAAGGGCCATTCTAGAGCATCAGCCTGCTGGCTCTAGGAAAGGAAGAAGCAACTCATATCCCCATGCTTTGTTCCCTTTTCTCTTTTCTTTTCTTTTCTTTTCATGAGGCAGAGTCTTGCTCTGTTACCCAGCCTCGAGCGCAGTGGCACGATCTCGGCTCACTGCAACCTCTGCCCCCCAGGTTCAAGCAATTCTTCCTGCCTCAGCCTCCCAAGTAGCTGGGATTACAGGTGCCCACCACCATGCCCAGCTAATTTTTGTATTTCTAGTAGAGACAGGGTTTCGCCATGTTGGCCGAGGTGGTCTCAAACTCCTGACCTTAGGTGATCCACCCACCTTAGCCTCCCAAAGTGCTGGGATTACAGGCATGAGCCACTGCACCTGGCCGCCTTTTTTCTTCTTTTTTTTGAGATGGGGTCTTGTTCTGTCACTCAGGCTGAAGTGCAATGGTGCGATCTCGGCTCACTGCAAGCTCCGCCTCCCGGGTTCAAGCGATTCTCCTGCCTCAGCCTCCCAAGTTGCTAGGACTACAGGCACACGCCACCATGCCCAGCTAATTTTTGTATTTTTAGTAGAGACAAGGTTTCACCATGTTGGCCAGGATGGTCTCAATCTCTTGACTTCATGATCCGCCTGCCTCAGCCTCCCAAAGTGCTGCAATTACAGGCCTGAGCCACTGCACCCGGCCTCAGCCGCCTTTTCTTAACATTAGAGGATTTTCAGACACCAAGTTCAGTTCTAGAAACTTTAGATAGATCACTAAGAATGCTGGCCATTTGTCAAAATGACAAATGTTTGTTCTGCAAGAGTAGTAGATAACTCATAAGAAAGATTGCTAGTCCATGTAATAAATTTGTTTACTGCTTTTGAGCTGTATTTACCAATGAATTAAAATTCTAGTGAGAAAGAGATGCTGACTTCCAATCAGTTTATCACTAAATAGAGGAAAAGATCTTTCAGTTCTCTAAACACACCTTAGCATGTCAGATTCTTTTTTTTTTTTTTTTTTTTTTGAGACGGATTCTCGCTCTGTTGCCCAGGCTGGAGTGCAATGGCACTTTCTCAGCTCACTGCAACCTCCGCCTCCCAGGTTCAAGCAATTCTCCTGTCTCAGCCTCCCGAGTAGCTGGGGTTACGGGTGCACACCACCATGCCTGGCTAATTTTTTGTATTTTAGTAGAGACGGGGTTTCACCGTGTTGCCCAGGCTGGTCTCGAACTCCTGAGCTCAGGCAAACCATCCACCTCAGCCTCCCAAAGTGCTAGGATTACAGGCGTGAGCCACGGCACCCAGCCTAGAATGTCAGATTCTTAATGTATTTGTATTTTGTTTTCTAATCTAAAGGAAAGTTTGAAGCAAAAACTGGTCAGAGTGCTGGAGGAAAACCTCATTTTGTCAGAAAAAATTCAACAGTTGGAGGAAGGTGCTGCCATCTCAATTGTGAGTGGGCAACAGTCACATACTTATGGTAAGTTGAGGAAAGCCATGATATATGAGGCCTCTCAAGACAACTGTTTGTTTATAGATGACCCATTTAGTAACCTTCATCATGCTAGCTCACGTGGCTGCCTTTGGCCTACTTGGTCATCAGTTTTCCTGGCAGTTAACAGAAACAATCATCTTGCCTCAGAGAATTGTAATGCAGGTGGCTTGAGTTACCAGATGAAGCTCTTGTCAGTGGAAAGCATGTACAAATGTTGTTACTATTGCCATTAATTTTGAGAATGACACATGCTTTTGTGATTATAACACCAAGAACATGTTCTTTATACAAAGTTTGGAAAATACAAGGAAAATATAACCCCATGATCCAGCAATAACTTCCATTAGTGTTTTTGGTATATTTTCTTCTACCATACCTCTCTATATTTTTAACTCCAAATTTACAATTGTGGCTGGGCAGGTGCAGTGGCTCACACCTGCAATCCCAGCACTTTGGGAGGACAAAGCAGGAGGATTGACTGAGTCCAGGAGTTGAGACCAGTCTGGGAAACATAGTGAGAATCCGTCTTTACAAAAAATAAGAAATTAGCCAGGCATAGTGGTGTGCACCTATAGAGCCAAAGAGGCTGAGGCAGAAGGATCACTTGAGCCCAGCAGTTCAAGGTTAGAGTAAGCCTTGATCATGCCACTGCAATCCAGCCTGGGTGAAAGAGAGACCCTGTCTCAAGAAAAATAATAATAAAAATAGGCCGGGTGCAGTGGCTCATTCCTGTAATCCCAGCACTTTGGGAGGCCAACGTGGGCGGATCACTTGAGCTCAGGAGTTCAAGACCAGCCTGGCCAACATGGTGAAACCCTGTCTCTACTAAAAATACAAAAATTAGCTGCGCGTGGTGGCAAGTCCCTGTAATCCCAGCTACTCGGGAGGCTGAGGTAGCAGAATTGCTTGAACCCAGGAGGCAGAGGTTGCAATGAGCTGAGCACTCCAGCCTAGGCAACAGAGCAAGACTCCCTCTCAAAAAATAATAATAATAAAACTGTGTCCTGGTTTTAAAAAATAATTTACATATAATTAGATGCACACATTTTAAGTTTGATCTCAATCAAAATACAGAACATTTCTAGAAAGTTTCTTCATACCTTCGTGTAGTCAGTTTCCCCTACTCTTGACCTCAAGTAATCACAGACCTGATTTCTACATCCTAATGTTATTAATTTCATAGTGTAGGCATTTCTACAGTATCACAAGAATATACCATATTTATCTATTTTGTCCTCTATATAGTTGTTTTTATAATGGTTATATAATATTTAGAATAAAATGATTTTAAATTATTTCTAAACATTCAAAAGAAAGACCTGAAGTGAAGGAAAAGACCCTAGAATCAAATGCTTTTCTGAGATTAACCTTCTTCCCTTTTGATGGAGCTGAGAGTCCTAATATTTAATATTTATACTATTATAAATAATGCTGCTATTAATGTCTATGTACAGAAATCTTTGTGTACATTTCAGACTATTTTCCTAGGAGACAGTCCTAGAAGTAGAATTAGTGAGTCAAAGGATGGGATATTTTTGAGGCTTTTGTTACATAAATCACTCCCAAGAAAATTGTTTCAGTTTACTCCCACCTCAGCAGTGTACTTGAATGCCCCTTTCACTCCCCTCTGCCAACACTGGGCATTTTTTCAAATTTTGCCATTGTGATAAGTGAAAAATAATATCCTTTTTAAATCTTGATTGTACTACTTTATTATCAGCATAGTTTAGGCCAGTATGTTAGATAAAGTTTGCGCTTGACAGACTAGCTTAGCACCCCTAAGCAAATTATGGGTACATGGATTTATACAAGGAACTTGATTTCAAAGTTCTGATGTGGAAGCACTGAATTTCCATTGTTAAATCTCAGCACTAAATAAATAAATAATTCTCAGCACTATCTGATACTCACAGGCCCGAATAATCAAGATATCAGTCTCCACTTACCTACTTTGAAATTAAAAGTAGGTATTTGTCCACTAGATACTTACTTTCATTCAGCCAGGAGGCCCAGTATAGTATTTTGGCTTACTGGTGATAAATAAGCTTTTGCAGCCTTGTTTTCCACCTTCTAGAACTCTCCTACTCAAGATGTGATCCACATTAGTATCACCTGGGAGCTTGCTAAACAAGTGGGGCCTCACCTCAGACCTACTGCATTAAAATCTATTTTTAGCAAGATCCCCAGGTGATTTGTAAGCATATTACAGTTTAAGGCTGGGCACAGTGGCTCACGCCTGTAATCCCAACACTTTGGGAGGCTGGGGTGGGTGGATCACCTGAGGTCAGGAGTTTGAGACCAGCCTGGCAAACATGGTGAAACCCCATCTCTACTAAAAATACAAAAATTAGCAGGGCGTGGTGGCATGTGCCTATAATCCCAGCTACTCAGGAGGCTGAAGCAGGAGAATTGCTTGAACCCAGGAGGTGGAGGTTGCAGTGAGCTGAGATCCCGCCATTGCACTTCAGCCAGCCTGGGCAACAAGAACAAAACTCTGCCTCAGAAAAAAAAAAAAAAAAAAAAAAAAGTTTAAGTATAGAAGATTGGCATCATTACAACCGGAGTTCCTCTTCTTTTACCTCCTTATTATTGCAGGTAATGGTAGTATATTGGGGAAGCTAGGTATAAGTGTCTTAGCCACAAATTCAGTTTCTACAAGTATTAATTGAGTTATTACTGTGTGCCTGACACCATTCTAGATGTTTTCACATACTACGTAGGGAGTGAAGGATGTACAAAACAAACTAAAATGGAGAATACGGTGTGAGACCCAATATCTATTGACTGCCTATGCTAAGTGAGGGTAGGTGTCTCATTGAATCCTCATAACAGGGCTAAGGGGCAGGGTTATTAGCTCTAATGAAAGTCAGAAAAATGAACCAACATGTGCAATATTTTTTTTTTTGAGACGGAGTCTCACTCTGTTGCCCAGGCTGGAGTGCAGTGGCACAATCTGTGCTCACTGCTACCTCCATCCCATCTCCTGGGTTCAAGCGATTCTCTGCCTCAGCCTCTCGAGCAGCTGGAATTACAGGTGCCCACCACCACACCCAGCTAATTGTCGTATTTTTAGGAGAGACGGGGTTTCACCATCTTGGCCAGGCTGGTCCTGAACTCCTGACCTTGTGATCCACCCGCCTCAGCCTCCCAAAGTGCTGGGATTACAGGCGTGAGCCACCGTGCCTGGCCCACGTGCAATATTAAGTGGCTGAATTTTAACTCATATCTGTTGCCAAACCCTGTATTCTTGCCACCATATCTCCTATCTCCAAGTAAGGCAATGGAGTGTGAAGTTGGGTGCCATGGGGCCCCCAGTTCTCAAGATGTCCATCTGAATACTTATATTCTGCTCAAAGACTAGCAGCTTGGAATCCTTTTCACCCCTGGCTACTGTGCCCTTTGTAGATGATCTTCTGCACAAAAACCAACAGCTGACCATGCAGGTGGCTTGCCTGAACCAGGAGCTTGCCCAGCTGAAAAAGCTGGAGAAGACAGTTGCCATTCTCCATGAAAGTCAGAGGTAGGAGAGGGTCTATCTAGCTTGCTTCTAGAAGCAGATATTTACTCCTTTTATCTCCTTTGTTTTGCTTGGAAAGTTAATATCTATGCACTTTGCAAGTGAACTCCATTCTGTGTGTAAACCTCCTGTATCTGGCCAGTTAGCTCAGGGATTATAAAAATTACTGCTTCCCAGGACACATCAGGGACTAATCGTCTTTGTTGGCATTGGTGGGTTGCAACACCTCGATAATTAGCTTCTCACTGGATCTGATGGGACCTTTGTTTGGGTCAGCTAACTTTTTTGGGAGGTCAGTACATACCCCTAAAGTCGGCCATCTGGCTCCTCTGGAAAGTGCCTGCTATTGGTCACGAAAGACATCAAGAGCACTTGGCAGGGAGTGATAAAGAACTCAAAGTGCGTTGTTTCCTTCAGAGGAGCTCAACAGCATCAGTCCTTAAAGAACAGCACCCCCGGCTGGGTGTGGTGGCTCACGCCTGTAATCCCAGCACTTTGGGAGGCCGAGGCAGGTGGATCACGAGGTCAAGAGATCGAGACCATCCTGGCCAACGTGGTGAAACTCCGTCTCTACTAAAAATAAAAAAATTAGCTGGGAGCTTGCTAAACAAGTGGGGCCTCACCTCAGACCTACTGCATTAAAATCTACTTTTAGCAAGATCCCCAGGTGATTTGTAAGCATATTAAAGTTTAAGGCGCGTGCCTGTAGTCCCAGTTACTGGGGAGACTGAGACAGGAGGATCACTTGATCTTGGGAGGCGGAGATAGCAGCAAGCCGAGATCGCGCCATTGCTCTCCAGCCTGTCAACAGAGCGAGGCTCCGTCTCAAAAAAAAAAAAAAAAAAAAAAAAAGCAACCCCAGGATACAGGCAAGGCAAAAAAAATCAGAAGAGACTTCAAGACTATGGCTACATTTAGAGAAGCCCTTGAGATTTTGGCTTGCCGATAATACACATTTACGAGGACTTTCACTGCAGTTTAAATATAAGCACTCCATCCCCAAACCTTCAAGCCTTCTACTTCACTTCCTGATTTTCATTTGGTTAACTTTATATTCAGAGGATTAGACCCAGAACCATTCTGGATTTGTCTGAAAAGCTTTTCATTATAATTATTTCAAACATTACAAAAGTAAAGAGGATAGCATAATACAGTTCTCAAACTTGGGTATGCCTCCAAATTAACTCGAAGGACGTGTTGAAATGCAGATTGCTGGGCCTCATCCCACAGTTTCTGAGTCAGCAGGTCTGGGTTGGGAACTGAACATCTGCATTTCTAATTAGCTTCTGGGTGATGCTATTGCTACTGGTCTGGGGACCACACTTTGAAAACATTAGGATATATTGCTTTAGTGACGTACAGTCAAAATACTCTCTTTTAAATTAACCAGAAATAATCCTTCTGAAACCATACAGGTTCATTTGTTTTATTTTGCCCTTGATTCTTAGGGAATTTTAAAAATAATTTTGATTTAATCTTGTTTTCATAATTATGTAAAACATTTACACAGTCCCAATGTCAACTCTATGAAATAAGATAAATCCAGAAAAATCCAGCTTCCTTTCCTGTCTTTGCTGTCCTTTCCTTCCCTCCCACCATCCTTCTATTGTAGGTGTGGGTGTATATTTGTATTCCCTAATTATTACATAAGAAGACTCAGTGTTGCTTTAACATTTCATCTTGAAAATGCATTCATAGTGGTGTATAGAGTTAGTTCTCATTCCTTTTTCTAGCTGCATAGTGCTCAGTTGTGTGGATGATATACCACTTATTTAATTAGTCTTCTATTGATGGACATTTAGTTTAACATATTTTGCCATTAAAAATAGTGCTATAATGAATAGTATCGTGCATACATTTTTTTCTTTTTGCCAGTGTGTGGATGGCTTTTAACATTAGATGGTAATACAGGCCAGGTGCAGTGGCTCGAGCCTGTAATCCACACTTTGGGAGGCTGAGACAGGTGGATCACTTGAGGTCAGGAGTTTGAGACCAACCTGACCAACATGGTGAAACCTTGTCTCTACTAAAAATACAAAATTAGCTGAGTGTGGTGGTGCACACCTGTAATCCCAGCTACTTGGGAGGCTGAGGCAGGAGAATTGCTTGAATCCAGGAGGCAGAGGTTGCAGTGAGCCAAGATCCCACCATTGCACTCTAGCCTGGGCAACAAAAGTGAAACTCTATCTCGAAAAAAAAAATTAGATGGTAATACAGAGTTCAATGCAGCCATGACTAGCACCATTAGTGAATTGCAGTGGCAGGATAGATTAGAAGTAGATGTTATGATTTGGGGTAGAAATTGGAGGCCTGATCAGGTGCCAGTGACCCAAGGCTTCTACTTACCTCATCATCAAAGTGCTTTTGAAAGAACAGAACAACCGCTAGCTATATATAAAATGGGAAATGTATTATTGCTTCAGTAAGTCTGGAATATAATCAAACAGAATTGTAATGAAGAAACTTTAAGTCTGCTTTTAAAATAACTCAATCATAAATTGGACAGTTCCTTCTATTTAAAGATGTGACTTCATTTCACATTTGCCTTTGGGAGACATTTTGGGTCTGCATGGTATCTCTCTTGCTTTTATGATTTCATGACTGCCTTTTTCCCTTGGGCCTCAGATCCCTGGTGGTAACTAATGAGTATCTGCTGCAGCAGCTGAATAAGGAGCCAAAAGGTTATTCCGGGAAAGCGCTCCTGCCTCCTGAGAAGGGTCATCATCTGGGGAGATCATCGCCCTTTGGGAAAAGCACGTTGTCTTCCTCCTCACCAGTGGCACATGAGACTGGTCAGTATCTAATACAGAGCGTCTTGGATGCTGCCCCAGAGCCTGGCTTATAGAGCTAGCATGGAACTCACACCACAGCTTCCCTGGTCCACAGAGGCTCTCACCGCCATTGCCACCAGTATGGTGGTATGTACTCACAAAGATTAAGAAAGAAATGTATTCTGATTAGATTGTATTGGTCCTTCTTTTTATATCTCTATTTATCTCCCCCTGTTGAGTCATTCTTTCCTTCTGCCCACAGAAATAGTTGGCACTTGGTCCCAGCTATTGTATAGACATTGCATAGAGACATTTGGCTGAAAATGTTGAAAGGGAAAAAAACACTAGACATTTTTCCCCTGTGTCATTTGAAACTGTGTGGTAGAAAGTTAAAAAAGAACATCCGCCAGATTCATCAAACAGGGTTTGATTACCTCCCGCCATGGTGAAAAGCTGACAACACCTGGTGTCTGCCCTGGAGCAGCCAACAATTTAGTCAGGGAAAAAAGCAAACTCATGTGATGGGGCCCAAAGCTTCGAATTGGTACTAAATAGATCTAAACAAAAGCCTAAAGATGCCCTGAAGAGAGAGAAAGAGTGAGTAATGGCCACTGTAGGATTGGAGGTGTCAGTGAGGCTTGTTTGAATGGATGCTGCAGAATGAGTAAGAACGGTAGCAGGTAGAGGGGATGCAGAGCCTCCCAGGCCAAGAGTACACAGAAGAGTCTGGAACACCACAGGGGGATAGTGGGGCAGGGATAGAAGTGTTGGACATGGAAGAGGTGTAATGTCATGAGAATGTCCCCAGAGCAAGTGATCTTTCATGAAGGGGGAGACATGAAGAGGTTACTAGGCAAAGCATGTGGCTGAGGGCAAGAGCAATGGGGAGAAGCTGCAGAGAGCAGCAGCATGTGCGAAGGCCGGGAAATGGAAAGGGACGTGGTTTCTTCAGGGAGCTGAGGGGCTGAGAGGAGGTAAGCAGGAGCAAGGTTGCACCACTCTTTGAAGATTTTAGATTGGGAAGGCAGAGGAGTGACAGACTGTGTTTGAAAAGCTTTCTCAGGACCAGGCATAGGGGCTCACACCTGTAATCCCAGTACTTAGGGAGATCGAGGCGGGAGGATTGCTTGAGACCAGCCTGGGCAACATAGTGAGACTCCGTCTCTACAAAAAAATTTTAAAAGTTAAGGCGCAGTGGTGCATGCCTGTGGGCCCAATTACTAGGGAGGTTGAGGCATGAGGATCACTTGAGCCCAAGAGTTCAAGGCTGCAGTGAGCTATGATTGCACCACTGCACTCCAGCCTGGGCAACAGAGCAAAACCCTGTCTCCAAAAAAAAAAAAAAGAAGAAGAAAGAAGAAGAAGCAGGAGGAGAGAAGAAGAGAATGGGTTGATCATGTGTGAAGTAGCGGGGGACCAAAGCGGAGCTAGGCAGCCCAAAGAAGAGGCAGAGGCAGGCCGGACTAGATATGCTGCTTCTGAATATGTTAGCTTTGGGCTCAGCATCCAGTTTACATGCAGGTGCCCTGTACTTTTAATCCTGATTGGGCATTTGAAAAATCAATGGGGAAAGATGATGTAAGTGGTTCTAGGTATGTTTCTGCTTCAGTGGCCTCCCAGCGTGCTAATGTTGCCAGAGAGTGTGTAGAAAGTGAAGGATTTTCAACCTAATGCCACATGGTTCTTCTCTTCACCTTCAGGGCCACATCAGAGAGAGAGACAGGTGGAAGGATTAGATAATTTACTTGTACCCCTGATTCCATGCTGTGCAGGGAAGGAGAGCCACCACCATACTAATAAGACATGACAGTCACAAGTTTCTAAGTTATAAATCCACAGACTTCTGGATTTTAAGTGGCTTCCCAAAAGCAGCTTGTACAGAGGAGCCAGAAGTTTCTTTGAGCTGCAAGGCTCTGAGGGAGCTAGAGCGAGCTTGTGCTCTGTGGAAATGTCAGTAAGAGCAGCCTCCCTGCACCCCCGCTGCCTCTTTCCTGGGCCTGTCTTTGTCTCCCAGGTAGGGGAGCATCAGCCAGTGGCCTTGCATCCCTGAGTTGTTATATTTCAGGGTCTCAGCCCAGTGCACAGGCCAACCTAATGGACACACCAGGGGGCAGGGAGGAATAATGCACTGCTTTCCTCCAACCCAGCCCTTCCTGCCTCCTCCATGAACACCTGATGGTGCTAGCCCCAGAATCCACTCAGGACACCTCCTAAGGGGAACAAAGAGCCTGGCCCAGTGTGTGCCACCCTCCACCCCATTTGCCATTGTCATTGAAAGTGACCGACCCTGCCCCAGGCCAGGCACCTGCTAGGTTTGCTGGCCACTCCTGGGGAAGTCATCTGTTTCTGATTTTTCCCTGTATGGCACTTGTTCTACAGGGCACGGGTAGGGGTTGCGATGTTAAGGAGAGAGCCAAAGAGCTCAGGGCAAACTGGACTCAACATGGAAAGCGGAGGACCCTTTAAACAAGCAGAAAACACGTGGAGCAGAATCCCACACCCTAGGCCTGGCACTACCACCAGAAAGCAGGACAGGTCTGGGATGGAGACTGGTCCTCAGGGAGGTTCTATGTCCAGAGGGAGGGGCAGAGCCACTCTTAGGTTGGGAGTTCTCCCAGCCATACAGAGCAGGTTTTAAAGGCTCTGTCCCTCTGATCCTAACCTCTCCTTTGTCTAACCTGATTTTGCTAGCAAGGGTATCCAAAGCTTTCAACCACAAGGAGGCTGTTAGGGGAGGGGCAGTGGCATTGCTGGGCAATGGCTGTCATGTGCCAGATTCTGCTAGACCCGTCTGGTCTTAGGGTCCTCCCAGCCCTGAGTGGGCCTTAAATTCCCTCGGGCTTCATAACGGCATTTCGAGAAGAGGCGGCTTTACTCCTATGACGTGGGGTTTTGGGGCTCAGCCATTCTCTCTGTGTTCTTCCAAGCCATACTGCCAGTCACAGGAATGGAGAAGCCGCTGGGCCCTCTACCATTGGATGGTACTGTCACCTGCAGTGGAATAGTGGGAGCCTGGCCCAATTTGGAACACAGTTAAATTTGTTTCCCTGTGAGGCTGTTCTGGTGAAAGCCAGAGGATTTGGGTTTCACTCCTATTATGTTCATTTTAAGCTTGCAATTCAAACGAATTTTCCAGGGCTAGAGGAATTGTTCCTCTGCATTTTTTTTTTTTCATTAAACGCCTTGCATTCTACCTCTTAACATTTGCTGGTGGGAGGATCTGCCTGAAGGTCCCTGAAGCTCTTCCCTGGGCCACTCAAGGAGACGCGGTCAGCTGGGTCAGGAGGAGCCGCGCTGTGAGGCAAGGCTCTGCTGTGGCCAGGTGCCCACCTGCTGCCTGCCGATTCCCGCCTGACATCCCTGTCTCAAGCCATACTATTCCGCTACACCCCTGTCCCCAAGGAAAGCTGGGCTTAAGGGATGTGGGGCCACCTGGGCAGGAGCATCCCCCAATAGACTGTGGGATGAGAGGATAAACAATGGTGCTGCTTTGTCTTGTGATCTGGGTCAGGAAAGCAGGCATTTGGGAACTGGCCCTTTTATACCTTTTCTAGCCCCTTTGGGAGCCACCCTCTCCTGGGTAGGCCCTAAAGTCCCATCCAGCCCCATTTTCACAGCAAGGAAGGAAGGAGAGGTAGCCCGAAAGCCTTGGCTTGGGAATAGCTCTGTCAAAACACCCAGAGCCTCAGTGAGATGATCTGGAAACGCCCAGGCATCCTCAGGACCAGAGAGGCTCCCTTCCCCCACTAGGGATGTGGAACAGATGGGAGGACATCAAAGAGGAGGCCCCTTTACTGAGGGATGCCCTGCTCCCACCACAGGCTAGTGTTGGGTGCCAAGCCCTATCACCAGTCAGCCAGTCCCAGTTTTGGAAGTCAATGCTGGGGCTTGCTAGAAAGAGCCTGGCCTGGGAGGCAAGAGGCATGGTCTGGCCTCTAGTCTGCAGAAGCCCCTCCACCTCTCTGGATGTTTCCTCAGCTATAAAATTACGGAGTCAGATGAGCTACTCTCTTTTTTTTTTTTTTTTTTTTTTTTTTTTTTTGAGACAAAGTGTCTGTTGCCCACACTGGAGTGCAGTGGCGTGATCTCGGCTCACAGCAACCTCCAACTCCTGGATTCAAGCGATTCTCCTGCCTCAGTCTCCTGAGTAGCTGGGAGGGACTACAGGCACGCAACACCATGCCCAGCCAATTTTTGTATTTTTAATCGAGACGGGGTATCACTATGTTGGTCAGGCTGGTCTTGAACTCCTGACCTCATGATCCACCCGCCTCAGCCTCCCAAAGTGCTGGGATTACAGGCGTGAGCCACCGCGCCCGGCCTGGATGAGCTACTCTCTAAGGTTCTGCCTGGCCCTGCGTTTTCTGTATTCTGAGCCAGAACCCAAAATGACTTGCCTCGGTAGCCCCTGTTCGCAGACTGAAAGCTGATGCCTGGCTCTGGGGCCTCTGCCAATGCTTGGCCCAGGCTGAGTCGGCTGTTTCATCCCTCCTACTGCTGTGAAAGTGGAGAGGGGGCCAACTCTCCAAACCCAAGGCACTGGTCACAGGAAGGCAAGCTTTGATGTCAGGACTCCCGTCAGGCCCAGCTAAAAGGCTTTGGACTTCCCCAGGAGTCTCCTCAGACAGAATGGCTCTGTGCTAACAGAAGGGGACTCATGAGTGCCTTTTTCTGGGCAAGGCTGCCAGGGGAAGGGGAGTGATTAGCAGTGTGTGGCATGCAGCGGGGTGATGACACTGAGGGGGTCACTGGAGTGTGAATGTCATTCCCCCATCATCGTCAACCAGGCCATATTGGTACAAAAGGTGTCTTTATTGAGGTCTGGGTTAAAATTAGGCACTTGGCCAGAGCAGCAGCTTAAATATGAGGCAAGCAGTCAGGGGTTAGCCATGCCTGGGGCTGGGTTGGGGTCATGAGGCTACAGGCACAGACTGTCCCCAGGTGGACAGAAGTTGGAGCAGGAAGAGGAGGAGGAAGGGGCCGCAGAGCAGCCTGGGTCAGAGGCCTGGTGGGCCAGCCCAGTGGGACTAGGCAGGAAGCTCTGGGTGGCAGGTCCAGCAGGGAGGGGACCAGGATCTCTTGCTCCACGTGCCCCTTAGACCCAGGCCTGAGCCTCTGGCAGGGGCAGCCGCACTTGGCAGGGCGGTCTTCCCAAGCCTCACTTCTTCACCTTGGCATCGTAGGTGCCTGCATTCTTGTAGGCGCTCACGTAGCCACTGTCGTCCAGGATGTCCTGCCGTCCCGCAATGCCCTTGCCCTTGCCGCTCTCATCGAAGCGCTCCTTGTGGGAGCCCGTGTATCTGCTGGTGTCCGTCAGCCGGTCTACAGCACCCCCTGTTTTTGCTTTCTGTTTGGACAGAGTTTCCCCAGGGGCACCTGATGAGGGAGCCCAGCCCTTCCCACCCACAGCCACGATTCCCCACACCCCATTCCGTGGCCACCCGAGACCAGCAGGGCACTTACAGTGACGCCCACATTGGCTGGCTCTTTGCCTGCCACCAGCTGGCAGATGGCATCGAAGGCCTCCTCCTTGCTCTTCCCCTTGAATCTCTTGGTCGCCAGCTCTTCCAGGGCCTTCTTGAACTCCTCATAGTTGATGACCCGAGCAGACTTCCCCCTGACAGGCATGTGGGCACCATGAGGGTTCCCCTTTCTTTTTTCTCCCCCAGGGGAAAGCTCAAACACATTTGCTGCCACCACAAATTATGCAATTGCGTTTCTTTCCCACGTTTGGGGAAGTCGCAGGGGTCAGCAACTCTGGAGGGCAATAGATATAAGGTTTGCCCTGGAAGAACGACCTTCGTGATCATGGTGTTTCCCTGACCCCTTCTTGATGTCCTCCCTGGTTCCAGCCCCCCAGTTCCCCACCTCCTGGGAACATGAGAAGCAGGGGCTGCTTAGGGCTCACTTGACTTTGGAGAAGACGATGTCCACATCGGTCCCTGTCACGGACTTTCCGTCAGCCACCTTGCAGTCCTTGCACAGCTTGGCCCAGTTCTTGCCATTCATCTCTTGCCCACTGGCCTTGGGGTCACCATGGATGGCAAACTTGCGGAAGCTCTCCTCCAGCCCAGCCATGTCTGTGCTCGCTGCCATGCCACCCTATAGAGACCCACCTGGGTCATCTCCCAGCCAATCTGCCCTTCCCCTCCCCCAAGCCCAGAACATCCCAGCCTCTACCTCAAACCTGCAAGACCTGGGCAGGTTCTGCTACAGAGTTGGTGCTGGAGCTGCCTGGGGAGAGGGGCCCGTCACTGTCGCCCTGGGCCACAGAGCCCCAAGGAAGAGCCCCGGGAGGCACGGTCTTGTCACTAATGCCAGCCCTGGCTCTCAGCAGGGTTCAGCAGATGAAATAATGATGCCCACAGGGAACAGAGTGGCACTGTCCAGAAAGACTGTTAGGGCAGCAGCTGGGGCCCTGGCTTTGTCTGGCCCTGGCACAAGGCCTTGCTTGGGTGGAAGTGAGGGTGGCAGAGCAGGCCCCCTCCCTGGAAGCTCCATGCCAAGCTGGCTTGGGGCCAGGCCAGGCTGCTGGTCGGGCAGGCATTCAGTGAGGACAGCATCTCTGTAAGGGTCATGAGGACCCAGCAAGAGCCAGTCTGGGCACGGGTGCATGCCCTGGGCAGGGGTGCAGCTGGTCCAGCAAGGCCTTGTTACTATTTGCTGTTAAACAAAAACATGAGGGGAGCTTGGGGCTGGCCTGGCCACAGTTTGTGAAGCCTGGAGACGGTTGCTAAGGGAGGGTGGTGCTGCTTGGAGAATGTTGCTAAGGGCAGGATGGTGTCAGGGCAGCTCAGGGAGAAGCTCCCAGTGCTGAGGGGCTGGGCTGGGCTGGGAAGCTGGGGCCCACGGGTGGGGCACGCCAGCACTCCCTGCGCCTAGGGCATAACCGTGGCTTCCTGGCCCCTTGCCACCGACTGGTGCTGTAACCTCCCACTGTGGAGTTTTGGGGGAGCAGGAGGTTGGGGGCTAGTAGCGTGGGGGCTGTAGAGTTACGAACCCCAAGAGTCGTGCTGGCAAGTGGGGCTGTGGCTGAAACACACTTCATCATGTCTACACCTCAGACCTCCCCTGGCCACGCCCTGAACTTGGCCACACCAGCCCACATTCCCAGCGACCCTGTGCACTCAGCCCTGGCCTGCCACCCCCTGGGCCTTGTACCCCTGGCCATACCTTCAGCCCTCCATCCTCCATCTTCACACCCACAGCCACAGCCCTCGGCCACCAGCCCCCACATATATACTAACAAGCCTGCGCCAACCCCAGTAATACCCACAGTCCAGCACTAAAGTGCCCCCCACACCCACAGCCCTCCGCTGCAGACCCCTGGCCACACCCTGAGCCTACACAGCAGCCTTCTCCATCCCCACACCCGCAGCCCTGGGGCTGAGGCCCCTGGCCACAAACCTGCATCCCTTCCTGAGACCCCTGACCATAGCCTCAGCCACTCACCCCCTCCAATACCCGCAGCCCTTTATCAAGGCGCCCTGACCCTCAGCACCCCTTTGTCCACACACCCTCAGCCCTCTGGCCACACCCTCAGCCTGCACTGAAGGCCCCAGTCCACATCCACACACTAACATTATAAGACTCCCAGGTACTATGCGGAGATCCCCTGCGTAGAGACCTCCCCACCACATCCCCCTCCTCCACTGCCACCTCCTGACCACACCCTCGGTCTCAGCAACCATCTTCTAGCTCTGCCTTTTACACTAGGGCTTCCAGTGACCACGGCCTGGGCTCTGCCCGGCTGCCCCATCTTCCACCAAAAACTCCTCGCCAGTGACCACACTCCCATCCCTAAGTGGCAGTTTCTGGGACTGTGAGCACCGGTGGTTCCTACGTTACAGGGACCATAACCCCAGTCCACGCTGCACTCCCCTTCCCTTTCCCTGGGTGCAACCTCCCACCAGGGACCCCAAGACCCGCACTTGGTTCACCAAGGGTAACGTCCAGGGGAGCTTGGATGCCACAGGGTGCTTGGCCCAAGCACTGGGCGGATCCTGCGTGCAGTGCTCACTCCTGTCCGTGGAAAGATGGATTCTTGGTCATCTCAGCGCGGTCAGGTGGCGCTGGGTTGCAGGCCGCAGCCCCATGGGTCTGCAGGCCATGGATGGAGTGGCCACACCCGTGAACTGGAGCCACCCGTCCCGCTCCCACTGGGACAGCTGGAGTCATCAATCAGCCGGACCAGGAGGTGGGGGCTGCGAGGTGGAATGCTTGGGGCCAGGGCAGGGCCGCTCAGCTGGCTCCTCGGCTGGGACCGCCGGAGGTTGGGACCCTTTCCAGGCTGCTCCCCCCAACCCTCATCGTGCAGGATACTGATTGGGGTGGCGGGCATCTGGGTCTCCTATGGGCTTCTACCTCGCGGCTGCTCCTGAAGTGTGCGTTCGGAAGGACAGAACGACGCAGGAATGGACCGATGGACGCGGGAGACCAGGCGGCTCCGCAGCTCCGCTCCCTGCCGGCTCCCGGGTGGGACTGCAGCCCAGGCGGCTCCGCCGTATTATCCCCTGTTTCTCGGTCTCCATAGAGACGGCGAGTCCCACCCCCGAGGCTGTCTCGGCGGGAGAGTGACCAAGGTCACGCCGGCCCCGCCCACGAGGCCCCGCCCTCCCCGAGACTCTCCGGGAGCCGCATCCCGCCCCTCCCCCGCAACTCCGCGGTCCTCGCGACGGCGAGACCAGCGCTCTGCAGTTCGGGGCGTCTTCGGACGGCCCCCTGAGGAAACAGCCTCCCATCCTGGGATGTGCCTAAAGCTCTAAGCGGCCCCAATCTCCAGAAGAGATCCAGCTCCCCAGAGAGTCAACCAGAGGCCACTGGGGAGCTGCGCGGGGCATTGGTGGGGCTTGGGGAATCGGGAAGGAGCTCTCCCTCAGTGACAGGGGTATACGGTTGACTCAAGAGCACTGCCATCCACTGAACGGATGGCACCCCCAGGCCACAACTCCCGTGCTCTCTTGGGTAGGATTCAGAGCCTGGAGCAGTGGGGAAGAAGGGAGGGGACTCCCTACGAGCGAATCGCGCTCGCCCAGCCCCAGGATGCTGGCATTCGACGGCAGCCCTGCTGCCGGGGAAAAGCTGCGGGACCTCCTGGCTCGGCCCCCTCCTTTCGCCGCCACCTCCCCACGGCCTCGCAGCCTCAGCGCCCACTGCTGCTTTCGGAGCCCAAAGCCTGCTTTCTCTCGGCCTCCCAGTGCAAAGCCCATCTTTAAGAAAAATAACCTCCTCCAGGCCGCCTTCTAAGGCCTTTCCTAACCACGAGCCGCACGTGAGCACCTCCACAGGGCAGCCTGGGTGGCTACCTACTATACAGGGACCTCCTCCCCGCCCCCGGTCCACTGGCCAGGGTCGGGCTTCTGGATGGCCCGTGGCCCCTGCCATTAAGAAAGTAAGCGCGACGTCCGCAAAAGCATAAAAAAGTTTATTGGAGCATCACAGCCGGTGGGGCGGGTATTGCTGAGTCGTGGGGGAGGGAGGCCGATCCCGCCGGCCGTAGGGGCCCCTAAAGTGCACTCGGTGCGGCAAGGATGGGGTGTTGCATAGAGAGTCAGGCCGGCCGCTCTAACTCGGCCCTCCGGCCTCTCGGCCCAGCTAAGCCAGACCAGCCTCCCGGCCGCCCGGCGCCCTGGGCTCGCCGCTGCTCGGGCTCACGAAAACGGCGGGCGCACGCGCCTGCCGCGCCAGCGTGGGCTGTCGGCCCCGGCCCCGCGGGGCGGCCAGAGCGGCGCTGCCCAGGCGCGTCTGCGCCACTGGAATCTCGTCCACGGACTCTGCCGACGCCGAGTGGTAGGCGCCGGCAGGGCCAGCGGCGTGCACAGGGCTGGCGTCCGCGGAATCCGTCGACGAGCTGGAGCGGCGGCTGGGGGCCCTAGGCCCTGCGCAAGGGAAGGGAACATGAGCCCAGTGGCTGCGGCTCGCTTGTGGCTCTGCCTTCCCCTCCCTCGAGTTCCCAGAGCAGGACCCGGACAGGGAGAGGCGCTCACCCGACGCCGGATCCGAGGTCTCAGACGTTCGCACTTTATACACGCGCCTCTTCCTCTTTTTCTGCAGAGACACGGGGGAGCCTGAGGGCCCCACATCGCCAAAAGAAGCAGAGGCGAGCGCCAGGGTAGAGGCTTCTTTCTATCCCACTCCACCTGGACCGGAGGCCCAGCACAGTCCCTCCTACCTGGGGTCGGATCCGGGGAGGCAGGGCGAGAGTGTCTGGGGAAGAGGGTGGTGGAGGTTCCGCTTGGCCACGGGTGGCAAGAAACTGGGAGGGACTGAGGGGGAAGCAGGAGGGTAAGCCTGGGGCCTGTTCCCCAAATCCCTCCCCACTGGAGGTGCTGAGAGAAGCTTCCCTTCCTGTTAGCTCAGAGAAGGGCCTGACCCATGCCCCGACCTTAGCCTACCCCCTTCTCCTGCCTCGATGGCCCTGCCATGCTAACTGGAGATGCCCAGTGGCACATGCCCAGGTTGCACTCACTTGGCATTCACTGCTGCTGGCCCGGCCTGGCCAGGGGGCTCTGGGCGCATATGTCTGAAGGTCCGCATGTAGAACTCCATCTCCTGGGGAAGGTGGAAGTCAAGGAGGCTGGGAGGCCAGGTGTGGCTCCCGAGCCTGCTGAGCCCTAAGCCCACGCAGTCCTGCCCTCATTGGCCTCTGTGGGATATCTCAGGCCTCATGCCAGGCTCCCAGCCATGCTGGGAAAACCCCATCTGTAGGGTAAGGCTTAAAACACCCATTTCTGGCCCTTGCCCCATCCCCAGGTCCTTACCTCATCTATTCAGCCTCTGCCTCCTGCAGGAAGGCTCCCAGCCCCCATGGGTCTATAGGCCCAGTTTAGAGAGGCTCAGCCAGGGAGTGGTGGGAAGCTCAGAGCTGCCCGCACCTGCTCCTGGTGTCCCCAGGGATCCAGCCTCTGAACCAATTGTTTTCCCCTGGCTGAGAAACAGGCCTGAGTGTGCATCCACCAGCTCCCGCAGAGCTGAGTCCTGGGCACACCCCTCGCCCTCACAGAGGACCAGCCACGATCCAGGCTGCCGAGAAGGGGCTGCGTAAATGCACATGCGGTGGTCTCCCTGCCACTACACCAAAAGGGAAGGTAGCAGGTGGTGGAACAAACAGAGCCGCAGCCCCACTGAGCACCAGGCTTATGGGCAAGCCCTGATCTTCACAGCAACCCTGAGGGTGCAGACGCGACCCCTGAGAGCAAAGGGGCCTTGAGGCCAGGGGGTTGCAGGAGTGGCCTAGTCCTGCACCCCCGCCCGCAGGACTCGCCCCAGCTTTGCCCAGAAGGACTCCAGGTGAGGAAACAAAAGCCTGGGGAAAGCAGGCCCGGGAAGGGCGTGGTGCGAGATGGGGGCGGGTCCCGGGCGGGGTGGGAGCCGGGAGGGGTTGCCGGGAGCACCCGGACAGCTGTCGCCAGTTCAGCAGCCGTTTCCATGGAGACGGAGGCGTCCTGACTAATGCAGAGAGGACACTGTAACAGCAAGGCCGTCTCTAAAACAAGCCTATGTTTGGGGGCAACGGCTCCAGAGAGGGGCCCCTCCCGCATTCCTGCTGGGGTGGGGGTGGGTGGCTGCCTGCAGGGCCCTGACAGATCTGGGGGAGGAGCCCAGCCAGCGGCCCCGCCCAACCTCTGCCCTGGCTGCTGCTCTGGAGAGGGGTGTGGGGGCGCCAGCCTGGGCCGAGGAGCGCGGGGTCAGGGGTCAGAGGCCAGTCACAGGGACTGGAAACCTCAAGATCACTCTCCCCCACACCTCTTTTCTGCCCCAGTGTGGACTCAGTGACCCTCTAGGGCCAGCAGAGGGGCAAAGCCCACTGGGGGGCCCTGGGCTCCAGAGGGGGGAGCAGAGGAGGGGCCAGCAGTAGAGGAGGTCTCAGAAGCTGAGGGGCCTGGATGGGAAAGGCGCCAGGCCCTAGCCAGCTCAAGAAGTCTGAAAGCGTCCCCAGTGAGTCCCCACTCAGAGCCCTGTCCTCTCTCGCCATGGCTGTCCAGAGGATACTGTCTCAGAGACCTTCAAAACCGTGTACATTCCTGAATGGTACTGGGCCCTCAGCCTCAGCTCTCTGCTTTGTAAAAGAGGACAAGAACACCACTCCTGTCCCCCGGGTTTGCCTCCCTCAAGTCACTGCAGATGGACAGAACAGAAATTAAATGTCTTCGCTGTGGCCACATTTGGCCCCAAAGCCTTGGCAGCGCAGGGCCAAAGAGCCCGCCCTGCTTCAGTGGGTGCTGCCTATGAGGCTTGAGAAAGTCTCCTGCCTACTTCTCTGGGCCTCCGTCTCCTCTTGATGTGGGGCTGGAAACAGTACCCTCTCCCCAGCACAGCTGCCACCATCAGAGCCCAGCACTGGGGCAGGTATACGGTGGTGTAACAGTGGAGTCGCCACCCACAGCCAGCATGCCCCAGGCCCAGGCCTGCCCAGTCCTGGCAGCCTGGCCCACAAGTAGTGTCCAGCCCTGGTGACAAGAACAGAAGAGGTGGGGTCCTAGGCCCTCCCCAACCCACCCACCAGCCTCTGTTTGTGTCCAGTTGCCATGAGGCCTCGGGATCCAGGGCTCAGCCTTCCCCCAGCAAAGCCTGCCCGGGCCCCGCCTTCCTAGTCCCTAGGGGCTCCTTTGACGACTGGATCACCCCCACCCCAGCGGCTGACCTCAGGAAGCCATGGGGCGTGGGAATGGGGATAGGCTGGTCAGCCACTGGCCTGGCCAGGCCGGCCAGAGCGTAGAGACCTTAACTCTTCCCAGACCCAGCTTGTGGTTAACCTTCTAGGCCTCAGTAGGCACATCTGCAGAAGAGGCTGTTCTAAGCATAAATTAGGGTAATGGGTATAAGCGCTCAAGGTCATGGATGAGGAGAAGTGATGGCTCCATCCTGGCCACCCATCACTGACCCCGTCGCTGGTCCATCCCTCTCTCTCCTGCTGCAGCCCCAACCTGCTTGCTTCCAGGCTCCCACATCCCATGCCCTCCCGCGCATGCTTGGCGCCTGGGCAGGTGTGTACGTGGGGTCCGGGAAACACAGGGCTCCCTCTGGCTGTGCCCACGCTTGGGCGAGCAGGCACACGCTCAGCACAAGCCCGGTCCCTGCTGCCCCCAGCGGCTGTTCCAGGCTTGCCTCCCTTGCCCTGTCTCCTCACTGGCTGCTCGCTGCACAGCCCAACACCCCCCACACCCAGGCCCCCTCCCACCCTTCATCCTCTATACCTGAATGGGCCGCATCTTGGGAGGACATGACTCGAGCTCCCTGTGAACCCCCTTGGCCTCCTGTGGTGGGCGGTGCTGCACGATGTACTCATAGGTGGTGAGCTTGTGCCACACTGGTGGGGGGAGGAGAGGGCTCAGTGCGGTGGAAGGGGGACTCTGGAGCTCAGAACAGGAGGGAGGACAACCAGCCCCAGGCTGAAACCAGTGTCCCCAAATACACGAAGCCATCAGGTGAGACCTGGCCACCATAGTGAGCCCATACTAGGCAGGGGCATGGTTTCAGGGTCCACCGTCCAACTGGGCACCTTCCTGCAATCTGAGGACCCCTGCGTTCCAGAAGGCAGGTGCAGGAGGCACTTACTGAGATAAATGTGGAAGCAGAGCAGGTGCCCCAGGAGGGCTGTGGACAGGAGGCCCAGAAGGATGAGCAGGGCGGCCAGGGCCAGGATGGCAGGGGCCTGGGTCTCCACGGGGGCGGCAGGCAGGAACACGAACCACACATCCGTGTGATTCTTCAGGACTGCAAGGCACAGGCAGTGTGTGCTCAGCCGGGGACGTGACGGGTGACCAGGGTTGGGGGTGAGAATAGGCCCGGAGCCTAAACTGACCTTCAAAGTGTCGGTTGGTGCGCAGACGCATGGGGTTGACAAAGAACTCCACGAAGACATATGTGGCCACCAGCACCAGGAGCAGGACGCCCAGTAAAGCGGATGCAACACTGTGTAGAAAGAGCCTGGGCCCAGCCATGGGTCGCTGTCAGCTCCCCGGAGCTCCAGCCTCAGAAGGCCCATAGGAGTTGGGGCTGTAGGGTCATTGCTATGGGCTCAGAGGGCTGAGGGTGACCCCACAGCCCCAACTCCTCAGAAGCCAAAGGCATACGGCAAAACTGAAGATGGGTGGCCACCCCATCAGGCAGCCCACATTTCTCTGGGCCAGCTTGGTGGAAGATTCCAGGCCCACCCTTGGCCATCTCAGCCGGCACCCAGGAGCATCACTCTCTCTGGGCAGCACCCCCGCATAAAACGGGCACAGGTCCTCGAAGCATCCCCATCCCCGCCCGCCTGCCATGCGAGCTGCAAGGTCTGTGGCTCCCACCCTCAGACAGTGCATCCCCAGGCCCGCGTGCGGCCGGGCTGTCCTCACCGGTAGTTCCGCTCGCCCACACAGTTGTTGAGCCACTTGCAGTGGTGGTCGAAACCGCACACGCACTTGTTGCAGGCGCTGCAGTGCTTGGAGCGAGCGCTCCTGCAGGGAGAGGGGGCACAGCGCGATTGGCCGGCTCATTCCCCGCTCTGCGGCCCGGCCGGTCGGGGTGGTTGAGTGGGGTCTGTGGAGGGACCAAGCGCCAGGCCTGAGACAGCCCCGAGCGAGGCGACGAGGAGCGCGCGCGCCCTCTGCAGGCGCTGCGGGGTGGGTCCCCTGGAGGAGGCAGCGCTCCCGAAGAGCTGGGGGACCCCAGAGGCCGCAGGAGGGGTAAGGAGGTGCACCCCTCCTGCTCTGGGATTGTGCGCCTAGCTGATGCGCCATGAAACAGAAAATGGGCGTCCTTTCCAAGCAAAGACCCCGAGAGAAGCCAGAAGATGCAGGTGTGGGCCCAGGGAGCTGCAGACAGCAAGGCTTGGGCCCAGGGCCTGCACTGCCCTTCCCGACACCTCCGGCAGTGGGCCCCTGTTTCCCTGCCATTCTATAGGAATGGTACTGGCATTTTTCCAGAAACTTCAGTCTGTGTGGACTAAGAGAAAAGAGGCAAAAGAAGTGCAGGCTGCCATCCGCGTGAGCATGCAGGTGCTCACCACAGGGGCTCAGGGGAAGTCTCCCAGCCCAGGGAGGCACCGGGGAAGGCCCAAAGGCACAACCCCTCCCCCAGAACAGGGCAGAGCCCTGCAATGGGCAGCAGCTGCTGGAGCAGCTGCTCGGAAAGTGTGCTGGCGGGTGCCCAGTGAATGGCAGGATGGCCTCATGTCCAAGTCCTTGGCGCCTTAAGGCTAGGGGCTTGCTCAGTCTGCAGACAGACCCCTTCAACAGGCTTCCTGGTGGGGGCTGGCCTTGGGCCATATCCCCATCCCTGATCCCCCACCCGAGACCTGGAGACTGGGGGGCTCCAGAAGGGTGGAGAGGGGCCCCTAGAGAGGTAGCTGGGACCAGCCAAGGTGGCGGGGCGCAGCACGTAGTGACTCCTCCATGTTAGCAGAGGGACCTGAGCAAGCCAAATGGCCCCCCTGGGCCTCAGACTCCTCCTGGGTAGACCCCAGGGCAGCAGTATCTGCTTAGGGGCCTGGCCGGCCAGATGTGAATCTGGCTCCGCTATCAGTGGCTGTGTCTGGCCTATCAGCCTTTCTAAGCGCTGGGCTCTTCCTCCTCCATGAAGTGAGAAAGCCATGCGGGGTGGCTGCAGGAAGAGCTCAGCACACAGTGAGTGTCAGGCATCAACACCCCTGCCCACCCCTATATGGGAATACTGGCGAGAGATGTGAGGGTGTCACTGGCAGAGCCGCTCATTAGAAATGTTTGGGCAGGGCCAAATGTTTCCTCCTTTAACTGCTGGAATACTACTGATCTTCTGTTTCCAATCACCTTCTCCTCACCTTCTCAGTAACCCAATACTCTGTCACGCCATCAAGGTTCTTGACTGCATAAAACATGAGGGTTCTGAGGCATCAGGGATGTCTGTGAAGCCCTGGCACCCCCTCTCCACCATACACCCCACAGCACACTCGGCAGCCACAAGCACCCACACACACTCACACATCCACGTTGCACAAGTTGCAGTGCAGGTCTTCAATGACATGTGCGTGCTGGCTTCGGTTGAAGATGGGCAGGGGCCCCGCATAGCTCTTGTCCCGCACGTTGGCATCTGCTGGATCGATGGAGACGGCGGTCAGGTGCACCACAAGGTGGCCAGCAAAGATGGCGCCCATGCACTGGCCCAGCAGGTTAAAGACTCACTCCACTCTGCCGGCTGGGAGTCCTGCCCCGTTCCTTGCAGCCAGAGAACTCCCCACTGCCATGCCAGCCCGCTTTGTGCAGATTCTCTGCCTCTGCCACCTCCTACCTCCAGTCCCCCAAAGCCTCCTCATCAGACCTCTCCAGGTAACCCCTATGCCCCAAATGGAAAGAGGGAGAGGCCATCTAGGAAAGGAGTCCACAGCCAGCCAGCAGTGCCTGCTGTCGCCACCTAGGTGCCCAATCGCAGGGTCCTGGCCTCACTGCTCCAGGCCTGGTGCAGGCCCTGGCTGGTCTGACCTCAGGCTGGTTTCTGGTTTCAGATTCCAAATGGTGATGTGAGACTGAAAGAGATCAACCCCACCTAAGGTCCAAGAACCTGAAGTTTAAGTCCCAGCTTCCTTATCTTGCTTTCATAGGAAGTCACCTCCAAAAGGGATGCAGCCACCCCCCTTTTCAGTAGCTGGGCCAGATGGAGAACCCCTTGCAGACACGGATTCGGACACTTGCTACCTCCCCTACCAAGAATCTAGGCACCTGGAGTCCTGGGCTGAGTGTCTGGAATGGCCTGCCATGTTCAGGGCCTGGCCAGGGACAGCATGGCTAGTCTCTGAAGCTGAAACAGCTCTTCCAGGATCTAACTGCTCAATGACTGGGCCAAATGCAGGAGACAAGTTTGCTGACAATTTGCTACAAAGTCTGATGTTTAAAAATTCACCCATAGATTCCACCCAGGCAGCCATCCACTCTCCCTCCCTTGATCACACCCACTTCAGCCCAAAATTCCACTGGTCCTCTTGCTAGCCAGGCAGACATCATCCCTCCATCATTCATGCTCTACCCATCATCCATCTGCCATCCTTCATTCATCAGCTGTCCAATCTCTTTTCCTCCCTTCCTCCTCCTCCCAGCAGCCAAATTTCTCTACATATCTGCATAAACCAGGCTCCGCCCTAATGTGCCATAAGCATAGCTAAGAGAGACAATCCTGTGGCCATCACTACCCCTTCTATCCCTATGGCCAAGTCTTCATCTCTTGCCTGTGCCACTCTATAGCCTCCCAACTCTGCGCCTTCTGTCTGAGTTCCCTTGAGTCTATGCTTCACATGGTCTCAGAGTAAGTTTTTAAAAGCTCAGACCCAAAGCCCTCCCTGCTTGCAACCCTACAGTGGGTCTCAACAGCTCTCTGACTGAAATTCACTCCTCTGCTCAGTGCTAAGGTCCCTTTCCCTCTGGCTCCTCCCAAACCTCTCTGCTATCACCAGCTACTGTGCTCACCATGCCATCCACTCTTCAGACACTGAATGAGGGCAAACATTTACTCCCTGCCTGCTCCAACTCTTCTCCCGCCTCACCCCCAGGGTCATTCATTCAGCTGTCTACTGAGGTCTTTTGTTGTGACAGGCATTGAGGGATACGGCAGGGGCAAGAGTCCCTAGCACTGAAGAGACTGCAGTCTGGTGGAAAACATGGAATTTTTTTTTTTTTTTGAGATGGAGTCTCGCTCTGTTGCCCAGGCTGGAGTGCAATGGCACGATCTTGGCTCACTGCAACCTCTGCCTCCCAGGTTCAAGTGATTCTCCTGCCTCAGCCTCCCGAGTAGCTGGGACTACAGGTGTTCGCCACCACGCCTGGCTAATTTTTGTATTTTTAGTAGAGCCAAGGTTTCGCCATGTTGGCCAAGGCTAGTCTCAAACTCCTGATCTCAGGTGATCTGCCTGCCTTGGCTTCCCAAAGTGCAGGGATTATAGGCATGAGCCACCACTCCTGCCCAAAAACATGGATATCAATCAAATAATGAGTTAATTACAATGAAGAAAGTTCGTGGGACTATGCCAGTTTATAACCAAATGACCTCATCTAGTCTGAAGGGGTCCAGAAGGCTTACCTGAGGAAGTATTGTCTCAGCTGAGACAGAGAGGAATGGATTCCAGGGACCTGGCAGGCAAAGAGGAAAGGGGGCCTGGCTAGGGACTGTGGCTGTGGGGAACATGTGGAGTGCCAACCAGCAGTTTGGCTGAAGTGTGCCTCCAGCTCACGGCTGTCTTGCAAGAATGCAAGAATGAGGGTCTGTGTGGCCAATTTCTGGCTTCTCAAAAGGAACCAGAAGTCTGGGTTTTTATGTGAGATCTCTCAATGTTTAAATGTTAAGGAAATAAATAATTTAAAAAACATGCCTATAGAAGGAACATTAAGATCTGTGCATTTTCTTTGTTAACTATCCTTCAATTCAAAAAAACAAATCTGCAGGCTGGACTGGCCCATGGGCTGCTAGTTCTCGGCCTCTAATTTAGCTGCGTGTTGGGAGCAGGGAGAGAGACAAGGGGCTTCCGGGCAGAGACCAGTGCCGTGGAAACAGAAGAGGACAGGGAAAATCACATCAGAGGAAATGGGGGAGAGAGGCAGAGTCCAGAATGCGGAGCCTTGACGCCATGTTGAGCCTCATTTCTTTTGTTTTTTGTTTTTTTTTTTTGAGACAGGGTCTCCCTCTGTTGCCCAGGCTGGAGTGCAATGGCGCTATCTCGGCTCACTGCAGCCTCCGCCCCCCGACCCGGGTTCAAGCGATTCTCCAGCCTGAGCCTCCCAAGTAACTGGGATTGCAGGCGTGTGCCACCATGCCCAGCTAATTTTTGTATTTTTAGTAGAGATGGAGTTTCGCATGTTGGCCAGGCTGGTCTGGAACTCCTGACCTCAGGTGATCCATCCGCGTCGGTCTCCCAATATGCTGGGATTACAGGTGTGAACCATCGCGCCCGGCCTTGAGCCTCATTACTTAAGGCAGGAAGAAACCATTAGAAATCTTGGAGCTGGGGCGCAACATTATCAGATTTGGTTTTTGGAAAGAGCAGGAATGCAGATGGGCTGGCCGAGGTGAGAGCGTGTGTGTGGGACCCGTTTAGAAACTCAGCGGTCATCCAGGGAAGAGAGGCAGTTGGCAGTGGCAGAAACCGGGAGCCAATTCAATGTCTATTTAGGAGGCAATATCAACAGGGCTGGATGACTGACTGGATTTAAGTTAGGAAGGAAGCGGGAGGAGCCAAGAGCATGTGGGGAGAGGTGGGGCGGGGGAGGGGGGGAGCCACAGGCCACGAGTGTGCCTGTGGACATGCGGTGATACTGGTGTAGGTGGCCTCTGCTTGCCCTCACAGTCTGCTGCACTTACCATGTGGCGTGATCACCACGTGGCGTGCACCAGCCTTCCCTTCAGCTGGGGGCCCAGCACCCTAGGGCTCAGCTTGTATCCCTAAGGCCCAGGCCAGTTCCAGGCCCAAGGTGGGTACCTGGTACCCATTATGACCTTACCTCACTTCTCAGGGGACCTGAGAGAGCCTGCAGAAAGAAGGCTTTGATGGAAGGAAGGAGAGCATATAGGCTGGTCAGGCATGAACCAGGTGGTTCTGTGAGCCTCTGCAATGCTCAAAGCAGACGAACCCTGAATGCGGAGACAAAGCCCTCAACCCGCCCCTCTCAGGACAGTCAGGCTTCCTGGGCAGCCCATCTGGCCTCACTGGGTGCCCGCTATGTGATCTCAGGAAGTCACAGAACCTCTGTGCCCAGCTTCTTCATTAGGAAATGGGGAGAATACCTCCTTAAGGATTACAATGAGGACCAAATGAGATCATTCATGTAAAGTGGCTGACGCAGGGCCTGGCACATGTAAGGGCTCAATAAAGTCTACTGCCTTCTGTTTATCATGATTTGCTCTGCTTCTACTTGTACAAGGCATGGGGTTGTTCATCTGGTTAATCTGGTTTCCCAGGTATCCTGATGGGAGGAACCCAGGTGATCCCTAGTGAGGGGCGTGTCCATTCCAGATCACAGGAGGAATGTCCCATGACGCATTCCCATGTCCCATGACTTAACAGCACTAAGACCTGTTGGTCACCTCAGGGAAAGTCCAGTTTTCCATTCACAGAGCTGATGACCAGACCCTGGGCTCTAGTGAACAAGAAGCCCCCAGATGGCACTGCTGTGTCTGAGGATGACAACCTCCTCTAGGGTCCGCCTCCACATACCTACCCTGCCACTCACCAGCCCAGGGCTTTGCGGTTTCCTAAAAGAGCATGTTCACATTTGTGGCTTAATGAATTCTAGTGCTCACATATATCCTAAGTGCTCCAGGTAGGAGCCTTCCCATCAGACAGAGGAGGAGGCAAAGACCCACAGAGCTGGCAGGAGCTGCTCGGTCCCGTGCAGCTCTGAAGGTGCTGAGCAGGGACAGAGCTCACCACAGGCTGGATGTCCCAGGCTCTTAGGCTTATCGCCGCCAACCACCCTTAGACCGCCCTCACCTTCCCCACAGGAGTCATCTTTGTGAAGGACACTCAAATAGGAACTCTCTGGAAAGGAGCACAGAGATGCCTGCTTCACTGCAACCCCTGGCCTTGCAGCCACATCCTCTGCTCCTGGGGGCTGTGGCCAGGGATGGGGCAATCACACCACTGGGCTCAGGCGAGTCTCGGTTTGTCACTATTCCCAGGGGCATTCGAGGTATCTCCATCCCATCTCTTGTCACATTCAACCTCACTCTAAAAGGGTCTGATGTACAGAATCAATGTGCCCATAAACAGTCCTGGGCACAGTCTGTCCATGAATAAAACCATATTTTAAGGCACCAGGACACTTATTATGTAAAAGAATTCTACGGTGACTCTTTGAAAAGTGAAAAATTCTTCGATAGATGGACTAATTACTCCCTACTTCATCCTTTGTTCAGCTCTGAACACAATTAGCATCAGGATGGTTTGAGGCTCCTCCTTCTATGACTGCTCCTGTGGTGCCTCTGTGGACAGGATTCACATCTTTGTGGGGCTTCATATGCTCCTAGGTATTTTAGGCATGCCCACTCACCCTATCAGGTGGAGAGGTCAGGTGGAGGCTGGAGACAGGCTGGGAAGCAGCAAGTCCCCAGGACTGGGCCCACCCTGCTCCACTCTCCTGACTGTGCTCCCCAAGGCTCTCAACCCGGCTTTGGGCCTCCGCTGTGCCAGCCATCCTTTGCCTCCCCACTTCCACACACCAGCCCTACGCTTTCCCAAGGATACAGCGTAGCCAGCGGGCACCCAGTGGTGAGGCAGGAGGGGAACAAGGATCCCAAAGCCGATCACAGCAAAGAAGAGGTACAGCAGCCAGGCCACAATCTGGAGCGGGTGAGGGGGCCAGCTCCACCCATTCCGGCGGGATCGCTGGCCCTGCAGCTCAGGGGAGGGTCCGCTGGGCTGTGCCGGTGCCGTCCACACACTCTTCTCAGGGGCCGTCTTGTTGGAGGGCTTGTTGCAGATGTTCATCTCCAGAGGGAGAAACAGTAGAGAGAGCATTAGCCCAAGAAGCTGGGCTGGAGCCCAGGGCCTGTGTCTGCAGCCAAGTTTCAGCACAGGGGGAGTAGGCTGCGACAGCTACTCTGCTGGGGAAACTGGGGTCCTAGCACAATAGAGATGGGCAGTGGGGAGAGGGTGGGAGTGGGCTGCTGTCTCAAAGCCCAAAGCAAACCCTGGCCCTAGACTGGCCAGGACAAGGTAGGAGGGCCCAGGATTTATTCAGGACACAGTGCTGCTGCCTGTAACTCAAAGTGCTGTCTTCACAGCCATCACAGTTAAACCCAATAAGACATGTTCTCATCTGGTAACAATATCAGGCTGGGGCCAGAGTGATGAGAACACATGCTGATTCTGTTAGGATTAGTCACCTCCTTCCTGAGGTCCAAATGCAAGTGTCAGACACCCCCGCTATCCTTTGCTCAGGGAAACGGGGAATGGGGTGCCCAGAAGGAGGATCTGCCCTCTCCCCCACGGTGGACAGAAAATCCCTTTAGGACTGGGGGAGTCTGAAGCTCTGCCCCATGCTGCCTGAGGGTTCTCAGCTGGGGAGGGGCCAGCACATGTGAGGAAGGGAAGGATTCCTCTTTAGTTCCCTTCAGCAGCAGAAATGACCACGTTTCTCTAAGTAAATCTGGGCCTGGTGTACAGTTTTGTACAGAAAGGTGGGCTAACGCCCTTGGACTCAGAGCCAGACCACCAGATGGCATCAACCACCCCCTCCACCCGCCACCCTCTAGCCGGACAGCTGGCCCAGGGTCCAGGGATGAATGCCAGGCAAGAAGGGGTAGGCTACAGGAGGAAGACCCCCATCCCCAGGATATGGGCCCAAGATGGGACAACAGCTCAGGCAGGCAGCGCCACACCTGGGAGACAGGCCAGCTCTGCGCTCATGGTGGGAAGGCCAGGAGCTGGGACTAAAACCCTGGTAGCTGAACTCTCCTTTCAGGAGCCCCTGCCCATGAGACAGGGAACCTAAGCAGAAAGGGTGCCGCAGACCCCGACTCAGTGCATCTTCCTGGATCACCTTTCTCACTTCTCAATCCACAGAATGAGGCTTGATCTTCAGAGCCAACTGCAAGGGTTGCCTCATCCAGGAAGCTTTCCCTGATGCCCTGAGTCAGGGGGCCCTTATGCTAAGTCATTGTTGGGCAAATTACTTTGCCATTTGGGACGCTTTGCAATCCTCATGTCTGCCCTCATTAGGACAACTTTCCCCAAAGGCAGCAAATGTGCTGGGTGGGGTTTATTCATCTCTGTCCCCTATGTCCCTTCCCCCAGGCACCCAAAATTGTACCTTGTACATAGTAGATCCTCAGTAAATGTTTGCTGACTTGAAAACAGCTGAAATAAAAGGAAACGTGGGCACAGTAAATGGTGTGGAATCCTGGTCCACCCTAAGCCATCTGGCCTGCTTTCTCCTGCCTTCCATCCATCCAGCCCTGCCCTCTTTCTGCAGGGTCGTGAACCCATGCCTCCCGCAGCCCATCTCCCTCTGCCGGCTGGCTACCACCCTGACTGCCAGACACTCACTCCTAGCCACCCTGCCCTTCAGCCCACCTGAGGCTCAGAGCCTCCTGCAGGCCAAGCCAAGCATTATTTGAAGTGACCTCTGAGTTGTCCCATCTCAAAGCTAAATGGAGGACTTAGTTTTCCCCCAGGGATTCAACTGGTGGTATTTGGGTTTTGGGTTTAGGGTTTTTTTTTTTCTTCTGAGACAGGATCTTGCTCTGTTGCCCAGGCTGGAGTGCAGTGGCACCATCACAGCTCACTGTAACCTTGACCTCCTGGGCTCAAGTGATCCTCCCACCTCAGCCTCCAGAGTAGCTGGAAGTACAGGCACGCACCACCACACCTGGCTACTTTATTTTATTTTTTTGTAAAGACAGGGTCCCACTATGTTGCCCAGGGTGGTCTCCAACTCCTGGACTCCAGACTCAAGAGATCCGCCAGCCTTGGCCTCCCAAAGTGCTGGGATTAGAGGCGTGAGCCACCGTGCCCGGCCTTGCTTTGTTTTGTTTTGTTTTTTGTTTTTGAAACAGGGTCTTGCGCTGTCACCCAGGCTGGAGTGCCGTGGCGCAATGATAGCTCACTGAAGCTTCAATCTCCTGGGCTCAAGTGATCCTCCTGCCTCAGCCTCCTGAGTAGCTAGAAATACAGCGGCGTGTTGCCATGCCTAGCTATTTATTTTTTATTTTTGCAGAGACAGTCCCACTATGTTGCCCAGGCTGGTCTCCAACTCCTGGGCTCAAGCGATCTTCCCACTTTATCCTCCCAAAGCACTGAGATTACATGCATGACCCACTATCCCAGCCCTCACTTTCTTTTGCATGTCCCCAAAGATAGCAAATCTTTGTCCTTGTATTGTGGAATTGTCAAAGGTCATCAGGTCAAGCCCTGTGAATATGATTGGGTTGGATGGTTCTGCTCTGGGGCCAATCTCTGTGGCTTGCACATCAGCTCCCCAGTGACACCATCACCAGGGCAATTACTTTGAAAGGAATCCATTAATTTGGATTCCTAAATTCTGGCTCTCCTTTTGCCATCCCCAAACCTGAACAACCCTACACCTTGCAGGAGTTTCCAAAGAGCAAAACAGACGCATGCAGCTGATCTGGCCCCACTGCCTGGCAGTGGCCACAGGCACCCCCAGAGCTGCTGTATCCCTGACTCCTGAGGCAGGAGGAGTCACCATCTGCAGCCAGGCGCCCGCCACTTACAGCCTTGGGGATGGCTCTGACTCCAAATCAGGATACCCCCTGATACTCCAAATCAGGATACCCGCTGATACTCCAAATCAGGATACCCCCTGATACTCCAAATCAGGATACCCCCTGATACTCCAAATCAGGATACTCCCTGATACTCCAAATCGGATACCCCCTGATACTCCAAATCAGGATACCCCCGATACTCCAAATCAGGCCCAGGAAGGGAGCACTTGTCTGAGGCTGTGGATGTGGGGATGGTGCTGCCAGGCAGACCTCCCTCAGCAGAGGCAGCATTCTGGTATAGACGCCCAGGCTGGCCCAGAGGCATGCCCAGGCCAGCCCACTCTTCACTGACGACATTTTCTCCTGCAGAGTTGGTGGCTACAAATTCCTTCGGCCCAAAAGATTTTGATTAAAAGGGCTGGGAGGTCGGAGAGAATCCAAGATGGGGCTCCCAGGCCCATGGATGGGACCAAGCACTGTCACCAGACCCCGGGACTTCTCTGGCTGTTGCTCCCCTCTCAGCACTTCTCTAGGAGACCAGATTGAAAGACATGTGGCTCTGTTCTCCAACGACGTAGCCAGCTGGCACCCTCTGACCTTGGCCAGTCAGCACTTATCGGAGCCCAGCCTGCGCACTTAGGATGTAAACACAGATGAGACCGGGTGCCTGCCCTCAGGGGCTTCTCTTCTGGGACCTGGACGGACACGAACAGATACCAGGGCAGTGGGTGAATGGGCATTTTGGCAGCCCATGCAAGGGCCAGCCATCCAATGTGGCAGAACACAGGGTGGACAGGTGGCGGGGGTGGGGGGTGGGGGAAGGAGGGAATGGAGAGCAGGACCCAGTGAGAGATGGGACTGAAGGAGTTGCGGGGCTCAGATCACAGGGGTCTAGGAGGCCAGGTGAGGACACATGGGCACTGCTGGAAGAGCCACATGGAGGCAAAGCAGGCTGAAGGCATGAGAGTGACCCAATGGCTCAGGGTGCTTTGGAAAACTTTCTAGCCAGTGGGGAGGAGGGCATGGGGGAAGCGGCACCACAGTGGCCCAGCAGGGAGCCCAGCAGCCCTGTGCTTTGGGAGAAACTTGTCAGAAGGTGGCGGTGAAGCCCACAAGCTCCTTGCTGCCCACCTGGCTACCTCCAGCTGCATCTTTGCAAGGCTCAGAGGTACACAGCCTTGGGAAAACATTCTTCATGTACCTTCTACTGCCACAGAACAAACCATAGAGAGTCAGGCTGGCCGGGATAAAGGGAAGACAGGAAGGAGGGTGTCCCGTGGCCTGGGTAAGCCAAGGACCCACCTGGCTTCTGAGGCAGGCAGGAGGGGCTGTGGAGGCCCCTCCCTTATCCCCCACAAGGTGAAAGCCATTGGCAGGATGACAGTAATCTGTTCACATTAACATTCACTTGCTAAAAGCCTTAGATGGTGTTTTCAATATAAGGTTAGGCTACCTTAATTAATTATTATTATTATTATTATTATTATTATTGTTATTATTTAGACTGAGTCTCACTCTGTCGCTCAGGCTGGAGTACAGTGGTATGAGCTCAGCTCACTGCAACCTCCACCTCCCAGGTTCAAGCGATTCTCCTGCCTCAGCCTCCCAAGTAGCCGGGATTACAGGCATGCACCACCACGTCCAGCTAATTTTTATGTTTTTAGTAGAGACGGGGTTTCACCATGTTGGCCAGGATGGTCTCAAGAACTCCTGACCTCAGATGACCCACTCAGCTCGGCCTCCCAAAGTGCTAGGATTACAGGCATGAGCCACCACGCCCTGCCTGCGTACCTTAATTTATATGCTTAAGTCAAATGAAGGAAATCTTAACATTTTAAGTTCTCATTACGAACTACATTATAGTTACATGAGTGACCCACTTTCCTCCTGCCCACCTCTGCTCCCAACAAAAAAAAAACCATTTAGGAATGTTGTTCTGAAATTCATGCCTAGCACTCTCAAAGGAACCACACCAAGGTGAAAAGTACCAGCCCTGGAGAGACTGCGGGCATCCCTGGATTCCTGCAAGCTACCTGAGGGCTTCAGAATCAAGTTAATTACTAAAGAGGGTTTGCCAGGAGAGGACAAGGAACTGGGAGGGCAGGGTGATGGGGTCAGAGGAGAAAGCGACGGGGTTGAAGCAGGTGCTTGGAGGGCCCTGCACTGCCAATGGGGAGACGCAGGTGGGATCAAAGGAAGAGGGCTGAGCCTGGAGTAGAGCCCTTTTCTGGTTCCCGAGCTGCCACTCACAGACTGAGGAACATTGGGGCAAATTTCACAGATCCACTTCTTTGGATCTCTTCTGTACTCATCTTTCAACAAAGTTCAGTGAAGCAATTTGGCAATATCCAAGTCTGGCGAAACTTTAGAACATATATGCCCTTTGACCCAGACATTCCATTTCTAGGTATTTATCTTATACATATACTCACAAAGATTTACTGCAGCATTGTTTGCAATAATAAAGGACAAAAGACAATACAAATAAACTATGGCACATCCATACAATAAAATGCTAGGCAGCATCAAAAGCAAGGGATAAAAAAAGAAAAAAAAGGGATGAAGTAATCTTTGATACACAATTAAGTGAAAAAGCAAGATGAAGAACACTTGTAGATGGCGCTACCAAGTGAATGAAAACAAAGGGGGCCGGGCGCGGTGGCTCACGCCTGTAATCCCCACACTTTGGGAGGTCGAGGAGGGCAGATCACTTGAGGTCAGGAGTTCGTGACCAGCCTGGTCAACCTGGTGAAACCCCATCTCTACTAAAAGTACAAAAATTAGCTGGGCGTGGTGGTGCGGGCCTGTAGACCCAGCTACTCGGGAGGCTGAGGCAGGAGAATTGCTTGAACCCGGGAGGCAGAGGTTGCAGTGAGCCGAGATCGTGCCACTGCGCTCCAGCCTGGGCAACAGGCGAGACTCTGTCTCAAAAAAAAAAACAAAAAAAGGCTGCGGGGATGGATAGATATCTACATTCCTATACGCACAGATTTTCTCCAGAATGAAATGCAAGAAACCAAACACAGGAGCATCCCCTAGGAATGAGACCTAGTGGTCCAAGAGCTGTAAGACAGAAATTGCATTTCCTGGTACTCCTTCAAACTGTTCAAATATATATATATTTTTATCATGAGCATGTACTGCTTTTGAAAAAAAAAAAGTATGTCTAATAATAAATGATTAGGGGATGTCACCTCCTGCCTTCCTGGCCCCACTGAGCTGCCTTGTGGATGAAACACACTCGTGTGATCTAGAGCCCTGTTATCATGCCAGACAAAGAATTCCTGCCTAACAAGGGGGCTTGGTTTTAGTGAAATGTTTTCTCACTCTTGAAAGCAATTCTAAGACGCTTGGCTGCAGAGCTATGAGGAAAAGCCACAGAACTTCCTATGAACTGTTAGGGATCTTGTCAAAGCTGGAATCACACAACCAGACAGCACAACAGAGGAGCTGCTAGGCAGGACCTGCTTCATCCTTGGCCACAGCCAACTCAGCTACCTGAGACTCCCAGAACCCGAAGGGAAAGTGCACTCCACAGGAAACTTTTGTTCCCATGCATCTTGTCCTTTTGCTAGAGGACTTGTGGTTTCCATGTGAGAGATTTTCTTCTCTTTTCTTTCACTTTTTTTTTTTTAAGACGGAGTTTCACTCTTGTTGCTCAGGCTGGAGTGCAGTGGTGCGATCTTGGCTCACTGCAGCCTCTGCCTCCTGGGTTCAAGTGATTCTCCTGCCTCAGCCTCCCGAGTAGCTGGGATTACAGGTGCCCGCCGCCACGCCCGGCTACTTTTTGAATTTTTTTAATAGAGACGGGGTTTCACCATGTTGGCCAGGCTGGTCTCGAACTCCTGACCTCAGGTGATCCACCCGCCTCGGCCTCCTAGCCACTGCACCCAGCCTATTTTTTTTTTTTTTAAGAGACAGGATCCTGCTTTGTTGCCTAAGCTGGAGTGCAGTGGTGCAATCATCGTTCACTGTAACCTCAAACTCATGGGTTTATGCAAGCCTCCCACCTTGGCCTCCCAAAGCGCTGGGATTACAGGTGTAAACAACCGTGCCCAGTCGGGAGATTTTCTATCTATGAGTATTCCTAAATGAACTTTCCGTTTCCCCCAGGATCTGCTTTTGAAATAATTTTCACTGAGATTTAACAGATGCCCAGTTGAACTACCTAAAGGGAAGCTAGAAAGAAAACACTTCACGGTACACAGATTTTTACACTGCAAAAAGTCATTTACAAAAGATTCTTTAGGGACAAGTACTTTGTTTATTAAAATTCCCCACAGGTGCCAGAGAAGTCTCTGGCCTTAAAATTCTGAGAAGCAGCTCTAGCTCAACTAACGGATGCGCATCACACAACTACCAAAAATTAAACTGGAACTTCAAGCTGTTCCCAAAGACCTCTCAAGTCACTGATCTCAGATGTGGCTGGGCCCTTGCTTTCTCTCTCATAAACAACAGGTGGAAGTCTGATGCTGGTTGGACCCAGTGGCTCATGCCTGTAATCCCAGAACTTTGGGAAGCCGAGGCGGGCAGATCACCTGAGGTCAGGAATTCGAGACCAGCCTGGCCAACATGGTGAAACCCGTCTCTACTAAAAATACAAAAATTAGCCAGGCATGGACGTGGGTGCCTGTAATCCCAGCTACTCTGGAGGCTGAGGCAGAAGAATCTCTTGAACCCAGGAGGTGGAGTTTGCAGTGAGCCGGGATCATGCCATTGCACTCCAGACTGGGCAACAGAGCGAGACTCCGTCTCAAAAAAAAAAAAAAAAAAAAAAAGTCTGATGCTATGGCAAGAAAAGCTTGAAACTCCAATTATTCCTGAGTTGACATGGTTTGCAAACATTTTCTGTGCCATTCTCCTCCTGAAGCAACCACTGCAAATTGTTTGGGATACAAATGAAGCCAAGGAAAGGGGACAAGTAGGAGGGAGTAACACAGAATAGAAACAAGGCCAGTGAAGAGAGGCCAAGGTTATTGACTTTAACCAGGAAATCAACTCATGACTGCAGGAGCCAGCCTTGGGGAACACCCACCACACAAGAGTCATTAAAAACAACGTTGTGACAGAACAAAGAAAGAAAAACAAAAACAAAACAAAACAATCTGGCTAATTAAGCACCACTGTTGCTTTTACTGCATCTCATGGTGATTATCTGTTTACAAACCCGTCTCCCACAGTGAACCACCAGTTCCACAAAAGCAGAGACCACCCCTCACCCGTGTCTGAACCCAGCTCTCTTTCAGTAAAGGAAGTCAAGCCACTTTTTTACCATCTCTGCTGTCATTACCCCAATCCAAACCTCCAGCATCGCTCTCCTACAGTGTTTGCATGATAATAACCAACACCAGCATTTAGAATGCACTTATTCTGTGCCAGGCACTGTTTCAGTGGAATTCACTCATTCAATCCTCATAGAGCTCTAAGGAAGGTCCTATCATTTCCAACTGTTCTTGTAGATCCCTGTAGTCACTGATTTCAGATGTGACTGGCCTCTCACTTCCTCATAAAAAACATACAGAACACCCACTCCCATCATGAGGACACTGAGGCTCAGAGACACTAAATGAGTTATTTTAGGAGGCACAGCTAGATTGGCAGAACTAGGATGGCCCTCAACTGACTTCCCGGTATGTCTGTCACAACCATGCTGCTCAGCAGCCAGAGTGAAGTGAGCTTTTCAAACGTGAAACTCATCCAAACTCTTCTTTGGGAGGCCAAGGTGGCTGGATCACCTGAGGTCAGGAGTTCAAGACCAGCCTGGCCAACATGTTGAAACCCCGTTTCTACTAAAAATACAAAAATTAGCTGGGTGTGGTGGCAGGCGCCTGTAATCCCAGACTTGGGGGGCTGAGGCAGGAGAATCGCTTGAACCCGGGAGGTGGAGGTTGCAGTGAGCCGAGATTGTGCCATTGCAGTCCAGCCTGGGTGACAGAGCGAGACTCCATCTGGAAAATAAAAATAAAAATAAACAAAAAATAAAAAACTCTTCTGCCGCTTGCAGTGGCTCACACCTGTAATCCCAGCACTTTGGGAGGCTGAGGCAAGAGGATCCCTTGAGACCAGGAGCTCGAGACCAGCCTGGGCAAAATAGTAAGACCTCATCTCTACCAAAACCTTAAAAAATTAGCTGAGCGTGGTGGCGGGTATCTGTAGTCTCAGCTACTTGGGAGGCTGAGGCGGGAGGATCGCTTGAGCCCGGGAGCCGGAGCCTGCGGTGACCCATGTTCACACCACAGCACTCCAGCCTGGGTGACAAAGGGAGACCTTGTCTCAAAAAAATAAAAAATTGGCTGGGAACGGTGGCTCACACCTGTAATCCCAACGCTTTCGGAGGCCGAGGCGGGTGGATCACCTGAGGTCAGGAGTTCGAGAACAGCCTGGCCAACATGGTGAAACCCCGTCCCTACTAAAAATATAAAACTTAGCCGGGCGTGGCGGCGGGCGCCTGTAATCCCAGCTACTCCAGAGGCTGAGGCAGCAGAATGGCTTGAACCCGGGAGGCGGAGGTTGCAATGACCCGAGTCGTGCCACTGCGCTCCATCCAGCCTGGGTGACAAGAGCGAAACTCCGTCTCAAAGAAAAAACTAAAACTCTTCCCATGGTTTCCTTTTAAAACAGACCCTCCATGACCAACCCCTCCATTTCAATACCAGAGAGCCTAACCCGACCTGAAATCACTTTAGTCATGTATGACATCCGCTTCCCAGCCCCCTTCCTTAATGCTCTGGGTTCTGGAGACAGACCACGTCTGTTGGGAGTCCTCTGTGCCCACGCCTGGCACAGAGCCTGGCAAAGAGTAAGCGCTCAAGGAAGATCTGTGAACTTGATGCATGCTAAAAGGAAGCCCCGCGCTCTGCCGGGGCCCTGGAACTCAGGCCACCGGCTCCAGGCGGAAGCGAGCCCAAAGCCGGCCAGGCGGCAGCATCCGCTACCCCGTGGCTCAAGCCAGGCTCCGAGGTGAGAAACCGGGCGGGGACTCCTCACCTGCGCGCCGCGGAGGCCGTGCCAGATGGGCCCTGCCAAAGTCAGCCAGAGGTTCGGGCCCCACGCCTGGCCTTCCACCCTCCCCGGGGCAGCCGCGCCTCAGACCCTCGCGGTAGGGACGGTCCCCGGGACTGGGCGGCAACGCGCCCGGGAGCGGGGCCCCATCCCGGACGGAGACTGGGCCGGTGAGTCCTCGAGCTCTGGCTCTGGCTCCGGCTCCGGCTCCGGCTCCGGCTCCGGCTCCGGCTCCAGCAGGCTGGAGGGGCGGCCAGGCCAGACCCAGACTGGCTGGGCCTCGTCCGGCGCTGGGCCCGTTCCCCTGACAACGGCGCGGGCTACGGCGCCCCACAGCGGCCAAACCGCGCTGCGTCACTCCGCGCCGGTCCCCCGGCCAGGGCGGGGCTTGCCAGGGACCCTCTTGGTGCCCCAGTCGGCCCATTCCCAGATTCTTCCTAACCTTTCGTCTAGAAAATCCGCTTTTCCCTACTCCCGAGTCACAGCTTGTCTCCCCGAAATCCTAACATCTCAAAAGCGCCCCCTTCCAGTTTCTATCCTGAGACCACCGCTCTCAAGAAGAGACCTCCCCCAACCCCAGTCAACCTGCACACTTCAATGAGCGTATGTGCTGGAACATCCATGATATCCCGACCCTTCCGGGAGCTTACAGGTTAAGAGGCAAACAGATCTAGACAAATAAATTACACCACTAAAAATGCAGGTACCCCAGAATATAAAGCGAGAAGCGTAAGAGCTTAAAATAAGCAGCACAAAATATCTCATTTATTTATTGCCTTTAAATCAAGCAAAAATCAAGCCCCAATCTTCCAGGCTGATGGGAAATTCAGTCTTTTTCTATTTTTTAAACTGGTCTCTGTTACCCAGGCTGGAGTGCAGTGGCACGATCACGGCTCTCTGCAGCCTCGAACTCCTGGGCTCAGGCGATCCTCCCGCCTCAGCCTCCAGAGTAGCTAGGACTACAGGCGAACACCACCACGCCCGACTAATTTTCGCATTTTTTTGTAGAGGCGTGGTTTTGCCATGTTGCCCAGGCTGGTTTCGAACTCCTGAACTCAAGCGACCCGCCCACCTCAGCCTCCAAAAGTGCTAGGATTACAGGCGTGAGCCCCTGCCCGGCCGGGAAATTCAGTCTCAGTCTCCACTGTACTCCTTTTAGCTAGGTAATTCCAAAGGACTCATGTTTTCCTATAGCAAAAAACAACAATCAAAAACAAATAAGCAAAAAACTCTCTGGTCAGGGTTTTGTCTGGTACTGAGGCCACAACCATTGCTCCAGTCCACAAAGATTTTCAGGTTTGGGCTCTATGAGGCCATCCCTGCCTGAGGCCCCTGCCTCTCCCTGGGGCTGCCAGGGACAGACACCTGCTTCCTCTGCTCCATGGCCTGCAGCCTCCCTTCCCTTTCTCTACCTGGGAGACTTCCCTGCTAACTTGGTTTCCCTAAAAGTCCCCTCTCCTCTTCTCCTTGTGGACACTCAGAATGGAATCTTCTATGAGCTCAGGCTTTCTCAAAAGACAGGAAGACACTTTGTCTTCTGCTATCTGTCCTGTGCGCATCTCCAAGGCAGATATGACAGATAGGGAAAGAAAACATCCTTATCTCTAAAATGTATAAGTCACAAGCATACTTATTGTATGTTTTATTAGGCAACATAACTACTCCTTCTCTGTCACATGACAGGTGTGTGGGTCCTTGTGCAAGTGACATAACCTATTACTTAAATTCTTGTTTTCAAGACTGATAAACTCAAACTCAATGTGAGATAAATATCAATGCTATTCTGGCTTCAGAGTACAAGCTGACTACTTAACTCTTATCTGGAATTGGAAAACTTCGGGTCAAACAGAGATCATGACCCAGAAATCAAGGTGAAGGATGAGGCTGGATGCAGTGGCTCACACCTGTAATCCCAGCACTTTAAGGAGGCTGAGGCAGGAAAATCACTTGAAGCCAGGAGTTTGAGACCAGCCTGGGATACATAGAGAGACTCCCATCTCTACAAAAGATGAAAAAAAATAGCTGGGCCTGGTGGCCTGTGCCTATAGTCCCAGCTACTCACGAGGCTGGGGCAGGAGAAAAGAATCACTTGAGTTCGGGAGTTCAAGATTGCAGTGAATTACGATCATGCCACTGCACTCCAGCCTGGGTGAAAGTAAGATCTTATCTCTCAGCTGGTCTCAGTGGCTCACACCTGTAATCCCAACACTTTGGGAGGCCAAGGCAGGTGGATCATGAGGTCAGGAGATCGAGACCATCCTGGCTAACACGGTGAAACCCCATCTCCACTAAAAGTACAAAGTAAGCCAGGCGTGATGGCATGTGCCTGTAGTCCCAGCTACTCGGGAGGCTGAGGCAAGAGAATGGCTTGAACCCAGGAGGCAGAGGTTGCAGTGACCCGAGATCGCACCACTCTACTCCAGCCTGAGTGACAGAGTGAGACTCTGTCACACACAAAAAAAATCTTATCTCTCTCTCTCTCTCTTTTTTTTTTTTTTTTGAGACGGAGTCTCGCTCTGTCTCCCAGGCTGGAGTGCAGTGGTGCGATCTCAGTTGACTGCAGCTTCCACCTCCCGGGTTCAGGCGATTCCCCTGCCTCAACCTCCCGAGTAGCTGGGATTACAGTTGCCTGCCACCATGGGATTGCAGGCATGAGCCACTGTGCCCGGTCAGATTTTATCTCTTTAAAAAATAATAATAAATAAATAAATATTTTAAAAAACAAGGTGGGACTGGGCATGGTGGCTCACACCTGTAATCTGAGCACTTTGGGAGGCCGAGGCAGGCAGATCACTAGAGGTCAGGAGTTTGAGACCAGCCTGGGCAACATGACGAAACCCTGTCTCTACCAAAAATACAAAAATTGGCCGGGCATGGTGGTCTGCGCCTGTAATCCCAGCTACTCGGGAGGCTGAGATGGGAGGATCGCTTGAACCCAGGAGGCAGAGGTTGCAGTGAGCCGAGATTGTGCCATTGCACTCCTTACAGGCGACAGAACAAGACTCTGTCTTTAAATAAATAAATAAATGCAAATACAAATAAAAATTAAAAAACAAAGTGAAAGATGAATCCATATATTCCCATAATAAGGGGAGGGACCCAAAAGACCCTGGATCCACTTGACTCAGGGGCTTCTCTCCTGGATGTCCCATTGGTGTCTGGGATGTAACACATCCCCACATGTCCTCTTTGTCCTTGCCACAAATCTGCTCCTCCCCTTGGGCCCTCTGAAGGGCACCACCATCTACCCAGTAAGCCCATCTGTACACTTAGGCATCTTCCCATGTCTCTCCTGCTAGTCCTTGCCCACCTAAACCAGATAGTGCCTGTGACCAGGCTGCCCTCACTCTGAAACACATTCTGTGTCCATTCTTCCTGCTCCACCCCAGCCCAGACCACCAGCATCTTCCTTGCTGAGCCTGCAGCAGCCTCCAGTTCTCCCTAACATCAGCCTGCCCACTTCCGGCCCATCCTCCTCTCAGTTGCCAGACTATCCTTCCTTCTCTTTGTTAGAGGAGGTAGTAGTCTGAATGATAGCGCCACAATGATGTCATCGCCCTAATCCCTGGAATCTTTGAATGTGTTATGTGATACATCAAAGGGGATTTTGCAGATGAGATGAAGTTAAGATCTCAAGATGGAAGAGATTATCCCAGGTTATCTGAGTGAGCTCAATGTAGTCACAAAGGTCCTTATAAGAGGGAGGCAGGAGGGTCACATGGGAGAAGGACCACGTAACGACAGAGGTCAGAGAGATTTGAAGGTGCTACACTGTGGGCTTTGAAGATGGAGGAAGGGGCCTGAGCCAAGGAATGCAGGCAGCCTCTAGATGCTGGAAAAGGCTAGGGGGCAGACCCTCCTCTAGAGGCTCCAGAAGGAATCAGCCTGCTGTTACCTCGACTCTAGCCCAGGGGGACCCATTTCCAACTTCTGACCTCAAGAACTGTCAAGATGACACAATTGGCAGTGATTTGTTTCAGCAGCAATAGGAAATGGATACAGTGGTTTGCAAACAGGGTTAAGTGCACATATATATGCCCAGTGAAAGCTGTTTTCAATTGAAACAAAAATCCAAGAGACAGCTCAGATTCCTTTGACATCTTTTATTTTTTAAGCGGGCGGGAGGGGGGTGGTTGGGGGGGCAGGGGATGAGTTCTCTCTCTGTCACACAGCCTAGAGCAGAGTGCCGTGATCTTGGCTCACTGCAGCCTCCGTCTCCTGGGCTCAAACGATCCTCCCACCTCAGCCTCCTGAGTAGCTCGGACTACAGGCATACACCATCACACCTTGCTCGGGGTTTTTTTTGTTTTTTTTTTTTTTTTGTACTTTTGATACAGACAGGGTCTTGCTATGTTGCCCAGGCTGATCTCAAACTCCTGAGCTCAAGCCATCCACCCACCTCAGCCTCCCAAAATGCTGGGATTACAGGCATGAGCCATGGCGCCTGGCCTCCCTTGACATCTTTTTGCATGACTCCAAGCCAGGTTCTGTGAGAAGATGATTCTCTCACCCCAAATCTGCTTTTGAAAAGCACAGGCAGTTTGATCATGCTTTTTTTTTTTTTTTGAGACGGAGTCACCCAGGCTGGAGTGCAGTGGCGCAATCTTGGCTCACTGCAACCTCCACTTCCCAGGTTCAAGCAATTCTCCTGCCTCGGCCTCCTGAGTAGCTGGGATTACAGGCCTGTACCACCACACCCAGCTAATTTTTGTATTTTTAGTAGAGTTGGGGTTTCACCAGGTTGACCAGGCTGGTCTCGAACTCCTGACCTCAAGTTGATCATGCTCTTTCTGAGTCTGTCATCCTTGTGTGGTCCCCAATCCAGAAGCTGACACTGCACAGGGCATCACCGACTGAGGAAAGTCACACGTTGCCTGGCAGGTGCCAGAGAAATCTTTCTAAATGTGAAAACACCACCTCATCAGCCTTGCTTAAGAGATTCCAGGGCTCCCTTTTGCCTTTAGGATCAACTGAAATGACAAAGTGTGGCTTCCAATGCCCTGCTGGGCAGGCTTCTGGTATGTGGAGCTTCTTCCTGTCCTCTGTGACGATTCTGCAGCTCCTGGAACTGGCAACATCTGTTTTCACCCTCAGGCTTCTTCCCACAGGGTTCTCTTTAACTTGTGCTGTTCCAGCTCCTCCCGACAACACCCCCTCCCCAACCTGGCCAATTTCTATGAAAACTTGAGACCATTTTATAGAAGTCAGCCCCTTGGGCAGGACTTGTTCCTAGCCAGAGCTGCAGCCAGTGATTCGCAAGGGAGGTCTGCCCAGGATAGAACAGCCAAGGGCCACAGGGAGAAAAAGGCCAATTGTGGTTTTCCAGGTGTGCACACACACATGTGAGCTGACTTACAGGGCTCCTGGGAGCTGCCAGAGGTGACTCCACAGGGACAAAGCTGGATCAGCCCACCCTGGGCCTGAACCAACAGATACGTCCATAATTAGAGCCAGTGTGATCCCAGGGTTCCGGGCACTCTTCACCTGTCCCAGGGCAGGTTAGTGGTTCAATCTTCATGGTGCCAGTTATAAGATGGTGACCTTGGGTAATTTTTTTTTTTGAGGCGGCATCTTGCTTTGTCACCCAGGCTGGAGTGCAGTTGCACAATCTCGGCTCACTGCAACCTCCACCTCCCAGGTTCAAGCAATTCTCCTGCCTCAGCCTCCTGAGTAGCTGAGATTACAGGTGCCCACCACCATGCCTGGCTAATTTTTGTTTTTGTTTGTTTGCTTGTTTGTTTTTGTTTTGCTTTTTTTTTTTTTTTTTTTCCTAGTAGAGACAGGGTTTCACCATGTTGGCCAAGCTGGTCTCCAACTCCTGGCCTCAAGCGACCCGCCCGCCTCAGCCTCCAAAAGTGCTGGGGATTACAGACGTGAGCCACTGCACCCAGCCATAAATTCTTCAACTTTAATAATCTCAATTTGCTTGTATTTGAAATGGGGGTAACAATAGCTACTGCCTAGGGCTGTGATGAGGCCTGAAAATGTGGCCATGCATATAGAGCACCCAAAGAGTGCTCGATGGGTAGTAATCACTGGTGCCTCCCATCCAGACCGTCCTTGTCTTTCTACCAGGAAATGATGCTGTCCGCATCATCAACGAATGGAAGTAAATTTAATTATTAAATTAGACTGGGTGGGAGATGATCAGCCACAGCTCTCGCTCTCTGGGCCCACTTCGTCTGGGTCACAGTACCCTCTCCAATGGGCCCTGGATGACTCAGCCCATCCACTTGGCGTGTCTTCATGGCCACCAGCATCTCTTGCCCTGGCTTTCTGACTGGCTCTTGATTTCCACGGGGGCCCTCCCTGTCCCCGTCCCCACCCCTATCAGTCCATTCTCCTTACAGCCTGTGGCTGTCTTAGAACAAAAACAAAATTTAAAAAATCCACGCCAAGCTGATTCTTTTACTTCCTGCTTACAACCCTCAACAACACTCCCCACTCCTTAGGGAGAGGTATTTCCATATACCATGAAATTGGAATAGAAACCTCCTCCTCACTGTGGCCACCGCAGTCTCCAAGACCTTGCGTGCCCCCTGGCTCAGGCTGACCACAGCTCTGTCTATCCCACGGCCTTTGCATTTGAAGCTCACACTACCTGGAAACTTACTTCCTCTGGGAAAGCCCTCTGTGGTCCCCAGAATAGAGACCATCATTCCCATAGCACCGTGGGACTCTGCTTTCTCGTTCCTTCTCTCTGGGTCTCCTTGATTGTGTAATGATCTGATAAGGGCCTGTCCCTCCAGTCAGACAGAAGAGGAGGGAATTATTATTCCTCCCACAGGGGAGGAATAATGTTTGTATTGTTTACTATTGCTTCCCTAGCACAGAGCCCAGAACATACTAAGCACTCAAGAAATGTGTGTTGAGGCTGCTGTAATCCCAGCACTTACTAAGCCCAGAACATACTAAGCACTCAAGAAATGTGTGTTGAGGCCGCTGTAATCCCAGCACTTTCGGAGGCCAAGGTGGGAGGATTGTTTGAGCCCAGGAGTTCAAGACCAGCCTGGGCAACATAGCAAGACCCTGTGTTTACAAAAAATTTAAAAATTAGCGGTGCATGATGACGCATGCCTGTAGTCCAAGCTACTCAGGAGGCTGAGAAGGGGAGGATCCCTGGAGCCCAGGAGTTCGAGGCTGCAGTGACCTATGAGTGACTGCACCACTGTAGCCTGGGCAACAAAGCAAGACTCTGTCTCTAAAAATAATAATCATAAAGAAAGAAATGTGTGTCAAACACGTGAAGAATAAAAAAGGATAGCGCTACTTATAGGAATTCTTCTGTGAAGCCTTGTGTAAATAACCAAATTATTTTTGTGTAAAAATGGACTTTCCTATATTATCCCACCTCTTCAACATAGTAAATCTATTTTTTCCATGTTCCTTGTTAAGCTTTTTGTAAAATTTGCTGCATTCAAGGCACTTTCCTCCCATTAATTTTCTTCCCTGTTAAGTGGTTTTTACGACCACTTCATGCTTTAAGCAAGAAGTGCCATTTAGTATTTAAAATATTCTCTCAGCTTTCTTGGTGAGATCTTTGGCAACCTTCCTACTGTTGATTGTAACTGGTGCGACTTGGAACACGATGTCACTCTTCCAGAACTCTTCTCAGACCTAGATAAAACTTACTCTGTGTCACCAGTTGGGGACAAGGTGTTTGGAAACAGTACCTTATGCAACAGAACTGCTGGAGGGCCGCCCCTCAGAGGCAAATGAAATAAAAATCATGGTGTGTGGAAAATGTGCCCGCAGAGTCCCAGGAACCAAAGATTTTAAAGCTTCTCTGCCAGTAATTCAGTTTTTATTTTATGTTTCTTGGAAAACTGAAGTCTTGTGTTTACCACGTGTCACCTAAGATGCAGAAAGGGGGAAAAAAGTGATCCTGGTTGGTGAAGATTTCCATTTCAATGGCAGCCTGGTCCAAGCTGTTCTCTTGCAACTGACTCCCGCCTCTCCCCCACCAGCCCCCTCCCGCCCCTGCACAGGCTCCCTGGGGAGGGGTATTTCCTTTCAGTGTGAAATCTGTCTTTTTGCTCGCTCATTTCTATGGGGAATGGCACATCCATGCAAAGTTGTTGGCTGCTCTTATTTTATTTCAAAAATGTGCTGGCCTCAGACACCTGAAGTTTTCCTCGAATACTTTAAAGCAAATTATGTGCAGGAACCTCTCAGACCTGCTCTCACCGGAATTTCCTTTGAGTGTTCATATCTCAGAGCCTTATGTAACCTGACACAATTATCTGAAAAAGCTTGGAATCCAAAAGAAAGGTGTTCTGAGCTAGGAATGAAGGTCAGAGCTGGGAAAGAAGTGCTCTCCCTTGCCTGGGGACTGGGTCACACTTCACTACGACAATGCCCAATTCACGTTCCAAAGAAAAAATACTAAACCTCTGGCAGGGTGACCAGTGGGTACACTCGCCTCATTTCTCTGAACAAGGAATCGCTTAATGAGGGCTCCCGGGGCATTACAAAGCCTTGGACCTGGCTGGCGGTTAAAAATATTTCGATAACCACCTCCAGCTTCTGGCCTTCCCAGGATGGAAGCAGGAGTGGCTTGGGCCCCTTTAGGAGAATAACCCCTCCGCTGACTGCAAAAATCAACCCAGCTGGACAGTTGGGGTCTCGTGCCGGAGGTCAGTGCTGCAAATGGGGTATAGGTGGGGGTCTGGAATTCACATTTTTATACCAAGTGGTTGGTCTAGGTGATTTGACTCAAGCCTGGCCCAAGACTCCCCCGCCCCAGCCCACTCCCAACACAAGGCGGAAGGAGAGCGAGGACATTAACTGTAAGTACAGACCTAAAACTGGGGGCAACCAGGAGATGACCCCGCATTCTGGAAAGCCCTCAGGCCAAGAAGCTCTTTTTCTTCTTGAGAAATATCAACCCTGCTCGATATTTGCATACCAGCGGTGAGGGACCTCCACGGAGCAGAGGCACCACTCATAGGTGGTTGACTTTTCAAGGAATTCGCTGGAGAAAATTGTACGCAAGGCTGTGAACAAAACCCCCCTCCATCTGGTTTCAGTTTATTTAAAAAAACAACACACACAGTCCTCCCCACCAGCAATCAGAAGACAGCCACAGCTTCCCCAGGGGGCGTATTAGCCACCAGGGGTGGGGCTGAATTATGTATATGCAAATAAATTAAAACAGCCAGCCAACAGCAACTAATTTTTGTATCTTTTGCAGTTGTTGTGCCAAGAAAAGGCCTGAATCAGGGTGATGGAAGCTGTAAGGAGACAAGTTTGGAATGAGTTTTAACAATCAAGTTGCCTCAATTCCGTCGTTGGGAGACTTGTTTTTAATCGAGCAGCAAATAGCAAAAGGTCGGTAGCCTTATCCTTATGTATAGGATAAGGATAATGATAGTACCTACTTCATAGTGATGACGTGAGGATAGTAAATAAAATAAAGACCAAGCAAGCTAAGCACAAGGACTGGCATGCCACAAACACACAACCACACTGGAGGATACAAGACGGATCCTAGAAGGATTTCATCCAGAGTCAGTCAAGCTCTCCCTCCAAATGCTCTCAGCTGAGGCTTGCTTTCCGCCTGGGACTGGTCCAGAAAGCCCTGCAGAACATACTCTCTCTGTTTCCCAAACTCAAGGACCCTAATCCCCAAACATCTGCCTTTAATCCTGGAGACAGTAAAAGTTCGGAGGAGGGTGCCAGACACAGGCTGAAAACACAAGTGATGCTCCTGGCTTTCTGTGTCTTACTGCCTCCCTCTCTGGTAACTGGAGGGGAGGTTTCCTTCAGTTCCGTAACTGAAGGGCCTGGTTTCCAGGTGCCCAGCCCAGATGGGATAGCTCTGAAAAATGGTGGAGGCAGGGGCGAGTTCAGTTCATGCCTAGGGTAATCAGAGGGGAGTCGGCAACCTCCAGGGCTCCCACGCTACAGGAGCAACATGCTGGAGCCCACAGGCTTCCACCTGCCTTGGGGCTCAGCCTTTGCATGTTCAGGGGTGCCTCAAGCTCAGTTTGTTTGAACAGACCTCTGCTCCGTCCCTCATCTGGATGCAGGAACAAGACTCCCAGCCTCAAGAATCACTTGAAGCCAGCAGTTCAAGACCAGCCTGGGCAACATAGTGAGACCCCTGTCTCTACAAAAAATTTAAAAAACAATAGCCAGGTGTGGTGGTGAGTGCCTGTAGTCCCAGCTACTACGGAGGCCTGAGATGGCAGGATCGCCTGAGCCCAGGAGTTCAAGGCTGCAGTGAGCCGTGATTGTGCCACTGTACTCCAGCCTGGGTGACAGAGCAAGACTCCATCTCTAACTAAAAGTAATAATAATAATAATAAAGTAATAATCATAATAAAATTTAAGAGTGATAATAATAATTTAGTCAGCCTCCACTCTTCCCCAGATCCATTTCCTGTCCACCTGGGATGGGGGTCTCATTTGCTCAAAACCATTCCAAGCTCTCCTTTGCCCTCAGGATGAAGTCTAAGATGCCACAGGTGACCAACACAGCCCCGTATTAACACAGTTCTCAAGAGCCCAGACTTTGGGTTCAGGTACACCTGAGTTTGAATCTTGGGGCTGGTCCAAGACTCCAACGCAAGTGGAACTTGAGAGCTTGAGCAATTCCCTTCACCTCTGGAAGCCTCAGTTCCCTTGAATGTAAAATGGTGATAATGACAACTACTACAAAGGCTATGATGAGGTATCTGCACCCAACCCAGGGCTTGGGACACAGCAAGAGATTTGGAGGCCAGTGCATGGCATGAAGATTGAGGATGTGGTGGGGCACGATGGCTGCCAGGACCAGCTTTAGACATGCTGAGGCTGAGGGGCCTATGTGTGTCCAAGGGAAGTGTCCAGGGGCAGCTGGACATGTGGGCCTGTGGTCAAAAGGGAGAGCTTGGCCAGAAAGCAAGCAGGGAGGTCGCCAGCATGTGAGTAGAAAGATGAGCTCATGGTGTGGGGAGGGCCGAGGGTGAGGCCTCTACAGCCAGAGCTTCACCCACAAGGAAGAGAAGCTGGAGAAGGAGGCTGAGAAGGAGAGGCAGTGAGGTCGGAGGAAACCCGGCAGCCGTGGCTTCGCAGGCACCCAAGGGAGACAGGGCTTGGGGCAGGAAAGAGAGGTCAGCAGGGCCGAGGCTTTGAAGAGGCCAAATTAGCTGAAGCCAGAGATGAGTCTATGGGATTTGGGGACTAGGGGGTTACGATTGGGAGCTGGTCCCAGGCAAAGGCTGGGAGGGGAGAGTGGTGATGGTGATTATGGACAACTTTAGAGAAATGCAGCTGAAAACAGTAGGAGAAAACACAAGAGAGATGCTTTTTTTTTTTTTTTTTTTTTTTTTTTGAAACAGAGTCTTGCTCTGTCACGCAGGCTGGGGTGCGGTGAGTAGTACAATCTCGGCTCACTGCAATCTCCGCCTCCCACATTCAAGAGATTCTCCTGCCTCAGTCTCATGAGTAGCTGGGACTACAGGCATGCATCACCATACCTGGCTAATTTTTGGATTTTTAGTAGAGGCAGGGTTTCGCCATGTTGGCCAGGCTGGTCTCGAACTCCTGACCTTAGGTGATCCGCCTGCCTTGGCCTTCCAAAGTGCTGGGATTACAGGCGTGAGCCACCACGCCCAGCCACAAGAGAGATGCTTGTGGAAAGGGATACGGGCTTGAGGTTCCCAATGGGTGAGGCTAGCGCCAGTACACTTGCTGCTGGGGCCAGTAGTCAGTTGCTATATCTGTGGTGCCCAGCACAGGGCCTGGCATGCAGTAGGAACTCAATACAAGTTTGTTGTCTTTGAGGACAGGGAGCAATGGGGTCTAGGACCCTGGCCACTGGCAGGAAGAGGGACCCTCTGCCATTCTGCCAAGAGGAGGCATGGTGGGGGTGAAGGCGTGAAGCAGAGTGCAGGGCAGGGGCTCCTTGGGAATCTGCAGCCTCTTAGCTGCAGAGGGAAGAGGAGGTGACAAGTCAGTGCTGAGTGCTCTGCTCCAGGAACCCAAGTACAGTCAGAGGACAGAGCGAGAGGGCTCCTGGAGTCTGCCACTTGGTACCCCCTACTGTAGACATCTGTTCCCCTCTCCTCAACCCAGCAGCCGGTGGGTTACCTGGTCTTTAGCTCCTTCAGAGCCGTGCTCTCCCTACACGGCCAGCAGAGGGTACCAGTGAGCTGCTGGACTCCGCTGGAGGAGACCAGAGCCCGCCTGCCCACCCCTTTGTCCTCCAGAGCCTGGGGCGTGCTAAGGGTTTGGTTAACCAGGTTTCTGACCAAGGCGGGTTGGAGGCTGGGACAAAGGACTAAGGGAGGCTGTGGGCTGAGGGCTTAGGGGCCGAGTGGCTCAGGTGCTCTGCTCCTGGTCACCCTTCATTCCTCTGCCCTGCCAGGCCCTGCTTTATCTGTTGAGGCTCCTGCCCACTGCCCCTCTCCGCTTCTCTTCCCTGGAGGCCCCTGACAGCCTAGACTCCTGCTTCTAGCAGAGGCTGGTTTTCTGCCCCTAGGCAGGCACGACTTGGCAACAGGCCTCAGACAGGGCTGGGCCAGCTTCTGCCAGCAATGACTGCCCTAACCACCTTGTACTTCTAGAACGTCTCCACCTAATAAGGGATAAGGGGTCAGTGGTTGAGGAGGCCACAGGAGCTGGAGCATAGGTCCTGGGAAGGAGGAGGCTTGGACTAGGAAGTGGGATGAATGGGCAGGGGGAGTTTATATAAAAATGTGGCAGATGGTCCAGTCCCACCAAGACCCAAATCCCATAAGACTAATGGCTCTGCCTGAGGTGGCACGAGGTTCCAGAAGCTGAGCTGGAAACACCCCCTTCCTCATCCTAACCATGTTATACTCTTCAGCCAAACGCAAATCCCAACATCGCCTCCTGGCAAGTCTGTCCCCATGGTGGCCTTCACGGTTCCTTCCCAGGACAGTGTAGGACCCTGCTTCTGCCTCTTTCCTTATCTTGCCTTCCTGCCCCATCCCCCTACTCTTCAACTCCTGCTTTAGCAAGTGCTGGTTCTATCTGTGTTGCCTTGACCTTGAAGGCTCCCCAGGACCCTCATCTCAGCTTCTACTCCCTTCCTCACTCCAAGGGGAAGACTCCAATGGACTGAGGCTGGAGAAACCACAGCCAGACTCTTGGTGTGGTGGCTAAAGCTGGGGGGTCTGGCCAATCCAATCTCTACAGCTCAAATCAGGAAGTCAGGCCAGGGGTGCTGTGTCTGCCTCCAAGCCTGGGCCATACATTCACCGCAACAGGAATCAGTGACTTTGGAAAAGGAATGTTTCCCTGAGTTTCTAGAGGCAGGATGACCCAGACCGAAGGACAGAGAGTTACCAGAAACACACACAATGCACACAAATGTACTCACTTGCACACACAGGGTCATGGCATAGGGAGTGACACAACCAAATGGCCTGGACAAGCCACAGAGTCCCATGGACACAAGTGCTTACAAACACAGGCACACAAGGTCATGTACCCAAGGTCAGGCACACACACCCTCCTCATTCAAGTCCTGCCTCCCAGGTCTGGGGCTTGCCTGTCATCTGTCCTTAGGAGGAGGGATAGGTGGAGGCACAGGAGTGGCTCAGGGCAAATTGGTCCTCCACCCAGAGACTCTCCCTTTAGGTGGGTCTGGCTCCCAGCCTCCCCTGAGATTTCCCTGGCTCACCAGGGGGCTGTGTCTGGTGGCAGAGAGGGCTTTGGAGGAGGCATTGCCCTGAAACCCTGGCAGAGCCTGGGCACCTAAGAGAGAATGAGCAACAGGGCTAGGAAGTGTGACAGGGAGTCCACAACCTCCCAGGATCTTGGGAGGGCAGGGATGAGGCACTGAGCACGGCCTGGAAGCCCACGGGAAGCAGGGACCCCTCTGTCGAGGGCTACACCTACTGCTCTCAGCATCAAGCCTGCAGCCAGGTACTGGCACCAACTCCCAGTGCCTGGCAGAGCCCTGGCATGGATGCTAGGCACAGGGTGCCAGACACGGGGGTGGGCAGGGTGGGGGGCCACTGGGCCACACACAAGCATGGAGACCTTCACACACGCAGGCAGAAAAATCCACCCACACTCATACCACTTATTTTACCCCCTGGGGGTTCAGGGGAGCAAGGCAGGGACCACCCTGTCCTAGAGGCTGCCTTCACCGACGTCCCTCTGGCCTGGCTCTTGGGGTTGGCGGGGGTGGGCCATAAGTAATGGGAGACCTAGGTGCTTCCTCTGACACCCCACCCTCCACTGACCCCCACACACATACATTTGTGAGGCAGGAAGTGGGGTTGTGCGTCCCCAGGTTTAAGCCCTGGAAGGAAAGGGAAAGACGGGGCAGAGACTCCAAGAACCGGGAGCGGTCGTCCTGTTCCCCCGCCAGCCCCTGTCCCAGGCAGGTTTTGTGGCCGCGAGCTGCTCAGGGGTGAGCGCGCCTTAGGGTGTGTGCGCCAGGGACCTGGCGCAGCCGACCACGTGGGAGTGCGGCGCGTGTACGGGCGCGGGCGGCAGCGGCAGCGGCAGCGGAGACCGGGTGAGCACCGGCTGGTTCCTCGCGGTGTTCCTGCAGGCTTGGCGGCCGCGGTGGTGCGATCAGCAAAGGGCACCGGGATGCCGGTTGTGCGTGTCCTCAGGTGTCCCGAACAAGCGTGAGTGGCATGTGCTCACCTGAGCGCGGCGGCTTGGCGGCCCCGGGCGTGTGGGTGGGGGCGCGGCGGAGAGCTGAGGCCGGGCACCCGGGCTGGACCGACGGGCCCTCTCCCAAGCACCGCCCGCAGCCAGGCGGCTCCTCGAGCGCAGCAACTTTGGGACTTTGTTCCGGCTTTTTCCAAATCGAATCTGGTCGAGGGGGCGGGGCGGGGGGGGAGCACCTGCCCTGCGGGGGGTGCCGGGAGAGAAGTGAAGGAAAGCCCCGCCCCCGCCCCTCCCGCTCCCCGCCCTCTCCCCCGCCCCCGGGGCTCTTCATAAGCTCGGCCCGAGGGCGAGCAGAGAAAGCGAGTGTCCCTCTCGCGCCCCAGGCCGGTGTACCCCCGCACTCCGCGCCCCGGCCTAGAAGCTCTCTCTCCCCGCTCCCCGGCCCGGCCCCCGCCCCGCCCCGCCCCAGCCCGCTGGGCCGCCATGGAGCGCTGGCCTTGGCCGTCGGGCGGCGCCTGGCTGCTCGTGGCTGCCCGCGCGCTGCTGCAGCTGCTGCGCTCAGACCTGCGTCTGGGCCGCCCGCTGCTGGCGGCGCTGGCGCTGCTGGCCGCGCTCGACTGGCTGTGCCAGCGCCTGCTGCCCCCGCCGGCCGCACTCGCCGTGCTGGCCGCCGCCGGCTGGATCGCGTTGTCCCGCCTGGCGCGCCCGCAGCGCCTGCCGGTGGCCACTCGCGCGGTGCTCATCACCGGTGAGTGCGCGGGTCGCGGAGCGCGGGGACTCCAGGCTCGAGGGCGGGACTGGACACTCAACAGGACTGACTCCCCATGGGCACAGCCAAGGCGGGCTCCTCAGCGCAAGAGTGGGAGAGTTCTCCACCCCTGGGTGCAGGGAGCGAGCCAAATAGGGAGCGCCGGGCACCTCCCCAAGCCCGGGTTCACTACCTGCCGCTGCGGGGAGTGTTGGAGGGAAAGTGAGACAGGGAGTGGGCCGGTTCGAGAAGGAAACTGACTGGTGGCTGAGAAGAGGGAACCTCCTGGAGTTTGAGAGTTTATGCCATTCCCTTCCCCAAGAGAGCAGTCTCAGGGGACTTCGGAGGCCTTGAGAAGGGAGGATCGTTACCCCTTGAACTCTGCCTGACATCCCCACCTAAGATACCCATCTCCCATTCCTCGGGCCAGAGGGAAGAGCTTAGATGGGGAACTTCCCCACCCCACCCATCCCCCACTGGCTGGGATCCTTGGAGTTCAGAAAAGCTAGAGGTCACCGTGAGGGGCAGCTGGACATTCAGCTGTCTTTCTGTCTAGCCACCCACTGCCAAACTGCTGAGGCAGTAGTTTGGAGCCTACACCCAGCACCCCACCCCCAAGCCCTCCTGGTCCTCTGTGCCCAGGAAGGAGCTCTTAGAGAGCTGGGCTCAGGTGCCTCTGGCCGCCTAGCTGAGCTCCTTTGTCTGGAGCAGGGAATAAATCTGTCACCAGAGGGAGGGAAGGGGAAGGGGGGGGGGGGCTGGAGGCCCGCCGGAAGTGGGGAGGGGGAGAAAGGCCAGGGGGCACTGACTCCATTGCATCGTGGGAGGAGCAGCCTGGTCTCTCGCCAATACCCACGGCTTTGGACAGGTGCTCCAGGCTTTGTCCTTGCGCTGGGCCTTTGCTGGGGCAGCCAGCAACCTGGCTTCTCAGAGACCTCGGTCTAGTAGGGGCCCTGTGTGATCAGATGGGGCTGGGAGAATTTTCCGGAGGAGGAAATCCTTGAGTGGGGCCTTGGAGCATGAGTGGAGATAAGTGGAGTATGAAAGGGATCTCGGATCAGAGAAAGGATGTGGGACAAAGGCTTAAGGCAGGAGTACACACGGTCTCTGTAGGGGACAGCCAGTCTGGGTGTGGGGGTGGGGAGAAGGGGATATGAGGTGGTTTCCTTGGGAGGGGCCATGAATCAGGTAAGAAGCCAGACTGCTGAGGCAGAGTAGGGGGGAAGGAGGCACAAGGGCCTTGCACTCCAGCAAAGATGGTAGAGATGGGGAAGCATTCGGGCTGGACAGGAGAGACCCAGGTTCCAGGCGCAGTGTGAAGCCTCAGCAGACCCCAGTTTCAGAGGTTTGAGGAAGGAAAATCAACAGACACCCCGGGTATGAAGTAGGGGCCAGGTTGTGGGCTCTGCCTCTGGGGACAGGGCAGATCCCTTCCTGCTTTATTTGTGAGCCACCTCAACAGGACCCAGGCCATCTGCAGGTACTAGTGGCCTAGCTGGGTAGTCTTTCCTGAGGTCTCACCTCAGGCCTTTGTGCTGCTGCTGTTGCTTCTGGCCTTGAGCCTGAGAGAGAGGTGAGAGGAAGGATGCTTTCTCTAACTTGGGCTCCTCCAATCTCTGGTTGCAAAGCTGGGGTTGGGGGAGAGAGGACCACCCAACCTGCCCTGTACAAGCATCAGTAAGACTCCAAGTTTCCCAGGGCCCGAACACTTGGGGGTTGTCTCTCAACACCCGGCTGGAAGACAAGTAGGTAACCAGGTTCAGCCCCACCTGCCAAGAACACTGTGTTTTGGGCCTGGCAGAGCTGCTACTCCCCCTCTCCCTCCTAAGAATGCCCAGAGAATCACTTGCCAAGGCTACTCCTGGAGCTCAGCTGTGGGATCAGGGTTTGGGCTGAGGATCAGGTGCCTGTGTGCACACATGTGCACATGTGTGTGCCAATGGGTGGTAGGGATTGAGCCCGTTGTGAGAACATCCAGCCAGGTTGGAAGTGTGTACAGGTATCTGAGGGTGTGCACGTGAGCAAGAGGGTGTGCAAGATGTGGGTGACTGTTGGGACCACAGAGCTGAGGCCTGTGGTCAGCTCAGGTCAGAACTGGGAGGTCTGTTTCCCTTGGGAGGACCTGTCTGCTCTGAGGGGGACCCGGACAAGTGCACATATGCATGTGTGTGTCTACACACACACACACACACACACACACACACACACACACACATATGCTTGCCTCCCTCTCCAAGGCAGACTTGCCTGGGAAGTACCCCTCCTCAGCAGGAGCTCGAAGACCCCTGCCCAGTGCTGTTTTCAGTAGAGGGAGTGGAGCTGAGATGGGGAGACCGTACTGAGCGGTCCAGGAGTAGGGAAACAGAGCTGCTTTGCAGCTTCTGTTCCAGAAGATGGGGGTTGGGGGGCGGGGTTGAGGGCCAGGGGTGGGAGCAGGAGCAGAACAGAAAGCCTCCCTGCTCACTGGCCTTTCCCCTTCCCTCACTGGCTGCCCATGGAGCCAGGATCAGCATGGGAACAATCAAGGAGGCAGGGGCTTATCAGTACTATGGACCCCTACACTGGCTCTGCCTGGTGGTTCTTCTCTTCGCATACCAAAGACAGAAATTAAGCCTCCAAGAGTGGTAACTGACCTCGGTCACACTTGGTGGGTGTGGGAAAGGATTCAAATGTAGGTCTGTTCTCTTCTTCATCTATCATGGTCCCTGTCCTGGAGGCAAGTCGTCTGGGGCTCAGAAAACACCCCTGTTGCCACTGATTGGAATTCCAAGGGTCTGGGTGAAGTGGGGATGGGCCTCCAGCTTGCCTCCAGCCTGAAAAAATAGTAGAGGGTGTTGAGGCTGGGAAGGGAGGTGGGGCTCATGTTGTACAGGGCCTGAGCCAGGGAGCTTGGGCTTCATTCTGAGTACTGTGGCAGCCCTGGGAAGGTTTGTAGCACAGAGGGATATTGTCATTTTTGGAAAGATCCCTTTGGCTGCTTAGGTAGAGAAGGGCTTCAAGAGGGCAGGAAGGGACAGGACTACAGAAGGGGCTGCTTCAGAGTCCAGATTAAGGAAGGAGAGGCCTGGGCAGTCAGAAAGGAAGAGAAGCCGGATGTGGTGGCTTGTATCTTCAATCCCAGCACTTTGAGAGGCCAAGGTGGGAGGATCACTTGAGCCCAGGAGTTCAAAACCAGCTTGGGCAACATAGTGAGACTCCCATCTCTCCAAAAAAATTTAAAAACCAGCCAGGTAGACTGGGCGCAGTGGCTCACGCCTGTAATCCCAGAACTTTGGGAGGCCGAGGCAGGCAGATCACGAGGTCAAGAGTTAGAGACCAGCCTGACCAACATGGTGAAACCCCGTCTCTACTAAAAATACAAAACTTAGCCAGGCCTGTGGTGATGCGCACCTGTAGTCTCAGCTACTCAGGAGGCTGAGGCAGGAGAATCGCTTGAACCCGGGAGGCAGAGGTTGCACTGAGCTGAGATCACGCCACTGCACTCCAGCCTGGGCAACAGAGTGAGACTCCGTCTCAAACAAAAAAAAAAAAAAAGAAAAAACCAGCCAGGCGTGGTGACACAGGCCTGTAGTCCCAGCTACTCAGGAGACCGAGGAGGAAGGAATGCTTGGGCCCAGGAGGGGAGGTTGCAGTGAGCCAAGATCATGCCACTGCACTCCAGCCTGGGCAACAGAGCGAGACCCTGTCTCAAAAAAAAAAAAAAAAAAAAGAGAAAGGGAGGCTCCTACTAATACTGTGCCTGTGCCTGTGAGCTGTGGCCTGAAATCAAGAAAGCAGAACCACACTGGGGCCTGGGACTGTCCCAGACCTGACCTGTGTGAATTTGGGAAGCAACTTAGCATTACTAGGCCTTAGTTTCCTCTTCTGTAAGCCACATTAGTGGGGTAGCCACGGGGAGTCAGGCAGATGACAGCTGTCACAGAGTTACTGCCCAGGGCTCAGCTAGAGGGACACAGCCTGCCAGGGATGGGCCTAGGGAAGGAGTTAGGGTTGTTGACTGCTGGTGGCTTGGTTTGCAGGGGCCTGGATCCCATCCAGACCCTGGTGATTCTGGGGTTGTCTCAGGCTAGGCTGGGCCACAGTGGAAGTTCACTGACTGCCCTGGCCTGGCCAGGCTGTGACTCTGGTTTTGGCAAGGAGACGGCCAAGAAACTGGACTCCATGGGCTTCACGGTGCTGGCCACCGTATTGGAGTTGAACAGCCCCGGTGCCATCGAGCTGCGTACCTGCTGCTCCCCTCGCCTAAGGCTGCTGCAGATGGACCTGACCAAACCAGGAGACATTAGCCGCGTGCTAGAGTTCACCAAGGCCCACACCACCAGCACCGGTCAGTGGCAAGTGTCCACCAGGCAAGGGCGTGGCAGGGGAGTGGGAAGGACACGGGGACTGGAAGTTTGCTGCTGGGCTGACCTAAGGCTTCCCTCCTCTGCTCTGTGACCCCAGGCCTGTGGGGCCTCGTCAACAACGCAGGCCACAATGAAGTAGTTGCTGATGCGGAGCTGTCTCCAGTGGCCACTTTCCGTAGCTGCATGGAGGTGAATTTCTTTGGCGCGCTCGAGCTGACCAAGGGCCTCCTGCCCCTGCTGCGCAGCTCAAGGGGCCGCATCGTGACTGTGGGGAGCCCAGCGGGTGAGTGCCCCCCCCCACTGGAGCAAAAAGGAGCCCCCTGGGGTGGGGGAGGGCTTAGGGAGCCCCTTGCCAAAGCTGAGCTGCCCCACTCCCAATCCATCCGCAGGGGACATGCCATATCCGTGCTTGGGGGCCTATGGAACCTCCAAAGCGGCCGTGGCGCTACTCATGGACACATTCAGCTGTGAACTCCTTCCCTGGGGGGTCAAGGTCAGCATCATCCAGCCTGGCTGCTTCAAGACAGGTGGGAATCAGGGCTGGGGGTGGGGTGGGGGTGGGGAATGGGGCTGGGAATGGTCTTATGGGGGCAGGTCAGGTTTGATGAATGGTCATGGTTTTGGTTGGGGGTGTAGTTTTGGCTGCAGACCTGGCGCGGGTTAAACAGTCCTAATTGGCTTTGGCTCCCCTAGCTGATCCCACTCTGACCTTGCCACTCCTTCCCCAGAGTCAGTGAGAAACGTGGGTCAGTGGGAAAAGCGCAAGCAATTGCTGCTGGCCAACCTGCCTCAAGAGCTGCTGCAGGCCTACGGCAAGGACTACATCGAGCACTTGCATGGGCAGTTCCTGCACTCGCTACGCCTGGCCATGTCCGACCTCACCCCAGTTGTAGATGCCATCACAGATGCGCTGCTGGCAGCTCGGCCCCGCCGCCGCTATTACCCCGGCCAGGGCCTGGGGCTCATGTACTTCATCCACTACTACCTGCCTGAAGGCCTGCGGCGCCGCTTCCTGCAGGCCTTCTTCATCAGTCACTGTCTGCCTCGAGCACTGCAGCCTGGCCAGCCTGGCACTACCCCACCACAGGACGCAGCCCAGGACCCAAACCTGAGCCCCGGCCCTTCCCCAGCAGTGGCTCGGTGAGCCATGTGCACCTATGGCCCAGCCACTGCAGCACAGGAGGCTCCGTGAGCCCTTGGTTCCTCCCCGAAAACCCCCAGCATTACGATCCCCCAAGTGTCCTGGACCCTGGCCTAAAGAATCCCACCCCCACTTCATGCCCACTGCCGATGCCCAATCCAGGCCCGGTGAGGCCAAGGTTTCCCAGTGAGCCTCTGCGCCTCTCCACTGTTTCATGAGCCCAAACACCCTCCTGGCACAACGCTCTACCCTGCAGCTTGGAGAACTCCGCTGGATGGGGAGTCTCATGCAAGACTTCACTGCAGCCTTTCACAGGACTCTGCAGATAGTGCCTCTGCAAACTAAGGAGTGACTAGGTGGGTTGGGGACCCCCTCAGGATTGTTTCTCGGCACCAGTGCCTCAGTGCTGCAATTGAGGGCTAAATCCCAAGTGTCTCTTGACTGGCTCAAGAATTAGGGCCCCAACTACACACCCCCAAGCCACAGGGAAGCATGTACTGTACTTCCCAATTGCCACATTTTAAATAAAGACAAATTTTTATTTCTTCTAAAATGCGGCAGGTGCTGTTTGGAGGGGGTCACTGACTGGCTGGCTGAGTGACACAGTGTGGCCGTGTGACAGGGTGGCAACTCCTGGGGCTCAGCGTGGAGGCTGGGATTCCCCTGGTAGACTCTGGTTCACACCTCCCCCTCCTCCACTGACCTGGGGCAAATCATTTCAGACCATGGGTTTCCTCATAGTGAAATGGGGGTAATGACACTGATCCCAATTGCTTGAAGCAACTGGGGAGGCCAGGGGGGCCTCCAGGGCCAACATCTAGCTCCCCAGGCCTGTATGCATCTGAGCCTCCAGCAGAAGAAGGGGCTATCTCCCTGGGACTCCCCAACCCTGAAGAATCTCGGCTGCTGACTGAGGGAGGGAGGTGGAGGCTTAGGCAGGGTTGCTTAGCAAGGTGGGGTCACGAGGGAAGTTAGGGGTCATGGAGAGGTACCAGGGCCTAAACGAGACAGCAGACAGTTGGCCTTAGAGAGGGCAGTTTTATTGTCTCAGAGGGGCAGGGCTGAGGGAGGGAGCTGAGGAGCAACATCCCCCCAGGCCCCAAGGACACACACACTCTGTCCTTCCCATGGGCCATGGCTCTGGGAGCGACCCACAGAAGGGAGAGGAGGCTCAAACTGCCCCCAGGCCCCAGGGTTCTCAGGTCAGGGAGTTAGGGAGGAACATGAAAGTGACATGCTTCTTAGATACATCAGCGGCTGTAACCACAGGGCTGAGGGGGCCTCCTTGCTCTGGAGGGGGTCTTCGTCCATCCTTGGTGGGGGGGGGTGCCCAGCCCCTTTTCAGGCCTAAGAACAGTCTCTAAGAGGGTCAGGAGAACTGGGCAGCCGCTAGGACAGCGTACTACACCCCGGACAGGCAGGTGAGCCACAGGCTTGTCACAGACCACATACACACACACGCACACACACGCGCACACACACACACACACACACAAAGAGTGCAATTGAGAGCCTTGGGCCAGGACGCTAGAAGATAGGGATGTAGTTGTCGATTTTGGCGCGGTGGCGCTGGGCGATACATTCAGCGATCCACACGATGTTGCGACACTCCTGCTCCTTGAGCTTCACGAAGGCATAGAAGACACCAAAGTGGAACTGGTTCAGGAAGGCCAACTTGTTCAGCTTTACCTGTGGACACGGGCAGATGTGGTGTCCAGGTGGCCATGGCCACAGAGTCAGGTCTAAACCACCAGGTTGGCCTCCCTCTGACAAGCAGACCCTGCAGACTCACCTCGTGCTCAAAGAATCGGTCCTCCAGCGTCTTGTCTCCAGGGTTGCTACCTGCACCCTCGAAGAGCAGCTTGTACTCCTGGCCAGGGGGGTGGGGGGAAGCACAAGCATGAGGGTTCTGGGTGGGGGTGCTTGGTGACAACACATCCAACCGCTGTCCTGCCAGCCGGGGCACTCACCGGGTAGTAATCGGCCACGTTCTTGACCTGTTCATAGTCGTCAGCCCGAGCCAGCTGCGCCAGGCCCTCAGGGTAGAGCCGCCCACAGTGTGGAAAGAGCTTGGCACGGTCCTCTTTGGACAGCTCTGTGCCGAAAGAATTGATGGTGATGATGAAGGCGCGGCGGTCTGCTTCAAACTGTGGAGCCAGTGCACAGGTAAGAAGAGAGGGAGGAAGAAGGAGGCAGTAGCCAGTCAGTTGGCAGAGCCTCCCCAGGCCAGGGCTAGCGGGCACCAGCAGGCAGGAGGGCGGGCAGGCACTCACCTCCAGGATGGGGCACATGGCATCAGCCGTAGTCCCGCCCAGTAGGGTGCAGAACTTGTAGAAGGACTCCAGGTAGGCCTGTAGAGAGTATGGAGCTTGCTCAGCACAGGCAAGGAAGCTCTGGAGGGCTTGCTAGGCACAAGCCCTCACAGCTCCCTCCTCCCCTCCCTAGCCCCTTTCAAGGTGGGTACAAGCACACCCATGGATGGGCCGGGGCAGCCCTTACAGCAAAGCCAATGAAACACTTCTGTGAATCAGCCAAGTGGCAGCTGCCCACAGCCTCCCACCCAGGAGTGCCAGGGCAGGGCCCACCCGACTGTCTGCTTCAGGCTACAGTCTCCTTCACCCCCTCACCTCACAGAAGGCTGGGCTCGCAGGGGTCCTCTGACTTTCCCCTGCTGCTCTGCCTTCCTTTTCCCCAAATCTTTCCAAACCTCCCCTTCCTCAGCCTCTGAAAACCAGGTGTGGCTGGACGCAGTGGCTCACGCCTGTAATCCCAGCACTTTGGGAGGCCAAGGCAGGTGGATCACGAGGTCAGTTCAAGACCAGCCTGGTCAAGATGGTGAAACCCCGTCTCTACTAAAAATACAAAAAATTTAGCCAGGCATGGTGGTGGGTGCCTGTAATCCCAGCTACTCGGGAGACTGAGGCAGAGAATTGCTTGAACCCGGGAGGCGGAGGTTGCAGTGAACTGAGATCATGCCACTGCACTCCAGCCTGGGCGATAGAAAGAGACTCCGTCTCAGAAAAGAATAAAAAAACAGGTGTCCGTAGGCTGGTGAGGAAAGGCCACGCCTGAAAGTCCACAGGGATGGCAGGGACTGAGTGCCCCCGGCCCTCTCTGCCACCTTCCCTTACAGAACACCTCCTCCTCCCATCCTCCAGGCAGCCCCTCAGCATCACAGAGCAGGAACAAAATTGTCAGGCCAGTTCCTGCTGAGGGATGGTTATTGCCTACACGGACGTCAGCTGGGCACAGTACAATGGCAGGCACATGGGCTGCCGGCGGGAACAAGCACTCCCTGCCCAGGCAAATTGGATCTGCTGGGCATGAGGAAAGAAGAGGTCAGCCCAGGCCCCAGGTCCCTCCCAACGCTCACTCACAAAAGCAGCCATGCTTCCTCCCAACACCTCTCCATGCCAAGGAAGGTGGATGATCTTACGGGCCCCATGGGGAGCTCCCTTGTAATGGCCACCCTCCACTCAGACCTCCCTGGTCCCATCTGCTGGCATGGGCTCAGAGACCCTGGCTCCACAGGCTAGAGACTATTCTTCTAGATTGTAGGCAAGGGTTGGATGGCATGGAAAGCTTTTCATACCGAGGTCTGAACTCCAAGGTGTGGAGACCTTTCCACCAACCATCAGCCAACTTGGGCTCACAAGCTCTGCTGGGTGGTGCTCCAAGAGAGATGAGATGAGACCCAGGAGTCTGTGAGCCCAGGCCTGCCCTGGCCAGCAATGCTGGGCAAGCCCAACTCAGGGGAAGGCCTGAGAGTGACCTCTGGGATCACGGGAAACAAAAATCTAGGACAGGTCAGGAAGTAAGAAGCCTGGAAAAGAGGGTTGACCCCAGCACAGAGGATCCCAGGAATGAGAGGGCCTGGGTGGCAGAGACAGCTGCCAACCCCTCCCATGGCTTGGTGGTACCTTTCACAGTCCCTCTAGGGGTCTGTCCCCAGCCACCTCCTTCCCTGTGGCCAGCCAAGCTGGATATGTCAAAAATCCCACAGCCTGCCCCAGTGGGGCCCTGCACTTCCTATTTGTGGGGGAACCAACCAACCAGGTATTGGGCTCCATGCCCTGCTACCCACCCAATTGCTTAGCCAATCTGTACCAATCCCAGGAGAGGCTGATCCCAGGGTCAGGGAGGCTGGTGGGACTCTCCTCTGGAGGCTAGGGCAGCTAAAGAAACTGGCAAGATCCCAGCAACCCCGGTACCAAAGTCACCTTCCCACCCCCGCCCTGTCCCCTGGAGTCTGCCAATCCACGGCTGCTGCACCAGCTGCCTACTGTTCCCACCTGCTGGGTGGTTGAGGGTCCGCCTAATCTCCCATCTGTGGTCACCGGGCTGGGACATCGCCTGACAGGCTGGCAGTCCTGGCACAAGGCCCACAGCATTGGGTCTGTGTTTATGAGCTAGTGCCTGGGCAGCCCTCGCCGGCGACTCCAGCTAGAACCAGTCAGGCCCGGTGAGGGCATGGGTGAGGCTGGCGGACAGCCGCACCCCTCACCCTGTCTCAGGGCAGGCAACCCGGCAACAGGCCAGCTAGGCGCGTGCGTACACACACACACACAAACACACACGTGTGTATGCTCTCTCTCCTCTCAGCTAACTGGCTGGCCTGTGCCCTATTAGCGGAGTGGGTGAGAGCACTCACTTTTGCAAACAAGCTGAGCCAGGTGTGATCCCTGGCGCTGCCAGTGACTTATTATGTGGCTTTAGGCAACCCACCCTACTTCTCTGAGCCTTCGGTTTCCCCATTTTCACATGGGGATAATGACACCTTCCTAGTTCCTAGCGCAGTCTGAAGGATTAAAGAAGCTGACGACCTTCCCACCTCTGGTTTCAGGCCCTCTAATCTGCTCTCCACATTGTGGCTAGAAGGGGCTTTCTGAGAAGACTCTGCTCTGTTGGAAACCTCTACTGGCTGACCCTGCCCACGGGACTATGTTCAAACTTCTGGCCTTACATTCAAAGCCCTGGGTAACTTGATCCCATGCCTGCCTTTTCTTCTAGACTTCTCCCCTGTCCATCTGGAATGTGTCCTTCCACAGCAAACTGCCTGCCACTTGGCCCATGCTCTATGCTTTCCTTCTGCACGTGCTGGTCCCTTGCCGACACCACTGCAACCTCCAGGCAGGCCCTTCCCCTACCACCAACCCTCACTGTGCTCTGGCCCAGGCCCCTGCAGGGAGATTGGCAGGCCTGGGCTCAGGCTGCAGCCAAATGTCAGCCAGCTCGCTCCAACCAGGGCAGGAGAGGACTCTCACCCAATAGACAGGTGAGGTCAGCAGGTCCCTCGGCCAGGGCCATCCTCAGCCCTGCTTTGGGGCCTGCCCACTGCGGATCCATGTTCCTGACTGCAGCCCATCTGGGGTCCTGGCGCTATAGCTCAGTGCCTCACCGCAGCCAGAGCAGAGTCTATCCCAGACACCCCTAACCTAACTGGTCTCGGGCTTTTTTTTTTTTTTTTTAAATTTTTAAACTTTCCTCTCCTCTCCGGTCCCCTGGCTCTTTAATCTCTTTGGGCCAGGGTAGTGCTGACCCAGAAATCCTCAGGGGTTGCCCAGTCTATGCTACAGCCTGGTGGGAGGCAAGAGGTGGGCAGGGGATGAGGACAGTGGGAAGTGGCACTGACTCCAAGCTTGGGAACCTACGAGGGACATGAGGACCTAGCTATGCCTCGCCAGATCCCTCCCCCCACCATAAGTGAGCACACTGTTGCCTTTGCTCAAGTGCCTGTCCTTGCTGGCAATAGCTTAGGTAGGGCGGTTCCAGGGGCCACGGCCTGGGTGGTAGTCCATGACCCTCCTGGATGCTGGGGGAGCGGCTGTCCAGGAGCCAGCTGTAACAGGCCAGCGGTGGAGCACCAGCCACTCCTGCTGATTTTATCTGAGCCCGTCACAGGCACTATGGGATGGAGAACCTGTTCCACACAGCCTTGTGCCCAGCATGGGAGCCAGAGAATAAGCAGTAAGTCCCTGGGATAGGAGCCTGACATAGCTGCATCCTGTCCCAGCACCTCACATAAATCACCACCCTACCACTTCCCACAGCCCCACCCACCGACAGGCCAATCCCCCATGGCTTGTGTGGGGCATTACCTTGTAGAGGGTGTTGCGGATGATCTCGATGTTCATCTCGTCAAGGTCCTGCTCTGAAATGCAGTCCTGGAAAAAAGCCGCTGGGGAGGAAACATGGTTTGAGGGGTGGGCAGGTGGCCTAGGCCAGAATCCTGATGTTCAAATGCCCTACACGGCACAGAGTGCCCGTGCCACAAGGCCCACAGGGCTGGGTATTGAGGGGTCCCCAGCCTAGGCTGTTGCCTTGGAAGTGGCAGAAGCAATGCTCTGGGCCATGTACACTGACCTGAGCTTCTCCTGCCTCCTTGCTCCTAAAATTGATTTATAAAGGAGGCAGCTAGCCATAACATGATCTAATCACCGCTGGGGCAGACCCAAGCTCAGACCATGCCAAAGACAGGCTTGCATAAGAGGCCATGACATCCTCCCTTCTGGAGGGGCAGCTGTGGATTCGGGGCCTAACGCCTACTTCTCTACACCTCCCAGGAAGGCCTGGCGTCCACATTTGGAAAACCAGCCTCCTCCTTAGGACAAGTCCAACAGCAGGGTAGGCACAGACCAGCGACCCAGGGGGCCACTGTGGGGTTGGAAAGAGAGGCCAGAGCAGGATAGAGCACCCCCATCCCCCAAGAGGGCCTGCAGACTCACTGGTCTATCTCTTCATTAAAGATGGAGAAACTGAAGAAGCCACAAACAGCCCAGAACCAGCTCAGAGTTGCTGGGAGAGCCTACGGCAGACAAGGTCAGCAGGTAGGGCTCAGGCCTCTTAGCTCAGAACCCAGTGCAGCTTAGAGCCCTGTAGTTCAACCCTGGTGGCTTCTTAGAGGTGGTACCCCAGGCCCAGGACTCTGGCTACAAGGACACTTAATGCCTTCTCCTCGGCCTCCTAAGCAGGCAGGAACTAGCACTGCCTAAGCAGGGCTCTGCAGGAAGCTCTTGATTCCCCTTCCCTGGCTTCTGATACGGACCTTGCATCCTGCTGGATGCTGTCTGACCTGGCCCAGGGGACCTGCTCGGTGGAGGGAAGTGGCAGTGTTTGCTTCGCTCCTTGCCTCACAGGCAGCCACTCTGGCTTTACTCAGGCTCCAGCTCCGGGCCACAGTCTGTCAGAGCTCTCGGGACTCCAAGGGACTTGGGCCTCTCTCACTCTTCTCCATGAGCTCAGCCCTCCTCTGCACTCTGGGAGATCAGACTGCTTCACAAAGTGAGACAGTCCCAGTCAGGCCCTGGGTAGCCTGCCTGGCCCAGCAAAAGCAACAGGACAGGAGCAGAAGAGGGGTGAAGTGAGGAGAGAATCGGAGGAGGAAGTTGAAGGGAGACAAAGGTAAGCAGCAGTGGGCAGGTCTCACTTTCTGGCTCAGGGTCGCCCCCCAGCGGGTCCACAAACCCCACCCTGATGCGCTGATGCTGACACCACTGCCCACCTCCCATGACCACCACAGCGGCTCACCAAGAGGCGTGTCCACCAGAATGGCATTGTAGAGCTCAGCAGGTGTCTGAGCAATGTTCACGGCCTCCATCTGCTCGAAGCTGCCTAGTGGGTGGCACTTGGGCACGAGCTCAGCGATGGAGCGCTGGTGCAGCGTGCCTGTGATGAGCAGGATCACGTTGTCGATCATGTAACTGTAACTACAGGGGGCAGGCAATAGCAAGGAGCCCATCAAGGTGGGGGCCGGGAAGTCCTGGCATAGCACCATGCCCTCGCCCGCCTGCACAGGCCATCACCCCTTAACAATGTATGCTGACTCATGGGTGCTGCGGATAAGCACCAGTGTCTCCTCTCCCTCCCCATGTTCCTCTCAAGCTTCTGACCACCCCCACTGCCAGAGGCCTAGGACAGACACAGGCCCCCCAAACGGGCGGGGGCAGGGGATTCATGCCCTGTGAGGGACTGGGACACGAGCTAACTACCCCACAGCATGAACAGTGTTCTAACAGGACACAGGAATGGGGCACAGGAGGTGAGACATGCAGCCCAGCCCAGGGGGTGAAGAGCGTGAGAGCCTGGGAAATTAAAGGGCTGGGAGAAGAAAGTGTGTTCTGGGAAGAGGGAACAGCATGTGCAAAGGCCTGGAGGCACTCACTGAGTGACGGATGCATTGGAGGAACTGGCATGGTCAGGACTGGCAGAGGGAGAGAAAGGCGCAGCAGCCGGCAGCACGGGGCTGCAGCAGGCGGGGGGCAGAGGCTGGGCCTGGAGGGCCCTGGCTTTGTTTTGAGCACTAGGGATCTATGAGCAGGGTGTAAGCAGGGGAATCGCCATCCAGTTAGGGTCACTCTGTCCCCCAGTGGGGACAGAAGAGGAAGAGGCAGAGATAGCGACAGGAGGAAAGGCTGAGGAGTGGAGTGGAGAGAAGCTTCTCCAGGGAAGGCCAGCAAGGAGCCAGTGGGGGTTCTCTGGAATGAAGGCCCAGGTCAGGCAGACCTGCACAGCCTATGCCAGAGATAGAGAACTGTCCTCTTCTTTTAGGGCCTGAGGCCAGGGCTGGGCATTCACCCAGGACGGCCTGGATAAGACCCAGAGACCTGAACAGGAGGCTGGGTCAGGTCGATCCCAGGCCGAGGCTCCCATCACTCTGCCCTGCAGAAGGCCAGCTCTGTGGGGTACATGGGCAGCAGAGGGGGCTGTGGAGCTGGGGAGGGGTGAGACTGCCCAGTTCAGACTTGGCAAGGGACAAGGCTCTGCCTCCAACCAGCTACAAAGGGGCTGGGGCAGAGAGTTCTGTGTAGTCACCTGTGTGGGGATGCAGTGAAGGCAGTAAGCCCCATTCCACAGTTAGGCTGCAGTAGCCACAACTATCCTCCAGTCTGTCACCAAAGATGAACTCAGGGTATGAGGGAGCTAAATGAGGCCTAGGGGAAATTCCTCCAAGGTCAAGGTGAGGCACCTATGGGATAAAAGTTGGGGTGGAGGCTGCTGTTCTGAGCTGGGCACTGAACACGGGTCTTGTCCTAGCTTCTGAGTGGGCCAGAGCTAGGCCCCTGCCCTGTGACAGGACCTTGTGCAACTAGTGCTCAGGCTGTCCAGAGAAGACCTTGGTAGGAGGTGTCTTCCCCCATACTGAAGAAAGAAAGGAGGGGAGGTGGCAGCCCAGGGCCCAGGCCACGGCTCAAAGCACTGGCCACTGGGGGAGCTCCCACAGGGCCCTCTAGAAAGGCGGCAGGAGGAAAAGGCCCCAGCTCCTGTCCTGGCCTGACCCCCACTCCCCCTGCTTGCTCTGCACTCCCCCAGCTCCCACCCAGCCTGGCGCCCTGCGAAGACCTTTGCTCTCCTGGGCCTGGAGCCAGGCAACTGCCCTCTCTCCACCCCCAATCTGGCTGGGTCAGCTACAGGATGTGCACTGAGAAGAGACAGTCCCCTAACTCCCAACCATAACTGAGAGCCTTAAGCAGGGCCCACTTGCAGCTGCAAGCCAAGAGGCCCAAATGGGCAGCCTCCTGCCCCCAACCCCACAGTGCTGGCAGAGTGAGGGACCTCAGAGCTCGCCAGAGCTTTGGGCCATGGTCTGCAGCTCCAGCCTGCATATTTTCTACCCCGGACAGCACACACGCCTCCTGCCTATGAGGCCTCCAACATCTCACATACCCCAGAACCCATGCTGCATATGCGCCACCCCGCAATACTCTAACTGCACCCCATCCAGCCCCAATGTAGCCTTGGTGCTCCCTGAGACAGTCACAAATCCCCTGCCCCCAAGCAGAAGGATGCTTTCTTATGCTCTCCCTCCCTTTCGGACGGGAAGAGGGAGAAAAAGCACACCCAAGGCCCACCTTATCCAAGTGATCCCACAACCACTAGCATTACCAGCCCCACTGTCAGAGCAGATAAGGCCCAGAGAGGGCCAGCACCAGGCCCTAACACACCACAAAGCAGAGGAGCTCCACGTCCCCATGGCCAATGTCCACACACCTCCACCCATGACCAGGGCCCCCTGCCTGGCTCTACATACCCCACCTAGTCTCATTTTCTCAGAGGGATCCCCACCAGCCAATCTCCTCTTTTTCAACGTCCCCCTCCTTGCGCCCCCCACTCAGGGCATCTGTTTATGTGGGGGAAATGCTGAGCCTAGTAAGGGCCACTCACAATCGCACTACCCCAGCCCCTTCAAGGCCCTCTTCAAACCCAAGCCAGGCCAATCGTGGGCGATCCTGTGCCAGGCCCAGCACTTCCCTTGCCGGGCTGGCTATAAGCTTGTTGCTGCTGCAGCCCTGCTTTTCTCTCCTGCCCAGTGAGGGGCAGAATCCTCTTTTTCAGGAGATGAGAGGCTGGACAGGCCTGGCAGAGATAAGGCTGGCCCAGCAGTCTGCCTTTCTCCCAAGGCCGAGGCCTTCGGCAGGCAGGGAAATCCTCCTCTTCCTCCTTGCCTGGCTTCAGCAGCTGCCTCCCTGCCCCCAGAAAGCCACTCCACCATTCCTCCCCTCATTTGGCCTCAATAGGAGGGAATAAGGTTCCAGCTGGTCAGCATCTCCCTCCAGGGGAAGACAGCTGGGGAGTGGAGGGCCGGCTGCCCGCCAGGCCAAAGAGGCCCTTGTGGGGTGGGGGTGGGGCCGTCTGTATTCCTCTGCCCAGAGGCCCTCCCTTGCCCTGTGCCTTCAAAACTCAGCTTGGGCCCACAGACATCTTGGGTTGGAGTTTAGGAAGCCACTTCCTCCAAGAAGCCTTCAGAGTCCCTAGCCAACTCTGCCCCTCTGCTGCGCCCTTTGGTGCCACCTGCTGGAACAATATGGCTTCTCAACCCCGGGTGGCTGGTCTGGTGCTGGTGAGGCAGCCATGATGCCTGGGTAACCCTGCCAGCCTGTCCACTGCAGTCCCCAGCAGGTGCTCCAGTGAGCTGCTAATGACAGTATCTGTATTCAATCACTTCTGGGTCCTGAAGAGCCCTGTGCAGAGTGGAAAGTGAACAGAAATATCACTGTTTCTGAGCTCTGTCCATGGCCTCAGCACACCACCTCTCGAGACTTAGTTTCTCCTCCATATCAAGATGAGTGAGGGCCAGGCATGGTGGCTCACACCAGTAATCCCAGCACTTTGGGAGGCAGAGGTGGGAGGCTCTCTTAGCTCAGGAGTTTGAGGCCAGCCTGGGCAACATAGCAAGACCTCATTTCTATTAAAAAATCAAAAAAATTAGCCAGGTGTGGTGGCATGCACTTGTAATACCAGACACTTGGGAGGCTGAGGCAGGAGGATCACTTGAGCCCAGGAGATCAAGGCTGCAGGTGAGCTATGATCATGCCACTGCACTCCAGCCTGGGCAACAGAGCAAGATCCTATCTCAAAAAATAAAATAAATAGAAGATGAGGGTGGGTGCTGTGGCTCATGCCTGTTATCCCAGCACTTTGGGAGGCCGAGGAGGGCGGATCACTTGAGGCCAGGAGTTTGAGACCACCCTGGCCAACATGGTGAAATCCTGTCTCTATTAAAAATACAAAAATTAGTCGGGTGTGGTGGCGCACACCTGTAATCCCAGCTGCTCTGGAGGCTGAGGCAGGAGACTCACTTGAACCTGGGATGCGGAGCTTGCAGTGAGCCGAGAACGTGCCACTACATTCTGGCCTGTGCGACAGAGTGAGACTCCAGCTCAAAAAAAAAAAAAAAAAAAGCATATGAGTGAGGTGTGGCTCCAACAGAGATAGTGAGCTTTAACCTGCTCATAAAAGTCCTGCCTCTCCCCAAGGCCCAGTTGGGTCCTTCCACCTGGTCTGAGCCTTCTGGGCCTCACGGAGCTCCTGCATGCTTGACCCCAGGAGAAGAGTGAAAGTGCTGGCACTCCTTCAAGGCAGGAGCCAGGTCTAGCCCAGGACCCTGAAACCACAGCAGGCCTACAGCCCCCAACTGCAGAGTCCTGCCATGGACCCAGAAACAGTGACTGTAGATAGCAAAGACAGGAACTGGCCAGGGGAGTGGGGGCCAGAGGAACCTGATGTCCCTCTGTGACCAAGCAGGGCCCCAAGGTTGGGGTGACAGGTCCTGGAGAAAATCACAGATGTGCTGACAGGCCCATTAGGCATTTGAGGCCACTGTCCTGGGACAAAGCCTCTTACCAGTTGCCCACTCCAGGCTGGTGGCACTGAGGCCCCTGACACAAGAGAAATATGGGCCCTCAGATCCCCCAGGTGGTGCAGGTTACCCATGCCCAGGCTCTGCCAATGGGCACCTGGGCTAGGCCCCCTCCAGGGAGGCTCACTCATTCAAAGACAAAGGCCTTTAAAGCCCACCTGGGACTCCCCAGAGGCCGCACTCACTCCTCCCACAAGTCTCTCAGCATGTCTTCTAGGACCAACTCTCTCAAGGGAAAACATCATGGAATGGCCCAGATCAAAGTCCCCTCCAAGGCCAAAAAACCCTGACAGACACCATCCCAAGTCCCACAGCAAGGTAATGACTGGGCTTGGGCATGGTGACATAACAACATGTTAGTGGCATGAAACTGAGCCAGATCCTCTCAAGAGCACATGACGACAGTCTACTTCAGGGGCCCTATCTCACTCAGGCTGTCGGCCCCATGCCAGACAGCTGCCTCATGCCAGACAGCTGCCTCTTCTCCAGCCACCTACTCTCTCCAGTGGCTTCTCTATCCCCACCTGATCCTGGAGTCCTCCCAATGCTGTGAAGCCACCTGTGACCCCCAGTTCCATTTGCTAAAGCTGCTCACAGTCCTCTCCAGGCACTGTCTATACTATCACTGGTGCCATCCCACTGCATCCAGGCACCTCCCTCCCAGCCCCAGGCCTGGCCCAGAGCAGGTACTGGTTATGTGTGCGGCTGAAGGCTGGCCAGGACCTACGAAAGCAGTGGACACTGTCTCTCACACAGAAGGGCAGAGGCAGCCTCAGCCAGCTCCTGCTTTCATCACCTCCTGGCAGAAGCCTGCTCCAGCCAGCCTGGGGCAGCTCCAAAAGCAACTATGAGGCCCTGAGGGATGGAGCTAAGGTGACCTCTGTAATGGTCCCAACCTCTGTCCCTAGCTGGGCCAACTTTGTCTGTGGGCAGTCAGGGCACTGTTCCCTCAGGTCTTCACACCCAGGACAGGGCCTCTCGCTGATGCTTCTACTGCCTGGAGGACTGTACTCTCCTGAGTATATTCCTCTGCGTTTTCTAGGGTAGCTTCCTCATTCCCAGAGTGGGCACCCATATCTGGAGGCTGTTGTGTGGGGCACAGAGCCAGGTGCACCATGCTCGCTACTCAGGACATGTATAGTTCCCTCAACCTAAAAACCCCCTATTCCAATGCTTCCCTTAAATGCTTTTCCCCTCAGCCAAACTAGCCACCTCCTCAGGGAAGCCAATCGTGAGCCCCAGCCTGGGGGAGCTCAGGCCTCTATGGAAGGCTTCACCCCTTCCTGCAACACTCCACACACACACTGGGGATGGCCTGCTGGGGCAGAGCGGAGAAGGGAGAGTGGCCAGAGAGGTAGGAGTTAAGTCAGAGAGGCATCATGGGAGCAAAGAAATAGCTAGGGGGGCTGGGGGGTGGACACCGCAGAGTGGTCACGCCTGGAGACCTTGGCTACGTGAAGGTCAGGGGTGGCTTTAGCCAGGGCCTTGTGGTGGAGTGACGGGACTGTTGAAAGCTCGAGGGATGAGGGGAAATGAGAGAACAGACAGTGAATGTAAAAGTTTAGGTCCCACGAGATGTTTTTTAATTATTTGAGCTTGCTTAGATACTGAAGAGAAGAATTCGGAAGGGAAGGTGCCTGCACAGACAGGAATGCAAATGAGTGGCCACTCAGCATCCAGGGAGTAAGGTGAGGGCACTCAGAACATTGGTGGAAGGATCCAAGAGAAAAGGAAGGGCACTTCTGCCATTGGAATAGGGTTCGGGCGGTGGGGGGCAGAAGCAGCACTGGGAGGCATATTATTGGCTTCCACTGTCTTTGTGAAGAAGGTGGGCCACCTGCCCAAGAGGAGGCTGGGGGCAGGAGAGCAATGGTGTTTAAGACGGGAAGGTGGTCTTTGCAGTGCTGGTGGGGTCTGCAGGGTGCTGAGTAGGTAGAGCCAGAGGCTGCCAGGCAGAAAAAAGCTTGAGGCTGGCTAAGAGGGTGAGCATGCAAGCCTGGCAGCAAGGATGACCCCCCACTCAAGGCTGGCTTCCCCAGCTTTCCTCCCGGCAGTGGAGGTAGGGGGAGAGCGGCTCCAGGCTGGAGGCTGCTGGGATTCCTCCAGGGCTGGGGGGCTGCCAGCCGGGTGGGACCATGAGTCGGGCGGCCAAGAGAGCTGCGGATGTTGGCAGAAAAGTGCTCGAATGATGGACCAGGGAACTTCAGTTGGGGAGGGCGGGAAATGAAGACAGAAGGGGTAGCAGGGGAGGAAGCAAGGCCTAGTGTCCCGCTGAGTCTGGAACCCGTGTCCCACAAGGGACTGAGAGTGGGCTGGAGGGCCTGAAGGCTGTGGGTAGAGAGGTGCCTGATTCAGCAATTTCAGGGGTGGAGCAGTTCCAGGTGGTGACATGGGCCTGGGCAGCCATCAGTGGGGATGGCTGAAGTGCAGAGCAGAGGAGCAAAGGAGCAGGTCATTGGAGATGACGAGGTCATGGACCAAGCAGACACAGGCCCTGATGGGCTGACACGTGACTGCTGAGCTCCTTCTGAGTGAGGGGAGGAGTGAGTGGCTGGTAGGACTGGAAGCCACAATCACCCATGAATGGAAGGGGTGGGAAGTGGCAGATTCGGACAGCCTTCCACAGGACAGCACTTGGCTGCTTTAAGCACCCTTGGTGCTTGCAGCCAACCTCCAGCTGTGGTTGTGCAGCCTCAGTCACGCTCAGAGCCCTCTCCAGTTTCATGGCCTGGCAGGCTAAGACCAAGACAGGCCAAAGGCTAGCTGCACAGGCAGGTGGGCCAGTGGGCAGTGGGGTGGGTGATATCTACCCTCTGACCATGGGCATGGGGTCAGGCCTCCTCTGGCCAGCCTAGCTGGCAAGGCCAGAACATTCACCAGGAAGCTGAAGCAGCCTTGTGCAAACAAGTCTCAGGCTGGGCTCTAGCAATAAATGTACTGCTTCCTGGTATGTCCTCAGCTCTGGCTTTGCAGCAAGGAACACAGAGACCAAGGCCAGGGAATGATCAACAGATGGGGAGCTGCAATGTGACCCCTAATGTAGCACCACAAGAGACACCCCATTACCAGCCTCCTGCCCCAGTAGGTCCATGTTGGCATACCTTGATGGAGGCCAGGGCAGCAAGGAGACTCTCAGGAAAGGAGGCCTGTGGCCAGGAGAGGGCCTGCTTCCTAGCTTGGGCATGTTCCCTGGCCCTTCAGGTGTCCCAGCCTCTGACTCCTGCCTGAGAATGGAGCCCTTTGGCTGCAGCACTTCTTGAGCAAGTGGATCCTGGGCAAGTGGCTCCTAACTGCAGGGGATAAGAATCAGGCCAGGCAGCAGGCATCTAACTCTGTCCCTGCAGGGACAAGTGGGGCAGGTGTGCCAGGTCCCAAGGAAAAGAGTGGGGGCACCATAATCAAGGAATGGTAAAAGTTAGACAATACCCAGAGAGCTCAGGGAAATGCTTCACCATACTGCACACTCACACTCTGCCAATGCAGGGTACTCTCCTAGACGCTAGCCGCTGAGCATGCCTCTGCTCACCACCCCTGTGGGGCCACCACCTAGGCTGGGACTATTTCTTTGTCCACCAGGACTTGGCTCATGGCTCTTGGGACATCCCTGCAAAGGGACCCTCCCTACCTCCCTGTGCAGTCCAGGTGCCCTCCCCGTGCAGTCCAGGTGCCCTCCCCGAGCCTGCAGATCCCAAGGTCCTTTCCTCCACTCAGCTTCTCCAGGAGCTTGATGAAGGCAGAGCTGTGCCCAAGGGTCAGACAATGAAGAAGCTGGGGCAGCCAAGAGTCATAAGAATGGGAGCCTGCCCACCTGAGTTCCTGAGGGCTTGCGTCAGAACTGAGAAAGGCAGCTAGACGTTCAGCCTGCCCCTCAACTCTACTCCGAACCAATCTCCCTGAGACCCAGGGCCATGGTCAGAGCAGATAGAGAATGGGCCTATCCTAAGACCTTGGCCTTTCAGAGCTCTGTCCATCCCGACACCTGACCCCTCGCATGGGGAGTGGGGCCTGGTGAGTGTTCTGTTTGGGTGCTGTAGGGTAAGAAAAAGGGCTCCCACCTTCCCAGGTTTCCCTGCCCCAGTCTATGTGACTGGGGGAAGAGGCTTCATCCAGCACTACTGCGTGGGACACTCTTGCCTGCCCATCATATCTTCAGCCAGTAGTGAACGTGCTGGTGACCCATTTCATAGGTGGTGGCCTGGAAGTCCAGGGTTGTTGAATGACCACGCACACAGTCAGGGAGGACTCTGAAGGTAGGGTCCTGGGACACCTGGCCTGACAGAGCTGCCATCAGCTCTGACAGCTGACACAGGCACGAAGGCAGCTAGCCTAAGCCACACTGAACCCAGCTCCTGCAGGTGTAGCTATCCTGCCCAGGTAAGAGAAGAAGGCGCTACAAAGCACACTCACGTAATGAAGTCTAGGAAGCTGGCGAGTGGCTCATAGGCATGGTTCCTCATGTGGCGGAACTCCACCACCATCTTCTCCTTGAGCCGGTCATCGATGACTGACACCGTCAGAGGTGATGCCTCGTTGGCCAGGAAGTTACCATAATCAGTGCTCTGCAGATGCAGTTTCAAGTCTGAAACCCAAGGGTAGGGGGTAAGGGCTAGCCTTGCTGGGCCTCCCCAAGGGTCCCAAGTCCCCATCCCCACCCCAACTCAGCCCCAGCTCTCCCCTGCAGTTGTGTCCCGCTACTACCCTGATCTCCATCTCCCTGTTGGCTCAGGGCCTACCACAGGGCAATCAGCTAAGGCCCTGGAGATGCACCAGATCTTTGGGCCACAATCCAGCACATGGAGCCCCAAAGTTCGAGCATAAGAGGAACAGTTCCTCCCCAAGATGACAAGAAAGCCTGGGAAATTCCAAGGTCCAATCCACAACCCACAGCCTTTGAAGCCCTTCTGTATGTTAAGCTGTAGGCTGGCCCTAATCTAGAGCAGGGTAAGTCATGAGCCCTGCACTCCAGGGCCTCAGGGTCAGAGGGGCAAGCCAACACACCCCGAGGCACATGAAATACAAGAGATGCCTGAAGCTGTGGGAGTGGAGTGGAGAGGGCACCAAAGATCAGACTGAGAAGATGAGAAGGCCACAAAAGGCTGGGCCACAGCAAAGGGCAGGGGCAAGAAAGTACAAAGGAAACAGCCAGGAGGATGGTGTGAGTGACAAGTGGCCTGCAGGGCAAATGAGTGGCATGCGGGGGAGGTGAGGCTGGCAGGAAAGACTGAGCGTCCCTTCAGAGTGGCCGGAGACAGGCAGACCAATCCTGAGGGTTCTCTTGAGCATTCAGAGATGGGGTAAGGGAAAAGGAAGGAGAGGCAGAGCAGAAGGGCCCGGGGGAAGCAGGCCAAGGGAGAGGCAGTGGGATCCTGATGAGAACCTAACAACAGTCTCCCAGAGTGTTTTGTTTTTGTTTTTGTTTTTTGTTTGTTTGTTTTTTTTTTTAGAGATGGCATCTTGCTAGGTTCCCAGGCTGAACTTGAACTCCTAGTCTCAAGTGATCCTCTGGCCTCAGCCTCCCAAGTGGCTGGGACTACAGGCATGTGCCAGCCAGAGTGATCTTTTTAAAACACAAGGCAGACCATGCCATTCATTGGCCTTAAACTCTCCGCTACTCCTACTTTACTCAGAAAGAGTCCCTTCCAGAGCCCTCATGTGGTGGTCCCACCATCCCCGCTTAACCTCTCTGACTTAGGTCCTGCCATTCCCCCATGCTCACTATCCCCAGCCATGTCCCCACCTCAGGGCCCTTCCCCGTCCCCTGGCCTGAAAGTGGAGCTGTCTCCCCCTCTTCCTTCAGATCTTTCCTCACACGCCCCCTCTTCAGAGGCTTCTCCAGCAGCCCATCACTGTCCCTTGTGTTATTCTTCTTAGCAGTACTTATCCCACCTGATACAGGACACAGAAGCTCCCTGGGGACAGTACCAAGGACAGTGGCTGAGAAGATACCCAGGCACATGGTGGCGGAGGCTGGCTTGGAAGACTACATGCCTCTCTGTCCCCTGGGGAGGCTGCCCAGGGGATCAAAGGCGGAGCTGCACTTGGGACCACCTCCACACGCTGTCCTGGCCACGGCCTCCCCAGATGTCTTTGAGGCTCAGGAGACCATGCTAGCCTGGGTTGTTTAGAGAAGAAGGGAAGTGGGGCACATAAACCCTCTACAAGCTTAGGGGACCCCTGTGATGCCCCTCCTGCTGTACTCCATCAGGAGAAGACAGCCCCAACCTGGAGTCAGGCGAGCTAAAGGAGAGATGGAACACAGCATGTTGGAATACAGCAGGTCTCTGGAATAGATGCCTTCCACCTGCATCTCTGGGGGGCTGGTAGCAGGCCACACTCATGACCTCTGTGGCTCCTGGGCACTCATGGAGTGAACTTCAACCTCCTGAGGCCTGCAGGAGACACCTGCTGCCTTCACCATTACTCTGCAATTGACCACTACTTTTCTCCCATGGCCACCCAAAAGGGCATAGAAGAGAAAGTCAGGCAGGGCAGGCAGAAGCCACCAGCCCCTGTTCTGCTCTGTGGACCCCAATGCCTTTTTGCCTGGGAAATGTGCACTCTCCTACATCCTTACCCCAGGCCGTCTGCAATGAACCCTTGCCCTGAGATCTCTTCTCCCACATCCTCACCACATCTAACCAAGCCCCAGCTACTCCTAGAGTAAGGCATGGGTGAGAAAAGATGCTTTGCTCAGTAAACTTGGGTGGTTGCATTATTTCATTACCCATTTGGTTGTTAACTGTTCTTAACTGTAATTGATGGTCATTGCTGAAATAATATATTGCCTGTATTTCTACCTCTAGAAATGGGTTTCATGTGCTAGATTTTAATATCCTTGAGCTTGGGCAAGTATGCAAGCCTTTTTTTTTTTTTTTTCTGAGATGGAATCTTGCTCTGTTGCCCAGGCTGGAGTGCAGTGGCACAATCTCGGCTCACTGCAACCTCTGCCTCCCGGGTTTAAACGATTCTCCTGCCTCAGCCTCCCGAGTAGCTGGGACTAAAGGTGCATGCCACCATGCCTGGCTAATTTTTTTTTATTTTTAGTAGAGACGGGGTTTCACTATGTTGGCCAGGCTGGTCTCGAACTCCTGACCTCAGCCTCCACCTGCCTCAGCCTCCCAAAGTGCTGCGATTACAGGCGTGAACCACGTGTGCAAGTCTTTTTAAGAGAAACATGGTTTATTTGTACAAAACTGAGAGATTGTTAATGCCCCTGATGTGGTTTTTGTGGATGTGAAATGGTAAGAATATTAACTGGTTCCTCTTACTGTGGTATTAAAATGAAGCCTTCTTAATTTATCAAAGTCATGTTCATGCTCTGATTTTATATACTTGGGGTTCTGGCCCAGGCCCAGCAAGTGCTGAAATCTCCACTAGGGGAAGCTGCAGAGCGGATGGCAGCTGGGAGCCAAGACTGGAATACAGTTCTCTGGGTCAGACCCAGGCACTGGTGCGGCAGCTGCCAGACCAAACCTGTCTGCTTATTCACACAGCCACTGCAGCCAGCCAAGAGCCCTTCTCAGGCCAGGAGACTTCTTCCTTTTCAGCTATAGCCTGGGCCTAGAGGCCGGGCCAGATGTACAGGGTGAGCTCCAGAGAAAAACTCAGTCCTTTGGGTGGTGGCACTCCTGCCAGTGACTCCACTATTCCCTGGGACTGGGAGTCTGGACCCCGGTCTGGCCTCCTGATCCCTCCCCTCCAAAGCATCAGGGGCTGGGCCTCACCCGGGCATCTGTGTACACACTGCTCTTCCAGGCCCTGGCACAAGCTGCTGGGAGGCTTCCCCGAGTGAGCTGTCACCTCCTACTCAGGATCCTCATGAGCTCTCAAGCAGCATGAAACTTCCTCTGCTCCAGCCTCCCACTTTGCTCCACATGGCTTCTCTCCCTAGCTCAGCAACTTCCCCACTGCCAAGCACCTTTCCCCTCCCTAGGCCTCCATGACTCTCTATCCAACACCTGGGACTGGCCAGGGGGGAGTCCCCTCATCCCAACATGAAGCGGGCAACCCAGATCTACTCTAACTGGAAACACATGGGCTGTACGGTGTACTCATCCCCATGCCAGGAGCAACCTGTGTGCTGGACCTCTCAACCATGCCCATCTCAGCCTCAGGAACAGAAATCAGACAGAACATGAAACCTGTCCAGAGTCCCAGAGTTGGGGCATAGAGGGGCTGGGATGTGGAGCAGGCCTGGGGGATTCTATCTGTCCCCAGATCTAGTTTCCTCCTCTCCTCCCCACTCTGCACCTCCTTTACCGCTCTATTCCCCAGCCCTTGACCCAGGACAGGCTTTTCAGATACAGACTCAGCTGTCCAGACAGATTTCAGTCCCAGATGAGCTGGCAGGTGGTGGCAGAGGGGTGGGAGAAGCCAGGGCATGCCTTCTTCCCCTCCTCGGAGGCAGCCTGAACACTCACTGCTCACCTGACAGGCATGGACCATCAGCACTGTCACTGGACTGTCATCACTCAGGGACAAGTCCCTCTGGCATCCCTTGTGGCACCATCCATTCCTAGAGAAGCCAGGAATGTGTGCACGTGAATGAGGGGGCAAAGCCAAGCAGAGGGCTCTCTTCTGCAGGCCCCCCACTCCTGGGCTCAGCAAGGGCCTCCAAGCAAACACCCCTGTGCCTTGGCTGCTGCATTCTGCTGACACTGCATCTGGGGAAGCCACGGCTCCAAGCACTGCTGGAACGCAGGCGGCTGGGTGGTTTCTGCTGGCATTTGTCAGATCAGAGCAAACCCGGGAGACTCTACTGAGAATCCTGCCCAAGGCCTGAGGAGTCTTCCTTACCAGGAAACTTATTTTTTAAAAGCCCCCAGGGACGATGTCAAAGGGCCGTTCCAGACCACTTTCCCTGGCCAAACCCCACATCTCCCTGTGACCCAGGGAAGGGGGACAGCCTGCCAGCCAAGAAGGCGACTTAGAGAAGGAGGCCTGCTGAACCCTCAGCTCACCCATGAGGAGACCACACAGGGCTTCTAAACCAGCTCTGGCCCTGTTGGAGAAACCTGGCTCCCAGACCCAGTGGCTGGCAGCCCCAAGCCCTAAGACAGTACTGGTCAGGCCTAGGACAAGGCTGGTTGGGATGCTCCCTCCTCCCCAGCTTCCTGCTCTCTCTGAGGGATGCGGAGGAGGGGATGTGACTGGGAGGGGACGTGACTGGGAGCAGGATCTAAGCACAGAAGGAGAGGCCTGGAACTTGTTGAGAGCTTTGTGGGAGACCTGGCCACCCAGCCCTGGCCCAGCCTCTGAGGGCAGCCAAGGACGGCAGGGGCTCTGGGAAGCCAGGGGCTAGTTCTGCTCTGGGCCTTGGGCTCAGCAGCCTGACAGCCTCAGTGATGGCCACTGAGAGGCCCAGACGTGCCCAGCCAAGGCATGAGCAAGCAGTGTTCTGGCTAGCACAGACTCGGGGGACCGCTCTGGTCTACCCACAAGCCCAGCTGTCTACCCCAAATCCTCCCATCCATGGCCCAACAACAGGAATGTCTGGCCAGCTTGGGATCTCTCACAGTAAAAGACTTCCTTGAAGGCTGATTTCTCATGTTCAAAAGATGCTGCTGCTCTCAGGAAGTTCTCTCTGCTGTCTGACCTGAACCCCAACTCAGAAGCAGCAGACCAACTTGGTCTCCCGGTATCTCCAGCCTTCCCTCAGGCCTAGGCTTGCTCCTCAGTCTGCACCCCAGGACCTTCCCACAACTCCTCTGCTTCCCACATTCTTGTCCCCATGTTCAGATGACTCTCCCCCCAGCTCCATCTCCTGGCACTACCCAGGCCTTCTGCCCCACATCTTGGCTCCCTACTCCCAAGACCACTCTCCATACCATCACCAGAATGAAGTCCTCCAAATTGAATGGTTCGCTGTCACCTTCACCCAGCAGTCCATGTAGCCCTGAAGCTGGAGTTCTGCCTCTCCCCCACAGCCTGTGAGGCCCCGTGCCCTCAGCCCTAGCATTACCTCAGCCCTTGACTGGTCTAACAGTGCTACTTGCTGGCCAGAGTGACCTTCCTGTGATCTCTGCTCCAGCAAGTGCTCCAGGGAAGTCCACAGGCTGCCGGAGAGAGAAGCCCTTGAAGTGCAGGAAATAGTGCTGCTTTCTCAGGCCCATAGAGAGGCTGGGTTGGGAAGACACACCCCCAGCCTGGAAAGTGAGAGTCCCTGCCCTCCCACCTCCACAGGCCGGCCCTGTCCACCCTGAGGTTGCCTGTGTCAAGGACCATTGCCCTGGCTCCAGCAGGGGCAGCTGAGGTCTTTGAAGAGGCCTGGGAAGGCTGCAGCCCAAGACCCACCTGGCATGGCTGCCCCTCTCAGGGGTCGCCAGGCTGCACCAGACTCAGGCTGGCCACACTGAGCCCCAGCTGGCACCCCTATCACCCTAGCCCTTGATTAATAGGAGGGCATGGGACACTCAGCCTGCCCAGTGCTTTCTGCTCTCTGTGTGACAAAGTATGGGCTTGGCAGCTAACCCCAGACAGGCCTTGAGAGGTGGCAGCTGGGCAGCCCTGCCCCCGCCCACTTCCTGAAACTTTTCCCAGATCCTGCCAACCCAGAAGGGGATCTTTCAGCCTCTCCAGGGCTCCCAGGCTCAGATGGCACACGGCTTTTTCAGCCCCCAGGCCTCTGCAGTTCCTCCCCAAGGGCCATAGGGAGGCAGAAAGGAGGGTCCTGGCCCGTGCCAGGGGGTTGGTCCCACATGCCCCAGGGCCCAGTAGGCATGGAGGCAGCCCCTGGCCAGCATACTGGGCGGGGCAGACCCGCTTGAGGCTCCCCCATGGCCTCATGGCCGGCCCATGGAGGGGTCTTGCTGGCCAGCTGGCCACAGCACAGTGTGAGAGGACAGAGTGTTCCCAGACTTTACTTCTGCTTTTCCAGAGGTCACTCAGTGAGGCTCTCCTGGGGAGCTCAGGGGTTTTCAGGAATTGAGGCCCACTGAATGGAACCAGATGTGAGAACATGCTCCCTAGACTCTGGTGTGCCCACAATGCCATTCTCTGCAAGGGTGGCAGAGTCTTGGAGCCTGTTCTACCACTCCCCTGGGCCTGGCTGAGAAGTCGGCTTCGAAGGGACTGGACCTGGGCTCTACCTCCAATGCTACAACTTCTACTGGCTCAAAGTAGGAAAACTCAGACAGATGGACCAATGTGGACAGATGGCCAGGCTGGTGGCCCAACAAAGCGAGAGCTGCCCTGCCCCTCCTCGGTGAATGTGCTGCGCCTGACCTCCTCCCTAGGCTCAGGAGTGGGAGGAGACCTTTTTTTTCATATCAGCTCCAAAGCAGATGTGTGCACTGGCTGGCTGGATCTGCAGGGTCAGAGCACCACATCTGGAACTCTCAGTGTGGGAGCCACAGCATAGAAACCATTAACCCTGGGTTTACCTGGGGCCTGCAGCACAGTATGAGTGTCCTCTTCAGCCCCCAGGCCTCTGCCAGGGCCCTTCGCAGGCTCTCTGCAAACCTCACGTAACACCAATTGACTGAGTAACCCCAAGTTCCAACACTTCCTATCAAATGCCAGCTTTCCCCCCTCCCCCCATGCCATCTGCCATTCCCCATCCGGAACCTTGGCACTATCACCCTCAACTGGGGTATCCATGGCACCTTTCCCTGGCCAGTGCAGGCCCACCCATCACCCATCAGCTGATCCATCCCACAGCCCCAGCCCCCTCTGCAGATCCATTTTGCCAGATCACTGGCTTCAAGACATTATTCCTTAGGCAGCTGAGTGGGACAGGGGAGAAAGAATCTGGGCTTCAGAGCCACAAGGACCTGGGTTCAAATCCTGTCTACAAATTGGCCCTAAAACACTTGTGGAATCTCTCTGGAACCAGGCCCCTGGCCAGTCACCAGGTAACAGGTTCTGCAGTGCCAGCCTCCCAGGGCACTGCACAGACACTGAGCAAAGGCAGCGGTTTACAGAGAGCTGAGCACAGCATACCACAGTCCATTTCTCCTGGCAGACACCATGAGCCCAGCAGTGTGTAGCCTTGACTCCAGGCTGTTGCTTAGGCTGTCCTACTAAGTCCTGTACAGAAGGTACCTGTTCCTCCTCTCCATGGTCTGTCCCAACCCTTTCCCAGGCCTCTAGCATGCTGTCCTCCCTGTCATAAAGCCTGCAGGGGACCTTGTGCAGCATGAGCATGCTAACACTCTGCTATCTCCTGGGGAAAGAGAAACAGGGCTGGCTCAAGAGCCGGGGCTTCTGTCCCCAAACCTACATCTCACCTATCAGCAAGATCATAGAGAGCTCTGAGCAGCCCCAGCAACCTGGATAGAGAGAGGCAAGGACAGAACTCTGCACCACCCACCACACCCTGAGTTGCCCTGAGGGTCTCAGGAGCAGGTAGGAGGTAGTATAGCCAAGGACAGCTCTTGCTTCATGGGAAACCTCTGGGCTGGCAGGCCAGTAGTCTTGGGAAGAACCTGGAGTCTCCTGCTGGCACGGTCACATGCAAGTTACTAGGTTTCAGGTGGCTAAGGCAGAGCTCCTGCAGGGAAAAGACAGTAAGTTCTCCTTCCTCGGTCCCTGGACCTACATTTTGTTTCATGCTAGAGGTTTTTCAGTGAGGTGAGGCACTCACAGTAGGGGAATGGGGCCAATCTGCAGAGATGGTCCAGCTGACACCAGGGGCCAGCGGCACCGACCATCAGCAACATCAGACACAGGGATCAAATGGGAGAGTCACCTCCCAAGTCCAGGAAGCAAAAGGATGTCTGCCCTGGGTTCATCACCCCACTCCCTGCTCTGGGACAGGTGGTAGGTGGTGGCAGAGACACATTTAATTACCCTCATACTCTCAGGAACACCTTGTCCCTGAGGCTGGGAGGATGAAAGCATTTCTCACATCCTAGGAGGAAGTCAACTCGTTTGACAGTCAGGAGGGTGCCAGGCAGGCGACAGTCCCATGTGCCAAAGGGAGGGGCAGAACTGGTTACTGCTGCACCCAGGGCAAGTTCCAAGAAGCTCTCCTCTGACTGAGTGGAGATCCGCCTGGACAGCCCGTCACCAGGCCGTCCCCACCCAGGCCTGAAGGCTCCATGGGACTGGCATGTCCCAGGAGACACAGGGCTTGCAGGGCAGCTTTCCTATGTTCCCTGGCCACAGCCCAGCCTGAGAATCAGACAACCCAGCCTCACCCTGGGAGGTGGGGGCCACACCCTCCTCTGTTGATGCCCTGCACTTTGACCGAAGCAAGCTATTTCTTCTCCAGGTTTGCCACCACGGTTATAGAACCGGCAGGTTGGGGTGGATCTGGAACTGTGAAGAAGAGCTTCTTTTCATTTTCCCAAAGATGTGAGTTTGCCTGGGCATGAGTAAGAGGTAAAGTGGTCTGGCCTGGCCAGATGCCAGGTAGCCCAAGGAAGGCCAGTTATGGCAATGTGCTGTGCTCAAAAGCTGGCCGAGGCTGGGCACAGTGGCTCACACCTATAATCCCAGCGTTTTGGGAGACCAAGGTGAGGGAATCACTTGACCCCAGGGAGTTTGAGACCAGCCTGGGCAACATAGTGAGACCTAGTCTCCACAAAAAATAAAACAAAATGAGCCCAGCGCAGTGGTACATGCCTGTAGTCTCAGCTACCTGGGAGGCTAAGGTGGGAGGATGGCTTGAGTCTGGGAGGTTGAGACTGCAGTGAGCCAAGATCATGCCACTGCACTCCAGCCTGTGAGACAGAGGGAGACTCTGTCTCAAAAAAAAAAAAAAAACCTGGCCCATGCCCATGTCTAGCTTCTGGGTCTGCTGGCCTGCACCACCTGAGCAATCCTGTCAGCTCTTGATGCTGGGCTCCTGTTCCACACGCACAGCCATCTTCAGAAGGACACGAAGGAAAGTTGGGGCTCACTCAGTTGGAGGTGGAGGGGATTTCTAGGGCTCCCTAGAGGTGGCTGTTCTCAGTGAGAATAAGCAGGTCAGGCTGGATCCTGGCAGGAGCATCCTGCCAGTTCCACGGTGCCTAGAGCCAGCCCAAAGGAGAAAAGTAGGAAATACTCATTTTGCTTTGACCTAGGCCCTGTGTTTGGGCTCGTGGGATCAAACCTCATCTGGGGCTGTGAGCTCATGCACTGTCAGCATAAAGTCCCATTCCCTGCGGCTCATAAAAACTGGACAGAGGCTGGGCGTGGTGGCTCATGCCTGTAATCCCAGCACTTTGAGAGGCTGAGGTGGGAGGATCACTTGAGCCCAGAAGCTCAAGACCAGCCTGAGCAACACAGAGAGACTCTGTCTCTACAAAAAATACAAAGATTAGCCAGATGTGGCAGCATGTGCCTGTGGTCCCAACTACTCGAAAGGCTAAGGTGAGAGGATCACTTGAGCCCAGGAGGTCAAGACTGCAGTGTTCATGCCACTGTCCTCCAGCCTAGGTGACAGAATGAGACTCTTTCATGAAAGAAACAAAGAAAGAAAAAAGAAAGAGGGAGGGAGGGAGGAAGAAGGGGAAAAAAAAAAAGAAAGAAAAAGAAAAAAGAAGAAAAAAGAAACTGGACAGAGCAGCCCAGGCCAGAGGTAGAGTTAATCCATCCCATACCTTTCGCTGGCAGAGCCAAGAGGCTTGGTCCAGGCAAGAAGATGGCAGAAGCAGTAACTATACAAGCTGGTCCAGTACAGCACCCCCAGGACCCCACCCACCCTGCCTTTCAGCCCTCCCCTCAGCGGCCCTGCTCAAGGGCCTTGTGGGACAGGTGCGGGGGCAACAGTAACATGCCAGAGTGAGCCAGTGCTGTGGACCTGGGCTGGCCCCTGGGAGGGACGTGGTCACCTGCTTGACCACACAGTGGAAGCTAGGTCCAAATGACTGAAGCCACTGGGGGAGGTGGGAGGCATGGAGCCTGGGCAGATACCGAAGGGTGACATTCCAGGACCCTGTGCTCTCCCAGGCCTTGTGATATGGTATCTAGTTTGAAGGTTAAAGGGTTGGGGGCATGGGAAAACAGGCAGAGCTGAACCCATGACCTGGCAGCCTCAGGGCCTTGTGTGCTACATCATGGACTGCAGCTCATCTGTATTCATCAGCTCCCAACCCTTCAAGTTTCAAGCTAGATCCCATGTGGCAAGGCCTGAGGAAAAGACAAGGGCCCCAGAAACAGGGTCCTTTTTGCATGACTACCCGTTCCTGAGTTGGGGGCCAGTTCACAGAGATATAGTCCAGGCATCCTTGAGTGAACAAATGGAAGAATAGATAAAGGGGGAAAAAAATCAAAGAACATAGAGTGATTGGTCAGGAACTGCCAAGACAGGTGTCAGGAGACCATAATTACGCCCTTGGGCCTTACCTTGGACCCAGCTTCCCAGATGAAGAGAGCTGGATAACGGTACCTCCAGGAGCCTGTCCAGCTATGACACTGTTCTAGCCTCGTCAGGCCCAGACCACATTGACTCCCTGCAACCCAGCCCCTGAGGGCCACTCAGGGGCTCCCAGTGAGACCAGTGGCCTGGATACCCATGGAACAGCCTCAGAAGAACTGATGACAGCTGCAGGGGAGACCCTGGGGCTGTGGAGCCTCTGAGTGGCCACCAGCACAGGGACAAGGGCAGGCAGTAAAAGCTGAGTTTCAGATGACTCCTCAGAGGGAAAAGCCCCATCCACCAGCCAAGCACGAAAGCCTCTGTTGAGGTCAAGGCCTGAAAACCATTGCCTGAGCATCCAAAGTGGGGCAAGGTCTGGGCAAGTGCCCAGGGCCAGGCAAGAGCTGGCCAGGAAAGCAGTGTCCAGCACCAGTCAGGGCTGCTCCTCCACATATTCCTTTCCCCTGCCACCAATCTGCCCAGCGGTCCTCAGGACCACACACATTCACACAGGGGCAATCCCAGCACTGCCCCTTGTGCCTACTCCTTGGTCCTTCAGGGGAGTTGCTAGGTTTGGACACACAGAGCAGGTGCCCAGGCCACAAAGCAGCAGCCTAGCCTACTAAAGCACCCTTCGGGGCCTTGACTTTCCTGCCTCTGAAAAGGAGGAAGACCAACATTCTAGTGCAGGATAGATTTTTTAAAACATCAGCCAGGGAGTAGGTGTTGGATGAGGCAGACGCCAAGGAGCCCAATGGAGAGGCCTCCAAACTGGGGTACAGGGTAGGAGAGACTTGTCAATCAACTGATAACCCATCGCCAGCCTGACCGTGTGGACCTGCAGTGCTTACATGGTGTTCAGGTGCCTGGTTTGGCCATCTCCCGGAGTCACCCTGCATATATGTACCTATACATGCCACATACATCCTACATGCCCCTCAGAGGGAGTGCCAAATGAGGTTGAGGAGAGAGAAAAATTCATCCTCTGTCCTGAAGACAAATTTTCCCTCTCCTGGAGAGGCCAGGGTGGCAAGACAAGAGTGGTGACTACCTAGGGAGGTGCATGGTTCTAGGAGCCTGAGAAGTGTAGCCCTGATCCCTGGGCTGCCTCAAGCTCCTACTTGGAGCTCCCAAGACCCATGGGTTCATAGCACACTGTGCTGTACCTGCAGCTCCAACTCTGAGCTGCTGGCATGACCCAGGTGAGGGTAAATGAGGACGGTGTGGTGGGCAAGGCTGGAGCAGCCTGCACTGGGCACCAAGGCAAAGAGCATCAGGAAATGTCCCCTGGCCTTCTCCTTCCCAACCCAGGAAGATAGGGCACAGGGAGGTGAGGATGGGTAGAGGTACACAGACAGGAGACACTAAGCGACAAGCCCTACCTCATCTGAGAAGGCCAACTGAGACTTAAGTGAGGGAAGTAGGGCCCAGAGCAGAGACCCAAGGGACAGTGCTGGTGGCAGCTGCCCCACGGAAAAGCAGAGAGAGAGCCTGGATGACTCACGGGGTCCAGCCACACCTCCCTCCCCAGGCTCCTTGAGAAGTGGAGTGATCCTGGCGCACCCCCTTGTGGTGGGAGGATGGCATTGTCCACAGCGAGGGGCCCCTCTGGTGGGAAGAGGGTACGCCAGCTCCAGTTCCCCTTCAACACATCCCTCCAATTTAATCACTGCCTCAGACTCCTGGTCAGCATCTCCCAGTCATCAACCTCTGAGGGAGTGGGACTACAGGTACCCACAGAGCTATGCAGGAATGTCTCATAAAGAACAGGAGTTGGGCCAGGCGCGGTGGCTCACGCCTGTAATCCCAGCACTTTGGGAGGCCAAGATGGGCAGATCACCTGCGGTCGAGGGCTCGAGACCAGCCTGACCAACATGGAGAAACCCTGTATCTAGTAAACACATACACACACACACACACACACACACACACACACACACACACACACACACACAAAATTAGCCAGGCATGGTGGCGCTTGCCTGTAATCCTAGTACTCAGGAGGCTGAGGCAGGAGAATCACTTGAACACGGGAGGCGGAGGTTGCGGTGAGCCAAGATTGTGCCATTGCACTCCAGCCTGGGCAACAAGAATAAAACTCTGTCTCAAAAAAAAAAAAGAACAGAAGTTGGCCGGGCACGGTGGCTCACACCTGTAATCCCAGCACTTTGGAAGGCCGAGGCTGAAAGATGACTTGAGCCCAGAAGTTTTGAGACCAGACTGGCCAACATAATGAGACCTTGTCTCTACCAAAAATAAACAAAATCAGCTGGGCGTCGTGGTGCATGGTTTGCAGCCTAGGTGGTCAAGGCTACAGTGAGCCATGATGGAGCCACTGCACTCCAGCCCAGGCAACAGAGTGAGGCCCTGTCTCAAAAAAAAGAAAAGAAAAGAAAAGAAAGAGAACAATAGGTGGATATAAGCCTGGAAAGCCAAACCGGAGACCACACAGACCTGAGTCGGTCATAAGGAACTGGTCTGTCTTGCATGAGTGAAGACAAAGCCTTCAGAGGGACAAGGCTGAAGAGGACGTGGAGGGAAGCATGGGCATCCTCAGCCCTCTACACTCTTGCTCTCCCTCTCAGCCAGACCCTCCCAAGTCTCCAATTCCCTTTATCTAAGTCTCAACTCCTTTTGTCTCTACTGCCTAGTATGTGTCTAATAAAAGCAAGTGCTTAATAACTCAGAAACAGGGAAATCTATGATATGGTGCATCCCTGGGGTTGGGGGGTGGGAGACTTGGCTTTTCCTCCCCCACACCCCCAAAGCCTAGTACTCAGCCAGTGCCAGTAGAGCTGTCATGGCTGGGCACAGTGGCTCATGCCTGTAATCTCAGCACTTTGGGAGACCGAGGTGGGCGGATCACGAGGTCAAGAGATCAAGACCATCCTGGCCAACATCGTGAAACCCCGTCTCTACTAAAAAGACAAAAATTAGGCGGGCGTGGTGGCGGGTGCCTGTAATCCCAGTTACTTGGGAGGCTAAGGCAGGAGAATCGCTTGAACCCAGGAGGCGGAGGTTGCAGTGAGCCAAGATCATGCCACTGCACTCCAGCCTGGCAACAGAGTGAGACTCTGTCTCAAAAAAAAAAAAGAGCTGTCACTCATCCAATCAGGCAAATATCTATTGAGCATCCACTCTGGCTAGGACTGCGCTGTTGAATCCTTACAACCTACGAGTAAGTGATTTCTGTTTCATTTTACAAGTGGGCAAATACATCTCTGCATCACACAGCTGTCCGGAAGGGAGCCATGGTCTGCCTGATGCCTGGCTCCACACAGAAGAACTCAAGAAAGGTTCTGGCAACCCATAGGGGCACTAGGGTCCTGACCCTGAGCAGGCGCAGATGACTTAGAGACAGTCATATCATGTCCTTGCACCTGTTCATTCTGGATGCAGATCCTCCTAACAAGCTGCAGTGTGTCTGATCACTGAGCTCAAAGCCCAAGAGCAGCTACAGGTTGGGAAGGGGACCCTGGTGCTATAGCAGGCATCCTGACCACAGCAGGAAGAGTGAATGGGTGGCCTGACAGAAGGCCAGGGACAAAACTATGGGAGGCAGACCTGGGCCCTCAGGGACAGTGGTTCTGTTCCATCTCATTCCAAGTCTAACAGCCGTTAATGCAGGAGAGACTCTGCTATGTTCAGTGTATGCCACTTAAGAAAGCAGGGAGCCTGGGCAACATAGTGAGACCCTGTCTCCACTAAAAAATAAAAAATTAGCCAGACATGGTAACACATGCCTGTACTCCCAGCTACTTGGGAAAGGTGAGGTAGAAGGATCACTTGAGCCCAGGAGGTTGAGGCTGCAGTGGGTCATGATCATGCCACTGCAATCCAACCTGGGCGACAGAGTGAGACCCTGTCTTAAAAAAGGAAAAGGAGCTAAGCGTGATGGCTCATGCATGTAATCCCAGTACTTTGGGAGGCCAAGGCAAGAAGATCACTTGAGCCCAGGAGTTCAAGACCAGCCTGGGAAACATGGCAAAACCCCTTCTCTACAAAACATACAAAAATTAGCTAAGTGCGGTGGTGCATGCCTGTAGCCCTACATACTTGGGGGGCTGAGTTGGGAGGATTGCTTGAGCCTGGGAGGTCAAGGCTGCGGTGAGTTGTGTTTGGGTCACTGTACTCCAGCCTGGGCAACAGAGCAAGACCCAGTCTCAAAAAGAAAAAGAAAAAAAAAAAAGAAGGAAGGAAAGAAAGAAAGGAAAGGAAGCAAGCAAGCAGGGAAATGAGACTAATATATTCCAGAAGTGTATTATGCAATGTTTAAAATAAGGTGTTGAAGCATTTCCGTCTCTGCCATCAAGAAACCCTAGTCACCCAGAAAGCCTTATTTACTAAGGGCCCTGAATGGCTGACATCTGCCTAGGCTGAGGGTACTTCAAAAGGCCTAGCAGGGGTTCAAGCACTGGCTCCACCTCGGAAACCAGGCCCAAGAAATCGCTGAGTAAACCCAAGAAAAAGTATATGTTATCACCCACCAGAGCAAGTTCTGACAAGACATCCTGTGGCAGGGATTTGGAAACAGCAGTTATTGGCTCCTGTGGGGACTCTTACTGACTTGACCATAAATAGCTTCTCAGATAAAATCGGGCTAAAGGCCAGGCGCGGTGGCTCACACCTGTAATCCCATCACTTTGGGAGGCCAAGGCAGGTGGATCACAAGGTCAGGAGTTTGAGACCAGCCTGACCAACATGGTGAAACCGCATCTCTACTAAAAATACAAAAATTAGCCAGGCGTGGTGGCACACGCCTGTAATCCCAGTTACTCAGAAAGCTGAGGCAGGAGGATCGTTTCAACCTGGGAGGCGGAGGTTGCAGTGAGCCGAGATTGCGCCATTGCACTCCAGCCTAGGCAACAAAGCAAGACTCCTTCTCAAAATAAATAAATAAATAAATAAATAATAAAATCGGGCTAAAGTATATGCCAGTGCAAGATGTAACCAACAAAGGGAATACAGGAGTAGGGGTCAGGAGGAAGAGGCAAAGGACAGACAGAAAAACAGCCAGTTAAGTGGTCACCTGCTCACAGTGGCTATACCTGGACAGGGGCCCTGCAGCTCTGGCCAGCTGACATGAGAAGGGTCCAGCTCTGGCCTGGGCCCTCAAGCACCCCCATAGGACTTGGGAGTCTTCAGGTGTAAAGAGAAGTGGCTTCATGGGGGTTCCCTAAGACTCAGACCAGCCCTACAATGCCCCACAATGCGAAACAAAACCTGGACCACAAAGGTCCCAGGCTCTCCAGCACAGGCCTCAGCTTTGATGGCTGCTGGGTGTGGGTACCCTTCTCTTTGCTTACCTATATGTCCTAATTTTCCTTAAATATCTTTATTGAATGTATCAAATTATAAAATGTGTTCACTGTAATACATTTAAACAATAGAAGAGTACATAAAAAGTCAACATTGAAATCTTCCCCCTACCAGCCTCTATAAATCCCTCTCCCCAGAGGTTGTCACTCATGACAACTTGGCGCCTATGCTTCCAAAAACATGCATATATGTCCATCTGGTAGTCTACCAAGATGAGGGATTACATGTAACGCTTTGCAACTTTTCACCTAACAACATATTTCTAAATCAGCCCTTATGGAACTTCATGCTTTTGAGCACTCTCTCGTAGTATTCCATTGTAAGAATAGACCATGGTTTACTTAACCAGACCATAACCAAATCACCGGATATTCCATTGGTTCTAATAGTTTGCTGCTACCAACAAGGCTGGCATAAACACCTCTGTACATGCTATCCCATGTTAATCTACGGGACACAATCTTATAAGTTGGGTTGCAGGGTCGCACGGTATATACATGCAGTGTTTTGACAAAGGGGTGACAATGTATACCCCTTGGAGAGTCTACACCAAGTCATCCTTCTACCAACTTTTTGGAATTAAAAAATTATATTTAGTCAAAAAGAAAACAAGAAAACAAAAAACCACCATGCCCCAGCATCATGCAGGAAGAGACACGGCAGGAATCTGGAGGGAGAGCCCAGCTGTCCCTCTCTCTGCTCCGCTTGCCAAACTGGGCTCCATGCCAGGTGTCCTCGTTAGGCCACACTTGTGTCCACTTGGCCCACAGTTAAGGCTGCTCTCTAGCCTCCTGGCAGGACTTGTGGGCAGAGCTAGGCTTCCAAGGCAGGCTTGCCCGGCTATGAGCCAACAGATGGCCTGGCGCGGGCCTAACTGCCACCAGCCAGTGTACTGGTGACTTCCAGGTTAATATCTTTAGTGTTACTATCTCACACAGCCAACTGCCTGCCGGACTCCCTCAGACATCTGAGATAGAATACTTCCCCTCCCACCCCCCAATCTGCACCCCTAACTTTCCTATCCCTTCTCTGGTAGCCCGTATCTCAAAAGGAGCTCCAGCATCCACCCAGTCATTTATTAAGCCAGCAGCCTGACTTCTAACCCTCTTCACCCACATCTAATAAAAACTGGACCAATCTTGTGGGTTTCATCTCCCAAGCTGATCTCTGACCTGGTCCTTCATCCCCCCTCATTCCACTCCAGCCCTGGTTAGTCCATATTCTCCTACCTAGAGAGCTGCAAGAGCAGCTAGCAAGTGTCCTGCTTCTGGCCTGCTCCCACAAATCCATCCTCTAGAGCCTCAGAGCAAGTTTCTTTTTTGTTTATAATTGACGTGTAACAATTGCACATATTTATAGGATACATGTGATATTTTGATACATATATACACTGTGTAATGAATGATCAATTCAGGGTAATTAGCATATCCATCAACTCAAACATTTATTATTTCTTTGTTTTTGAGACAGAGTCTGGTTCTGTTGCCCAGACTGGAGTACAGTGGGGGTGACCCTGGCTCACTGCAACCTCTGCCTCCTGGGTTCAAGCAATTCTCCTGCCTCACCCTCCCAAGTAGCTGGGGATTACAGGCATGCGCCACCACGCCCGGCTAATTTTTGTATTCTTAGTAGATATGGGGGTTTCACCATGTTGCCCAGGGTGGTCTTGAACTCCTGACCTCAAGCGATCTACCTGCCTCAGCCTCCTAAAGGGCTGGGATTACAGGCATGAGCCACCACACGTGGCCTATTATTTCTTTGTGTTGAGAACATTCAAAATCCTCTCTTACAGCAGTTTGAAAATATATAATGAATTATTGTTAAATACAGTCACCCTATGGTATAGAATAGAACTTCTCCTATCTAGCTGTAATTTTATACAGATTAATCATCCCCTCCCTCAGAGCAAGTTTCTTTTTTAAAAAAAATTATTATTAATTTTTTTTTTGAGACGGGGTCTCTCTCTGTTGCCCAGGCTGGAGTGTAGTGGTGTGATCACGGCTCACTACAGCCTCAACCTCCCAGGCCCAAGCGACCTTCCCACCTCAGCCTCCCATATTATTATTTTTTTAGAGATTGGGCCGGGGGGTGGTTCTCACTATGTTGCCCAGGCTGGCCTCAAACTCCTGGGCTCAAGTGATGCTCCCACCTCAGCCTCCTCAGTGGCTGAGATTACAGGCGTTAGCCACCACACCAGGCCCAGTGAGTTTCTAATTGTATCATACCACCAACCCTACCTCCTCCACAATTCCCCTTTTCTTCACCCAGTGAGGGGTTAGGTTCCCACACTGGCTCATGACAGCGAGATGCCAAACCTCCCCCCTGCCTAGCCCTAGCCTCCATTCCTGCTCTGGGGCCTCATTCTCGCAGGCAGCAGCAGCAGCAAGCTGGAGGGGAGCAACAGGTGCAGCAGGCTGCCAGACACCACCAACAACCTGTGCCAGTTCATCCGCCACTGAGCACTGGGGTCCCCTTGTGCAGCAATGCCACTGCCCAGGGCAGTGGGGCCAACAAGAGGGAAAAACTTCAGGCTTGTGTGGGGTCCAGGCTCTCACAACTCAACATGCTCATTCCCTTTCTTCCACAGAGTAAATGTTCCTTCTATTATTGCCTTCTGCACACCCTTCTCCCAATGCCCTCCCCCAGCCCCCAGCTCCTCTCTCTTGCTTGTAGTCACTAGATTGCCAGTACCATGTCATCTCTTCCTTTGGATCACGTTTGACTCAGAGGAATTTAGGACTGAGCTAAGCTCATCTTGCTGTCCAAGTTGTGGTCATCTAATTTCACCAATTCAATAGAGTTTCCTTTGACAAACAAAATGAAATGTATAAAATATTTCCAGGCGGCTGGGCGCGGTGGCTCATGCCTGTAATCCCAGCACTTTGGGATGCCAAGACGGGAGGATCACGAGGTCAGGAGATCGAGACCATCCTGGCTAACACGGTGAAACCCCGTTTCTACTAAACAAAATACAAAAAATTTGCCGGGCGTGGTGGCGGGTGCCTGTAGTGCCAGCTACTCGGGAGGCTGAGGCAGGAGAATGGCGTGAACCCAGGAGGCGGAGCTTGCAATGAGCCAAGATCGCGCCACTGCACTCCAGCCTGGGCAACAGAGCAAGACTGTCTCAAAAAAATATATATATATTTCCAGGCAAGAGCATACACAGAAAATCCTAAACAAGACATTTCCTACACATTAACCTTAATCTAAGAATCTCTCTCTTTTTAAAACAATTTTTTACCATAACTTTCATCCTTCCTGAGCAATATGTCCTTCTAAGACACCCACAGCCTTCCAGGAACCAGCCCAATGCATCTATCCAGACCTCGCTGCTGCAAATCCTCGACACACACTCTACTTTCTCCTTCCACCTCCCAAGGCTGCTGTCATGCACGAGGCAGTTTCGTGTTTCTGAGACTACTAATGCCATTCCTTCTCCCTATGCTCTTCCCACCTCTTGGCCTGGCTAATTTGGGGCTGGGGGGGGTGGCGCAGCAACAGCTTTACTGAGATATAATTCATTTGCCATACAATTTGCCAACTTAAAGTGTACAATTCATGGTTTTAAGCATACTCACAGAATTGTGCAACCGCCCCACAATCAGTTTTAGGACTTTTTTTTTTTTAGATGGAGTCTTACTCTGTCACCCAGGCTGCAGTGCAGTGGTGCAATCTCAGCTCATTGCAACCTCCACCTTCCGGGTTCAAGCGATTTTCCTGCCTCAGCCTCCCAGGTAGCTGAGGTTACAGGTGCCCGCCACTACGCCCAACTAATTTTTTGTGGTTTTGTTTGTTTGTTTGAGACAGAGTCTCGCTCAGTCGCCCAGGCTGGAGTGCAGTGGTGCAATCTCGGCTCACTGCAAGCTCCACTTCCCAGGCTCATGCCATTCTCCTGCCTCAGCCTCCCAAGTAGCTGGGACTATAGGCGCCCACCACCATGCCTGGCTAATTTTTTGTATTTTTAGTAGAGACGGGGTTTCACCGCATTAGCCAGGATGGTCTTGATCTCCTGACCTCGTGATCTGCCCACCTCGGCCTCCCAAAGTGCTGGGATTACAGGCATGAGCCACTGCACCCAGCCAATTTTTTGTATTTTTAGTAGAGATGGGGGTCTCACCATGTTGGCCAGGCTGGTATCGAACTGACCTTGTGATCCCCCCGACTCGGCCTTCTAAAGTGCTGGGACTACAAGCATGAGCCACCGTTTCTGGCCAGTTTTAGGACGTTTTTATCACCCCAAAAATAAAGCCCATACCCATTAACCGTCACCCACCACATAACATCCCCTCCCTAAAGTACCCTGCACTTACTGTGCACTCAATGCTGTTTTGATGGTCACTCAGTCTGCCTGTTAGACAGGCACACTTGCCCTAAGCAAGACCTGTGTGACATACTTGTATTAGCCACTCAAGGCCCACCATGGCACCTGTCTCCTAGGAGTGACAGCAGGGAATGACCACAGTGGAGCACCTGGCCTCTCCAACTGTTCACTTGGTCCCAGGCCCTGTGCTTACACTTCACAAACATCTCAGAGACCCTAATATTATTCCCATTTTACAGCTGAGGATAAATGACTTGTCCAAGGTCACAAAACCAGTTAAGTGGCTGCGCTGGGATCAGTCCATCAGTAAGGTCTTCTCTAACTGTCTAGACATTGTCTCTGCCCATCCACTGCGGTCACCTTCTAGCCTCACCTTCTTCTGTTCTCATTAAGGTCTCCTATGACCTCTGAATGGCAAAACCAAATGGAAGGCTGACTTTATCAATCTCTTGGCCACATTTGGCACTCACTACCTCATTTATTTTCAGGCTCTCCTTTGGAGCTACCCACATTTCAGGGAATGCCTTTGGCCTTTTTGGCAGGACCATCATTTTCCCCCAAGTCCTGTGATCAACTGAAGTGCTTCCTGGGGGAGGGTCCCATCTTCAGCCTCTAGTCTTCTGATTCCATGGTTATCTCTTGGGGACCGTGGACACACCGCTATCTCAATTTCCCAAGCTCAGAACTGTCACACCTGAGCACCAAAAATAGCCTTCATATCTCCACTCAGATGGCTCACAGATCCCTCAATTTCATCTTCTCACTTCTACAACGTGTTCCTTCTCCTACATGCCACCATCATTTCATTTTGCCACCTACACAGTTGCCTAAGCCAAGATGAGGACATCGACCTTGACTTATTCTTCCCCCAGCCTTCTTGCCCAACGCTCAAGTCCTATCAAATCCCCTTCCTAAAATTCTCCTACAATACTCCCAGCCAATGCTTGAGGTCAAGCTGCCTTCACCGCCAGCCTGGATTACTATAAGAACCTGCAAACTGTTCTTTCTGCCTCCAGGGTGGCCTCCACCTTCAAATTGCAGGTATCCTGTTAAAGTACAAGTCTAATAGTTTTACTATCCCATCCGCTGCACTCAGGACAGAGTCCTTTCTATGGTTTTTACGATCCTTCTAGAGCTAATCTCTCCTTAACTTTCCAGCCACAGTCCTAACCACCCCACAGTCTGTGCTAAACGACCTGCCACACCATCAACATTTGCATCTGCAGTTTCATGTGACATTGCGACTGGCGATTGGCCAAGTCCAGCCTGGAGTCTCTCTTCTTCCTGCATAAAATTGTCTCTTGTGAAATAATGTTGAAAGGCACAAAGAGATGTAATGGACAGAAGACAAATCAATCAGGGTAGAGAGGGATAAAAGTGTTCTGGACAACAGCCAGCACATCAAACATGGGCCCTTCACCCATGGCCTCCAACGATCTAACTCTCTGGCTGAGAAGAACAATTTCCAGGACCACTAGCTCACATGGAAGCTGAGAAGGTCACAGGACTCCTCTTGAGTGTTAATTATATTTCTTTGCAACAGGAGGAAGATGTCCTGACTGGCCCAAGTATCAGGTAGAGCTCCTATTCCAAATTAGGAAACTGGCATTCTGGTACTCATCAGCTGAAGTGGTGCTACATAATCCAGCAAGCTGTTTGCTTCTCTGTATTTTCCAAGTTTCTGAGTAAGAGAAGAGCTAAACTAGCCATGGAAAAAACCAAGACTGATGTCCAATACAGTATCAATGAGAACCCCATATGACTCAGATTATGGTCTCTAAATACAATTTTGTAATACAAAGAACCAAGTCTCCTAAGAGAAATGAAGACTCTAGGTCTGGGTCAAGAAATCTTCAAGGTAAGATTAGAACATATGGGCATCCCAGGCCAGATGGAGTGGCTCACACCTGTAATCCCAGCACTTTGGGAGGCCGAGGTGGGTGGATCACCTGAGGTCAGGAGTTCAAGACCAGCCTGGCTAACATGGTGTAACCCCATCTCTACTAAAAATTAGCCAGGCGTGGTAGCGTAGGCCTGTAGTCACAGCTACTCAGGAGGCTGAGGCAGGAAAATCACTTGAACCTGGGAGGCAGAGGTTGCAGTGAGCTGAGAACGTGCCACTGCACTCCAGCCTGGGCAAGAAAACAAGATTCCATTCCAAAAAAAAAAAAAACCAGACATCTCAGATAGTAAGGAAGCTTTCAATGGCTACAGGGTTATATAAAAAAGACTTGGCAGTCAACTGAAAAAGCTTCCACTGGCCAAGAGACAATTTAAGCATCAATAAGATTAATCAACTGAAACATAACAAATACATTAAAAACCATTAGTGTGTTATAATACTAAACAAATCTTGGTTGGTTTAGTCACAAAACCTCATTAGTCATTTTTGGAGGATGTCAGTGAAACAACTCTTTATTTTGAAACCTGGTAACTATTGGAAAGAAATAAGCATTTATCTTAACCTCTCCTATACAGACTGTATCTCAGGATAACTAAGTACTTGATTACTGGAAGTTTACAGGCATAGAAGTAGTCAAGCTGGCAACTACAGAAGGAAACAGAATTAGAATAGCACTATTTTGCAACCCCCGATGAAACGATGGCTTCAGTCAATAAATGTCAATTATTCCTTACATCCTAAAAAGAGAAACTAGGTATTATGTGCCTCCCAATAGAGGTACAAACATTGGCTGGGTGTAGTGGCTCACACCTGTAATCCTGACACTTTGGGAGGCTGAGGTGGGTGGATCACCTGAGGTCAGGAGTTCCAGACCAGCCTGGGCAACATGGTGAAACCCCATCTCTACTAAAAGTACCAAAAAATTAGCCAGGTGGCGGGTGCCTGTAATCCCATCTACTTGGGAGACTGAGGCAGGAGAATTACTTGAACCTGGGAGGCAGAGGTTGCAGTGAGCCGAGATGTCCAGCCTGGGTGACAGAGTGAGACTCTGTCTCAAATTAAAAAAAAAAAAAAAAAAAAGAAGTACAAACATCACCTATTAAGTATTTACAAAAAAAAAAAAAAAAGAATTGAACCAAAATCTGAGCAAGCCTCTAGATCTACTACTAATTTAAAGTGGGAACAAGGGACAGAGGAACAAGTTCAACTATATGTCAGAGATGGGATCAGTAAAATTGAGATGGATGGAAAATCTATTAATCAAGTGATCTAACTTCAATCTATATATTAAAATACTTGAGAGAGTATCAACTGAAATGTATGGATCATATTTGCATCCCAATTGAAACAAATAAATCATATTTTAAAAATTTGAGACAATCAGGGGAATTTGAATACTAAATGGATATCTGATTACATTAACAAATTACTGTTTTTAAGGAAGGAGGAATAATATTGTCATTTTTTTAAAATACTCATGACTTTTTTCAGAGATGCTGAAATATTTACAACTGAAAGGGTATGCTGTCTGGGACTTACTTCTGAATAATTTGGGAGTGGGGGTATAAATGGAACTAGTATTGAAACAAGACAGATAATTATTTTATCAATAAGAATTTATGATTGTTGTAGTTAGATGATTATTACTTAGGGGCTCATTATATTATTGCTTCTTATTTGTATATGTTTGACAGTATCCATAATAAACAGTTTTTTTTTTTTCTTTATACGGAGTCTTGCTCTATAGCCCAGGCTGGAGCACAGTGGCTCGATCTCGGCTCACTGCAAGCTCCGCCTCCCGGGTTCACGCCATTCTCCTACCTCAGCCTCCGGAGTAGCTGGGACTACAGGCACCCGCCACCACACAAGGCTAATTTTTTTGTATTTTTAGTAGAGACGGGGTTTCACCGAGCCAGGATGGTCTCGATCTCCTGACCTCATGATCCACCCGTCTCAGCCTCCCAAAGTGCTGGGATTACAGGCATGAGCCACTGCGCCCTGTCAATAAACAGTTTTAAAGAGAAAAGAGGAAAGCGAAATTCTGGAGGGTACAGGTACAAACAATACTGAAAACAAGGGCTAACATTTACCTAGCGCTTATTCTGTCCTTGGTGCTGGGCTAAGTGTTTTACATGTTGTAGCTTGTTGACATTTCACAACCTGTATGAGATAGGTGCTGTTAATACACCAGTTGAAAAACCCAAGGCCCGGAGGTGTTAAATAGGTTATCTAAAGTAGTCCAGTAATTGGCAGGATTGGAATTCAACCCAGGTTTGCCTAACTCCAAAGTCCACCACACTTTGTGCACCAAGTGCTGGAGGGATGGCTTGCATGAGGGATATGAGGGATAGAAATGTGTGTGAATGGCCAAGCGTGGTGGCTCACGCCTGCAATCCCAGTACTTTGGGAGGCCAAGGTGGGTGGATCACTTGAGGTCAGGAGTTCGAGACCAGCCTGGCCAATATGGCAAAATCCTCTCTACTAAAAAATACAAAAAAATTAGCTGGGCATGGTGGCACATGCCTGTAATCCCAGCTACTCAGTAGGCTGAGGCACGAGAATGGCTTGAACTGGTGAGGTGGAGGTTGCAGTGAGCGGAGATCGCGCCACTGCACTCCAGCCTGGGTGACAGGGCTAGACTCTGTCTCAAAAAAAAAAAAAAAAAAGAAAGAAAGAAAGAAATGTGTGTGAATGAGCAAAGGATACCTGAATGCCACACTAAAGATCTGGATGGTATTCTACAAGGTGGGGCAGAGGGCGGGAGGGTGGGTGCCTATGTTGAGCAGTGTTATAGGAAAAATGTGTAGAAAGAATGGCCTAACATGTTCATGGGGGATGATAGAGGGTCCCCTGGGAAGATGGGAAGAACCCTGTGCCCCCAGAAGCTGTTACAGGAGAGCGGACAGCAGCAGGAGTGAGGAAAGTCAAGAAGGGAAACAACCAACCGAATGTCTATTGATGATCAATGATGTTCACCTTAGATTTAGGCAAATAAAGACCTTCGACAAGTCCCAGGCAGTCCACAAAACTCACATTAAGCTCCAACTGTGTGCCAGGCCCTGTCCCAGGCAGCCTCCCTCTATTCTCCCCTTTTTACCACAGTAAGGGTAATCGGTTGCTGGCAGATGCCTACTACCCAGCATCCTAAAGTGCTCTCCTTCCCCACCTCCACTCACATAAGTAAGGTAAACAACTTTTCTTGCAGATGTACGTTAACATCATAACACCTACAATTATTGTACTGCCGATTTTTTTTTTTTTTTGAGACGGGGTCTCGCTCTGTTGTTGCCCAGGCTGGAGTGCAGTGGTGCAGTCTTGGCTCACTGCAACCTTTGCCTCCCAGGTTCAAGCAATTCTCCTGCCTCAGTCTCCCGAGTAGCTGGGATTACAGGCGCCTGTCACCACGCCCAGCTAATTTTTTGTATCTTGAGTAGAGACAGGGTTTCACCATTCTGGCCAGGCTGGTCTCGAACTCCTGCCCTTGTGATCCACCCGCCTTGGCCTCCCAAAATGCTGGGATTACAGACGTGAGCCACCGCGCCTGGCCTGTACTGCAGATTTACATTAAAATCATAACACCTACAATTATTGTATTTTAACGGTAAGTTTTCTATTTTAAAGGTATTTATTTTCACTTTACTGGTCCAGTTTGCAAGGCAAACAATAAATGACTTTTTCATTTGAGCTCACTTTTAACCTCACGAAGTTTCTGACGAGAAAATGTTCTCTAGTGGGTGAAACATCTGGCCATCCTCCCCCCACCCAGCTACCAATTACGAGGCTATCAGCACCTCTGCTCAAGAGTACCACTTGAGGATCAGGAATCCCCTCACATCCTGGCCACCCTTCCCTTCCCTACCACCTGGAGCGGGAGTGGTTGGCAAAGACTGGAATTAGGGACACCTCTAACTCAGTACATCTGTTGGAGCTGTGCCTCAGAAGTCAACGCCACGGCCGGGCGCGGTGGCTCACGCCTGTAATCCCAGCACTTTGGGAGGCCGAGGCGGGCGGATCACGAGGTCAGGAGATCGAGACCATCCCGGCTAAAACGGTGAAACCCCGTCTCTACTAAAAATACAAAAAATTAGCCGGGCGTAGTGGCGGGCGCCTGTAGTCCCAGCTACTTGGGAGGCTGAGGCAGGAGAATGGCGTGAACCCGGGAGGCGGAGCTTGCAGTGAGCCGAGATCCCGCCACTGCACTCCAGCCTGGGCGACAGAGCGAGACTCCGTCTCAAAAAAAAAAAAAAAAAAAAAAAGAAGTCAACGCCACTCTGGAGCTGTGTGCTGAGAAGAAAGGGGAACTCGGTTTCTCATTACTCTTGTGCTCAGAAACCCTGTCCCAACAGGCATCCCCCTCGCTGAGGGGGTGGGATTAATTGGCCAAATACTTGTATATGAACTTCCAGACCTGCAAGGGCCACCCTTGTTCTCCCAAACATTGCCTTCAGGAGATACTGCCCAGCCAGCAGTTCAGAGTTGGGAGAAAACCCTCGATAAACTGGCTCAGCAATTCCCCAGGAAGGCTCACCCCGCAGGCCAACGCGAAGACACGATGATCCCAAAGACCTTAGTGTCTTGGCGGGGGGAGGGGGAAGAGGTGGGGGACTTTTCCGCTTAGCTTCCCTAAGGGTTGCTACGCGACAGCTCTCGGGCTACGTCAGGGTAAAGAGGTTTGTATGGCCACACCTCGCACCGACCAACTACCCCCGAAACACCCCCTCCTCCCAAACTGCAGGGTGAGCACAGCGAGAGAAAAGGTGGCCCAAGCAGAGGCGAACAACTGCGGTTCTTAAAGCCTTGTTTGAGTTTGGGCCCGCGCCGAGCCACAGCTAGAGGTAGATCCCGCTCCTGCGCGTCCGCTATCAGCCCCAGGATTCCCAGAGAGGCCTCTCAGGCCCTTCAAGACCCCCCCTTCCGGCTTCCCGGCCTACACCTCTGAACCCTCAGGCCCCGGACAGCCTCTATCCCCGCCTTTCGCGGCCCCGGCTCACCCTCTAGCGTCTCGCACTGCACCAGGTTGAGGTAGTCGGCCTGGCTGAGCACCCCGGCCTTCAGGCCGCGCACCAGTCCCTCCAAGTAGCCATTGTCCACGTTAAAGTAAAGCTCCGGGAAGAACGACATGGCTGCTGCGGGAGCGGCGGGACCGGAGAACCAGGACCGGCCGGCACGAATCGCGACTCCCCAGGTCAGCTGACGCTGCGTCCTCAGCGGGCTGTCAAGTGCGTCAGGTGACGCGCAAGCGCCTCACGTGACCATAAGGGGGCGTGGCTCTGAGCGGTGCCCGGCTTCCGGGTGGCTGCGCGGAAGCGCGGTGCAGGCGTGGGCTGGCCCTGCGGCGCCTGCGCGCTAAAAAGAGGAAGTTTGAGGCCGGCCGCTTGGTGGCGCCTGTGGCCGCAGGGATTTGACTGGGCCTTCTCTAGCTTTCCCCGGTTTGCTGCACTTGACGCTGCAGGGCGGGCGGGGTAAAGAAGGGAGCGAGCCCTTCTCAAGCTTGGAAAGTTTCCAGACTGCTGGGCCAGCCTCCTCCCCAGAGGGAAACTGAGGTCCGATTGAGGTAGGAGAATAGGGTCTGGAGGCGGGGAACTTGAGGCCAATACGTGCTGAATTCTGAAGCTGAATCAAGGGAAAACACCAAGGTCTGGGGGCAGGGAACCGGAGGCCAACTAAGGCGAGCTTACTAAAGCTAAACCAAAAAGAAAAACCCCATCTCCCCATGTCCAAGTAACAAAGGATCAAAGGCCACTGTCCCCACAACCCTCCCCCTTCCACCACGTCTCAGTTGAAAGGGAGAGTGCCTTGGATTGGCTGCGGGCCAAGCACGGGCCATCCCTTCATCTGCATAGGGCGCCAATTCACCTTAGCCCCATTTATGCCTTGTGTTCCATTATTGGAACGCTAAGCATATGGGAGTTATTTATATCCTACTGCTCAAGGTCATGGCCAAGGTCTGATTGCAAAAATTCAAAAAGATTGCAACCTCAGGCATAAATGGATTAATTAGCCATGGACCAAACCCTTCATCCAGATAAGGGGTAACGGACAGGGACCGCAAAAGGAGTACTTAAAACCCGGAAAACTTTGTAACTGAGCCCCTTCAGCCTCTTGCTCAGGCCCACTCCCACCCTGCGTAGTGCTTTCTCGCTTTAACAAATCCCAGCTGTCTGCTTCCTTCCTGTGTGTCATTCGTTTGTTACTTTCTGGGTTTTGTTCAATTCTTTGTTCGAAACGCTAAGGACCTGAACAACGCACACTCCTGGCCTTCCCTCTGGTAACAGGATGAGGGGCAGGCTTTGCGTGGAAGTAGCAGCAAGCCCTGGAGCCTAAGGCTTATTTGTTAGCCAGGAGTGATAGCCCCTGTGCCACGCTGCGTCCTGCGTTCCCCGCACTTGCTGTACAAGATTTTCGAAAGCTGGAGTGCGGCTCTTCTCTATTTTTCCCAGGGGCACCAGGACCCCTAAAAGCGCCCGTGTATGTGCCTCCTATGATAGGGTAGCCCAGGCCCTGGGATAAGAGTATGTGTGGTTTCTTGGCTTGGTGACACTCCCACCCCCTCCATGAACCCTCCCTCCTTTGACGGCCACGTTTGAAATAACCACAGCCTTGGGGTTGGTCCCATCCTTTATTCGAGTTTCCTTGCCCCTACCCTAGCCCCGACCCTGACGTTGGCCAGCTAGGTGCGGCTGCAGGGATTCATGGCAGTACCCAGCTTGCGGCAGTAGCAGAAGGCATTGAAGAAGCGGCAGTAGCACGTGGCACATGGGTCACAGCAAGGCACCTGCTGTCCCAGGCAGGACTCATGCAGCCTTACGCAGCGACGTGAGGAGCGGGGCTCGCGGTCCTGCAGGTCTAGTACCTGCAGGGGTGGGGAACCAGCACAGGCCTCTAAAGACAGATCCAGGGATCTTACCTGTCCCAACCTGTGCAGGATGGCAGTGGAGCATGGGAAGGGGTGGTCGGTAGTGTCGTCGCTGGTGAGGGAGTTTGGAGCTGGGGAGAGGAGCTAATACCCAATGCCCCCTCCCAAGGGCCACCACCTTACCCTTTTCCCTGAGCAGTTACCTCTGCCAAGGCCTGAGCCTCCTGCAACAGATCCTCTTCTGCCTGTTCTGCAGTTGTCTTCTTCAGTGGGGCCCGCAGGCCCAGGCCTGGGGCAGAGGATGTGAGGGCAGGAACCCCCATGCACAAAGCACCCACCTCCCAGGGGAGGGTTTGGGAAGGGAGAAAGAGGGTTTATGCCAGGGGAGACTATTTGTGGCCAGAGGGTATTCAGGCCCCGCCCAGTCCCACCCTTGCTCACACTGACCTGGGAGCTCTGGGAGCAGGGCCTGGTCAGGCCTTCTGATGCCCTCCATGGGGGCCAAGCCCATCTGGGCTCCTCGCGTGGCAGGCAGTGCCAGCAGCAGGGCACAGCTCAGCACCGCTGCGGTCAGCATGGCCTGGCTCAGCAGGAAGATGTACCACTTAGTCCCTCCTTATCCTTGGAGTCCCCTCTAGGTGCCCAGATAGAGACCCCACAGAGAGGAGGAGTCCCTGCCCAACCTGAGGACTCACCTCTGCCTCCGGGATTCTTGCCTAGAGAGTTCCCGGCCACCCCGTGCCCTTGGCTTATATGGCAGGGCCTAATGAAGGGCCACACGTGACTGATCCCTGCAGCCAGGCCGTGAAGGACCCTTCCTGGAGGGTGGGGGCACAGTTCAGGCCCTCACTCCCTGAACCTGAGCCTTTTGTTCTACAAGAGGAGTGCCTATCTCCAATTTGGGGTGAGGTTTCCAGGAGCCGATTAAAATTTGGGAGCAAGAGAGGGTGCCCAGGGTCCACAAATTTCCACAGGACAGGGACCTAGGAGCTGAGCAGGGCTAGAACCATTAGCAATAACAAGGCAGGCGGCCCTGAAAGCTTAATTTAATTTGTGGCCCCAGAGATGCTTACTCAACCCCTATGTGGCATGTTGTTTCCTGTGCTTCCAAGAATTCGGGTCAAGGACATTGGAGCGGGTGATGGGCCAATGGCCACTGTTGGGCAGGGGTAGGTGCAGAACCAGAACCTGGGTTTCTTTGGAGGGAAAGGGGAAGGAAAAGCCCACCTAACCAATCCTAGGCCCTCCTGACTACATTTCTGGTCCTCCCCTCCCTTTCTCCCTCCAGGTTTCTCCAAGACCGCCCACTCCTGCTCCTGTCCCCAAACCCCTTTCTGCCTAGGGTTCCTGGAAGCCAAGGAAACAGAACGAACTGTTCCCTGGGTGGGCGAGCCACTGCAGAGTACAAAGCTTTCAGGCCGCCTGCCTCATTAGCACTAATGGCTGCTCCCTTCCGCCCTGTGTCGTCAGGACTGTCTATGCCTGGTCTCATCAGCACAAGGCTGGGGTAAGGACTGCCCTTTTGTGGAGATGGCAGGACATACAGGACCCTGCTGCCCCTGCCTTCCCTCACCCCACTGCAGAGCTGTTTATCACACACGTGTCCATCTGGGAAAGGAATGCAGGCTGAATCAGCTTTGAGAGGATCGCAAGGCCCCAGTGCACAAACTGGGTTGGCACAAGGCAGTGGAAAAAAGATGAAGGGGGCCAGGTATGGTGGCTCACACCTGTAATTCCAGCATTTTGAGAGGCCAAGGTGGGAGGATCACAAGGCCAGGGGTTTAAGACCAGCCTGGGTATCATGGTGAGACCCCGTTGCTACAAAAAATAAAAAAATAGCTGGGTGTAGTGGTGCATGCCTGTAGTAGAGGCTGAGGTGGGAGGATGGCTTGAGCACAGGGATTCAAGAGTGCAGTGAGCTATGACTGCATCACCACACTCCAGGCTGAGCGACAGAGCAAGATCCTGTCTCAAAAAGAAAAGAAGATAAAGGGTGGCCAGGCACGGTGGCTCACGCCTGTAATCCCAGCATTTTGGGAGGCCAAGGTGGGCGGATCACTGGAGGTCAGGAGTTCAAACCAGCTTGGCCAATATGGTGAAACCCTATCTCTACTAAAAATACAAAAGTTATTCAGGCATGGTGGCACATGCCTGTAATCCCACCTACCCGGGAGGCTGAGGCAGGAGAATCACTTGTAACACGGGAGGCAGAGACTGCAGTGAGCAGAGATCGCACCACTGCACTCCAACCTGGGTGACAGAGTGAGACTCCATCTTAAAAAAAAAATGCTATTTAAAATGAAATGAAGCAATCCATACTCCCAACATTTATATATACTGGGACATCCAAGAAATTAAAATCACACCTCATTATGTCTTTTTCTTTGAGTCAGGGTCTCACTCTGTCACCCAGGCTGGGCCTGGTCAGCACCCATGCTATGGAGAGCTCTTCATGGTCTGGTGTGGACAGAGTGGGAGTGGAAGATCTCCTCCCACACAGGTGCTCAGTGTCTTACCTCACCTACGGGCAGCAGCTGTCTTCACCTGAGTGTGTGCACACAGGTGTATCAGCCCCATGGGCAGTGATGGACGAGGGCTGAGGCACTCACAGGGCAGCCCATGCCCCGGTCAGGTCCAGTGGGGGAGATATCAAGAAAACCCAGCGCCAAAATGCAATGAGCTGTGATCGCGCTACTGCACTCCAGCCTGGGCGACAAAGCAAGTTGCCGTCTCAAAAAACAAAAACAAAACTAAACAAAAAAAAAAAAACGGCCAGGTGTAGTGATTCACACCTTCTTGAGCCCAGGAGTGGCAACATAGTGAGACTCTGTCTCTACCAAAAAAAAAAAATTTAATTAGCTGAATGTGGTGATGCACACCTGTAGTCCCAGCTACTCAGGAGACAGGGAGGAGGATAGCTTCGGCCCAGGAGATTGAGGCTGCAGTGAGCCATGGTGGTGGTGGCTCACGCCTATAATCCCAGCACTTTGGGAGGCTGAGGCAGGCAGATCACTTGAGCCTAGGAATTCGAGGCCAGCCTGGGCAACATGGCGAAACCCAGTCCCCATTAAAAAAAAAAAAAAAAAAGGCCAGGTGCGGTGGCTCACGCCTGTAATCCCAGCACTTTGGGAGGCCGAGGTGGGCAGATCACAAGGTCAGGAGATGGAGACTATCCTGCCTAGCACAGCAAAACCCCATCTCTACTAAAAATACAAAAAAAAAAAAAATTTAGCCGGGCGTCATAGCGGGCACCTGTAATCACAGCTACTTGGGAGGCTGAGGCAGGAGAATGGTGTGAACCCAGGAGGCAGAGCTTGCGGTGAGCCGAGATCGCGCCACTGCACTCCAGCCTGGGTGACTGAGCGAGACTCTCTCAAAAAAAAAAAAAAAAGTTTCACAGCCGGATGCAGTGGCTCACGCCTGTAATCCCAGCATTTTGGGAGGCCAAGGTGGGCAGATCATGAGGTCAGGAGTTCAAGACCAGCCTGGCCAACATGGTGAAGCCCCATCTCTACTAAAAATACAAAAATTAGCTGGGCATGGTGGCACGCACCTATGATCCTAGATACTTGGGAGGCTGAGGCAGGAGATTTACTTGAACTGGGACCCAGGAGGCGGAGGTTGCAGTTAGCTGAGATCGTGCCACTGCACTCCAGCCTGGTAACACTCCAGCCTGGTAACAGAGTGAGACTCCATCTCAAAAAAAAAAAAGTTTCACTATGTGGGTAATTTTACGGTAAGGAACCAGCCTGATATTCCCAGGACAATGCTTGTTGGCAAAAGGACCTTCAGAAATATGTGGCATGTTCTGGGAGGAGGATTTGGGAAACCCTGGGGGAGGCAGAGCCTCCTAAGTGAGGGTGTGGGCCCGGAACACAGGGACTCTGTGCAGGGAGGAGAAAGGGGAGAGTGTGCATGCTCGTTCCAGAGACCACATGAGGACAGAGAGGGGTGCTCAAACCCTCTCCCTTCTCTTCTTTTTCCTCCTGCAGTGTACTCCCCTTCAAGGGCCCTGTTCCCACCTTGTCCAGGGGAGAGGGTGGGGGGTGCAGGGAAAAACTGCAAGCACCCGTGGCTCTGTCAATCAGGGTTGATTTTGAAACCCCTACCCAGCCCATTGCCCCTGCCCCAGAGAGCACAGCCATGTGTTTCCTGTGAATCATCTGTAGGATTTCCTAAGGCAGAGGTTGCCTGGAGAGGCACGGTCTCCTCAGTCATTCAGGGAGAGGAGAAGATGGATGGGGGTTCTCTCGGGCTGGTGTATTGAGCCCTGAGCTAGAGAGGATCTGTGATTGTTAATTTTGTGTGTCAACTTGACTGGGCCAGGAATGCCCAGATATCTGGTTAAATATTATTTCTAGGTGTGCCTGTGAGGGTGTTTCCAGAATCATCCAATCCTTTGAGGGTTGGAATAAAACAAAAAGATAGAGAAAGTTGGTGCCGTGGCTCATGCCTGTAATCCCACCACTTTGGGAAGCCGAGGTGGGAGACTGTCTTGAGCCCAGGAGTTTGAGACCAGCCTGGGTAACATACAGAGACCCAATCTCTACAAAAAAATTTAAAAATAGCCAGACACAGTGGTGCACATCAGTGGTCCCAGTGACTCCAGAGGCTGAGGTGGGGAGGATCGCTTGATCCCAGGAGGTTAAAGCTGTAGTGAGCCATGATCACACTACTGCATTCCAGCTTATGCACATGAGACCTTGTCTTAAAAAAATAAAAAATTTTAAAAAAGAAAGAAAACTGGAAACAATCCAAATATCCATCAACAGCAAAATGGATAATAACATTATAGTGATATAATTGGGCCAGGCACAGTGGCTCACACCTGTAATCCTGGCACTTTGGAAGGCCGAGACGAGTGGATCACTTGAGCTCAGGAGTTCCAGACCAGCCTGAGCAACATGACAAAACCCTGTCTCTTCAAAAATTACAAAAATTAGCTAGACATGGTGGCGCAAGCCTGTAGTCCCAGCTTCTCGAGAGGCTGAGGTGGGAGGATCACTTGAATCCAGGAGGCAGAGGTTGCAGTGAACCAAGATTGCACCACTGCACTCCAGCATGGGTGACAGAGTGAGACCCTATCTCAAACAAACAAACAAAAGTATGTTTATATAATTGACAACTATACAGCAATGACAAGAGAATAAACTACTGCTACACACTGCAACATGAATGAATTGCACAGACATAAGGTTGAATGAAAGAAGCATGCTGCAGAAGAGTGAGGATGGAATGAATCCAGCCCTATGACATTCAGACCCAAGCAAAATTATAATAAATGGTGATAAAACACAACAGCGGTTAACTCTGGGAGGGTGGGAAATTATTGACTGAGGGGGGAAATGAGGAAAACATGTGAGGTGTTGGAAAGGTTTTGTATCTTGATCTCAGTGGTGGTCACGCAGGTATATAAGTATGTAAAATTTCATCAAGCTGCACATTTAAGACTTGTGTATTTTGCCAAGTGCAGTGGCTCACACCTGTAATCCCAGCACTTTGGGAGGCCAAAGTGGGCAGATCACCTGAGATCAGGAGTTCGAGACCAGCCTGGCCAATATGGCAAAACCTCGTCTCCACTAAAAATAAAAAATTAGCCAGATGTGGTGGTGTGTGCCTGTAGTCCCAGCTACTCAGGAGGTTCAGGCAGGAGAATCACTTGAACCCAGGAGGCGGAGGTTGCAGTCAGCCAAGATTGTGCCACTGCACTCCAGCCTGGGTGACAGAGTAAGACTCCATCTCAAAATATATATATATATTGTATTTTTTATTGGATATTATGTCTCAATGAAAACATTTTTTCTTTTCCTTTATTAGTGGCTCAAAAAATAATGGAGTGTCTGGCTGGACGCTGTGGCTCCCGCCTGTAATCCCAGCACTTTGGGAGGCCGAGGCGGGTGGATCACAAGGTCAGGTCAGGAGTTCGAGACCAGCCTGACCAACATGGTGAAACTCCATCTCTACTAAAAATACAAAAATTAGCCAGGCACGGTGGCACGTGCCTGTAATTCCAGCTACTCAGGAGGCTGAGGCAGGAGAATTGCTTGAACCCTGGAGGCGGAGGGTTGCGGTGAGCCGAGATTGCATCACTGCACTCCAGCCTGGGTGACAGAGCGAGACTCCGTCTCAAAAAAAAAAAAGAAAAAGAAAGAAAGAAACTTCCCTCATCTCTGTAGCTATTTGTGTAACTTCCCCTATCTGTGTAACTACTGTTAACTGTGCAGCTGTGGGCATGTCTTTAGGAAAGCATATGTAGCTTCTCTTGTCTCTGTAGTTGCAGGTATGTTTTAGGTAAGTCTCCCCATCCCCCTCCCTGTGCAAGTTCCCACAGAGCTCACCATTTGCATGCCTGAAAAGGGGAGGAAACATTTTCCTGGGAGCCTGCTGATTATGCAAAGAACAAAGGCCTCTATCCTGGGCCTTGCTCCCTTATCTGTGCAGCTGCAGCTTGATTTTTCCCCAGGCTGCTCTATCTGTGCCTGTAGCTTTGATTTTTCAAAAGAATTTTACCAAGGACTAGCCATAGCTGTCTGCCCAACTGCTTTATTCCTTTTCTCCTCCCTCAGCATCCTATAGGAGAAAGTCACCTTTGTCTCCAAATTCCCTGGTCCTGGTTTTGAAAATCCTGCTGGCACCTACTGCTGAAGGCTGTGGCTGGAGAATTCAGTGAGCTACTCTGATCTGGACAGGGTCTGATGGTCCTCACTTGACCTAAGCTGAGCTCTCCCAGGCTGTGAGCATCCCCAAGGTCAGCCTGTGACTCTCACAGAAGTTCTGACCTCCAGAGCCTTCCCCCTGCTGTGGCCTTTGGGGTAGAGTAGGTTACATGGGCCAGCACCATCTGCCAAAGTCAGGGCCAGAAACCTATCCATGGGAGCCAGATTTGGCTTTTGGCTTGGGCTAGTATTGACTTTGGGCACATTCTCATCCCAGAAAGAATAATTTGGGGTATGGGATTTCATGTTTTCTTTAGTACAGCCTTGAAAGCCACGTGTACAGGGTGTTTTCTTGCTAAGATAGCAGTCGGGCTATATTTGAGCAGTCCAGAGAAGTTTAAACTACAGAGGCATCTGGATATTGTCACAGTCTTGTCTGAGGTCAATAGCTTGCAAGCGGTAGAGCTGAGAGTCATACTGGGGAGTCTGACCCTGTAATGACCCCCTGGTCACTATGCTCAGAAATAATGACACCTGGAGTTGTATTTTTCAGCACAGATTGACTTTGAATAATAAATACGTAAGAATATTTCTTCAATTACACACACACACACACACACACACACACACACACACACACACACACATACATACACAATTATGCCATTTCTCATCTTCCCTGAAGCACATGGCCCTTTGGCCTCTCTTTTATTTTCATACTTTTTTTTTTTTTTGAGATGAAGTCTGGCTCTGTCGCCCAGGTGGAGTGCAGTGGCACAGTCTCAGCTCACTGCAACCCCTCCTGGGTTCAAGCAGTTCTCCTGCCTCAGCCTCCCAGGTAGCTGGGATTACAGGCGTGTGTCACCACACCCAGCTAATTTTTGTATTTTTAGTGTAGACGGGGTTTCACCACGTTGGCCAGGCTGGTCTTGAACTTCAGGTGACTTCAGGTGATCCACCTGCCTCGGCCTCTCAAAGTGGTAGGATTACAGCCATGAGCTACCATGCCCGGCCTGTCATACTTTTTTTCGGAAACAAAAGATTAGTTCTGTATTTCAACATTAACAATGACCACACTCTGACTCAATATTGGGGAAGTTTTGAAACCAACCCAATAGTCCCATAGACAGCTTTTTTGGATAAACATAGAAATCAACCCTTCTGATCCTAAAGCTTGAAACTTACATTTGTTTTATCTGAGTTCCCCTCTCAGGAAAGGATCCCCAGTCCTCTCAAAAAGTATCAAAGAACTGAAACCCACCAGATCATCCCATCCAGACAATGAGACTCAAGGGCCCTCATTCATCATGATTTGCTTCCTTACCCCTTGCATTTGTTTTCCCACACACAATTACATTTCTTCCCTGCTATATAAACTCCTAATTTTAGTCCATCAGGGAGATGGATTTGAGACCGATCTCCCGTCTTCTCACCTGCATCACCCGATTAAAGCCTTCTTCCTTGGCAATAATTGTCTCAGTGATTGGCTTTCTGTGTGGTGAGCAGCATGACCTAGACCAAACCTGTGGTATTTTAATAACAGTTTGAAGAGTGTGAGTTTGGCCTGAAGGGAGAAGCCATTGATGGCAGGCAGAGATGTAGGCCCAGGTTTGCCAGAGCTTCAGACTTTTTTTTTTTTTTAAGATGGAATCTCGCTCTGTTGCCCAGGCTGGAGCACAATGGCGTGATCTTGGCTCACTGCAACCTCCACCTCCTGGGTTCAGGCAATTCTCCTGCCTCAGTCTCCCGAGTAGCTGGGATTACAGGCATGTGCCACCACACCCAGCTAAGAGCTTCAGGTTTTTAAAGAAAAGAGAGAAAACAGAAGTTTTTTTTTTTTTTTTTGAGACGGAGTCTCACTCTGTCGCCCAGGCTGGAGTGCAGTGGTGCGATCTCGGCTCACTGCAAGCTCTGTCTCCCAGGTTCACGCCATTCTCCTGCCTCAGCCTCCCGAGTAGCTGTTCTACAGGCGCCCACCACCACACCCGGCTAATTTTTTGAATTTTTAGTAGAGACAGGGTTTCACCGTGTTAGCCAGGATGGTCTCAATCTCCTGACCTCATGATCTGCCTGCCTTGACCTCCCAAAGTGCTGGGGTTACAGGCGTGAGCCAAGAAAACAGAACTTTTAAATGATGTTTACATGTCTAGCTTCAAAAAATGCCATGCAGGTTGTCGGTTTCCCACTTCCAGGGTAACTGGATGGAATTTCTGCCTTCATGGTGGTTCAAGCCTGAAGTGCCTTGAGACCAGAAGTAAAGAGTTCCTTCCTCCTGCAGCACTGCTAGGTTTCCTGGAGGAGACGGTCTGTAGGTGGGGTTCCTAAAGGTGGAGAGAAGAGGAAGTTACTTCCTAAAGAGAAGGAAGATAGGGGGTAACTTCAGTGTGGCTTTTGCAGAGTTGTTCATGACAGGAATCCTATCAGGCCCTGAAGTTTCCATCAGCACAGCCCCCAACCCTCACTGTCCCACACCCTTAGCTTCCTGGTTCTAGTCTCAAGGGATTCTGCTCACTTCTGTCCTCGCTTTTTTTCTCCCTGGGAACCAAGTAACAGCTGAAGAAGTCCCAGGAGTCCTCCCATGTCCTCTCAGCAACCCAGGCTGGAGCCTACTCCTTGGTGTTGGCAAAGGAAACCGTCTTTGAAGGTGAGACCTTTTTTTTTTTTTTTTTTTGAGACGGAGTCTCCCTCTGTTGCCCAGGCTGGAGTGCAGTGGCGCAATCTCAGCTCGCTGCAACCTCCCCCTCCTGAATTCAAGCAATCCTCCTGCCTCAGCCTCCTGAGTAGCTGGGATTACAGATGTGCATCACCACGCCCGGCTAATTTTTTTTGTATTTTTAGTAGAGATGGGGTTTCACCATGTTGGTCAGGCTGGCCTCGAGCCCCTGACCTCATGATCAGGACTTCCTAACCGCGCCCGGCCCAAAGGTGAGGCCTCTTACAGCTGTAATAAAGAGAAGAGAAGGCTGGGTGCAGTGGCTCACGCCTGTAATCCCAGCACTTCAGGAAGCCAAGATAGGCAGATGGCTTGAGGTCAGGAGTTTGAGACCAGCCTGGCCAACATGGTGAAACCCTGTCTCTACTAAAAGTACAAAATAATTAGCCAGTGTGGTGGCACATGCCTATGGTCCCAGCTTTTCAGGAGGCTGAGGCAGGAGAATTGCTTGAGTCCAGGAGGCAGAGGTTGCAGTGAGCCAATATTACACCACTGCATTCCAGCCTGGGCGACAGAGCAAGACACCATCTCAAAAAAAAAAAAAAAGAGAGAGAAGAGAGGAGGGTCTGAAGACTTCCTGCTGGCTGAGTGTTATCTGCCTCAGGCTACCCTGACTTTTTCACTGTTTTTCACTTTTTTTTTTTTTTTGAGATAGTCTCACTGTGTAGCCCAGGCTGATGTGCATAACACAGCAGCCTTGAACTCCCTGGTTCAAGTAATCTCCCTACCTCAGCCTCCTGAGTAGCTGAGACTACAGGCATGCACTACCTCTCCCAGCTCGCTACTTTTCAGAAAGGGTAGACAAACTACAGTAGCTGCCTGGACACCATACTTGGAGGAGAAGGGGAGGGGGAGGCTGCACCGGATTCTGTCTTCTGAACTATGTTATCTTCCAGTTTCAACATCATAAATAGCACAGCAATCTTATATGATGGGCCTCCTGATGTGATGCAAAAATCACCAAAGTAGTATTCTTGACAAAAGTATTTACCATGAATCCAATCTTGAAGAAGCAATCAGGTAAATCCAGAATATACTAGAAAAGTGGCCTGGCCTAAACTCCTAAAAAGAAAATCAATGACATGAAAAACAAACAGGCTGAGTGTGGGGCAGAGGATACTCTTCTATATTAAAAGACACTAGAGAGACATAACCAAATCCAATTCATGAACCTTGCTTCACTCCTGGACTAAAATAAGAATGCTAAAATGGGCTGGGCGTGGTGGCTCACGCCTGTAATCCCAGCACTTTGGGAGGCTGAGGTGGGCGGGTCACCTGAGGTCGGGAGTTTGAGACCAGCCTTACCAACAAACCCCATCTCTACCAAAAATACAAAATTAGCTGGGTATGGTGGCATATGCCTGTAAACCCAGCTACTCGGGAGGCTGAGGCAGGAAAATTGCTTGAATCCGGGAGGCAGAGGTTGCAGTGAGCCGAGATCGCACCATTGCACTCCAGCCTGGGAAACAAGAGCAAAATTCCGTCTCAAAAAAAAGAAAAAAACATGGTAAAATGGCATTCTTGGAACAAGTCAGGGTGATACTGCTGAATTACTGTTGGTGTGGTGATGGTGTTTTCATTGTGTAGAGCAAGGTTTCTCAACCTCTACTGTTAACATTTTGGTGCAGATAATTTTCCTTTTCTTTTTTTTTTGAGGCAGGATCTTGCTCTGTTGTCCAGGCTGGAGTGCAGTGGTGCAATCATGGCTCACTGCAACCTCCCCTTCCCAGGCTCAAGTGATCCTCCCAGCTCAGCTTCCCGAGTAGCTGGGACCACGGGCCCACGTTGCCACGCCCGGCTAATTTTTTGTATTTTTTGTAAAGATGGCGTCTCACTTTGTTGCCCAGGCCGGTCTCAAACTCCTGGACTCAAGTGATTCTCCCACCTCTGCCTCCCAAAGTGTTGGGATTACCAGCAACCCCAGGCCCACATAATTCTTTCTGGTGGGAAGTTTAACAGCAGTTCTGTTCTCTGCCCACTAGGTGTCAGTAGCACCACACCTCTTTAGTTGCAACAACTAAAAAACGTCAAATGTTCTCCAAATAGGTAGTGGTGATGGTTGAATAACATCGTGAATATACAAAAACCATTGGACTGTACCCTTTAAAATGGTTAAAATAGTGAATTTTATATCATGTAAATTTTCCCAATAAAAAATGTTATTAGGCCGGGTGCGGTGGCTCACATCTGTAATCCCAGCACTTTGGGAGGCCAAAGCTGGCAGATCACTCGAGGTCAGGAGTTTGAGACCAGCCTGGCCAACATGGTAAAGCCCCGTCTCTACTAAAAATACAAAAATTAGCCGGGCGTGGTGGCATGTGCTTGGAATCCCAGCTACTTGAGAGGCTAAGGCAGGAAACTCGCTTGAACCCAGGAGGCAGATCTTGCAGTGAGCTGAGATCACACCATTGCACTCCAGCCTGGGTGACAAGAAAGAAACTACGTCAAAAAAGAAAAAGAAATGAGTTTCCTCCTCCATACTTGCAGAGCCCCAGTGAGTCCCTGCTCTGCAATGCTCATACCCATTGTGCTGTTACTGCAAGTCAATGAGAACGTTGGTGGACTTCTCTCCACTTCACAGAAGAATGAATGGAGGCCCAGAACAATGGCATGAACCTGTCGTTTCTTGGCCTTTTGGCTAAGATCAAGTGCAATGGCATGAACCTGACCATAGTCGTAGACAAACAAGAGGCAGAGACATTGTCTTAGTTTGAGTTCCCACTTCAGAAAACCTTGAGACAAACATTGTAGCACAGGAAGTTTATTAAGAGGATACAAGCCAGGCATGGTGGCTCACGCCTGTAATCCCAACACTTTGGGAGGCCAGGGTGGACAGATTGCCTGAGCCCAGGAGTTCAAAACCAGCCTGGGCAACATGGGGAAATCCTGTCTATAAAAAATACAAAACTTAGGCTGGGCGCAGTGGCTCACGCCCGTAATCCCAGCACTCTGGGAGGCTGACATGGCTGGATCACTTGAGGTCAGGAGTTTGAGATCAGCCTGGCCAACACGGTGAATGAAACCCCATTTCTACTAAAAATACAAAAATTATCCAGGTGTTGTGGTGTGCACCTGTAATCCTAGCTACTTGGGAGGCTGAGGCAGGAGGCTCACTTGAACCTGGGAGGCAGAGGTTGCAGTGAGCTGAGATCGTGCCACTGCCACTCCAGCCTGGGTGACAGCGAGACTCTGTCTCAAAAAAAAAATAGCCTGGCATTGTGGCATATACCTGCAGTCCCAGCTATTAGGGAGGCTTAGGTGGGAGGATTGCTTAAGCCTAGGAGGTCAAGACTGCAGTAAGCCAGCCGGGGGCGGTGGGTCAAGCCTATAATCCCAGCACTTTGGGAGGCCGAGGCAGGCGGATCATGAGGTCAGGAGATCAAGACCATCCTGGCTAACATGGTGAAACCCTGTCTCTGCTAAAAATACAAAAAAATTAGCCGGGTGTGGTGGCGGGCGCCTGTAGTCCCAGCTACTCAGGAGGCTGAGGCAGGAGAATGGCTTGAACCCGGGAGGCAGAGCTTACAGTGAGCTGAGATTGCACCACTGCACTCCAGCCTGGGCGACAGAGCAAGACTCCATCTCAAAAAAAAAAGACTGCAGTAAGCCGTGAGCATGCCACTACACTCAGTCTGGGCGACAGAGCAAGACCCTGTCTCAAAAATAAATAAGGAAATAAAAGAGGATACAAAGAACAAGCGTACAAAAATACAGGGAGGGAAGACAGCCACTATAAAGTGGGTCATAAGCAGGGTTCCACCAGGGATGCCTGGTCCCCCCGGGGTGTGGGTGGGGAACTCTGGGCTGCAGTGCAGAATGCATGTCTCAGAGAAGTTCCACCCAAGGCAGGAGGAAGGTGAGTAGATATACAGCAACCCTGTCTCAGTCCCTTGGAGGGTTGTTGGGGGAGAGTTAACTCCTAGCACTTCTGACCAACTTGTAGAGTGAGCTCAGAAAGCCCCAGACACATCAGAGGCAGATACCAGCAGTGGACACCAAGAGTCTGTTCCACGTGTGTCTAAGCATACTTATCCCCCAAAATGTGGCGCCCACACCAACAGCATCAGCCTAAGGTAGGAACCTGGGAGGATGTTAAGTCTGGCTCTGCCCCAACATAATGAATCACAAACTCCTGGGGTAGGGCTCAGCTGCTAGAGTTTGTTTGTTTATTTGTTTGTTTGTTTGTTTGTTTTGAAATGGAGTCTCACTGTGTCGCCCAGGCTGGAGTGCAGTGGCTCCATCTCGGCTCACTGCAACCTCCGCTTCCCAGGTTCCAGCGATTCTCCTGCCTCAGCCTCCCGAGTAGCTGGGACTACAGGCACGAGCCACCATGCCCGGCTAATTTTTGTGTTTTTTAGTAGAGACAAGCTTTCACTATATTAGCCAGGCTGGTCTCGAACCCCTGACCTCGTGATCCGCCCACCTCGGCCTCCCCAAGTGCAGGGATTACAGATGTGAGCCACCGCGCCCGGCCAACTGCTAGAGTTTTAACAGACCTTTCAGGTGGCTCTGATGTGACTGAGCTTTGAGAATCTCTGCCCTAACCCACCATTTCTAACTCCAAAGCCCAAGGTCTTTCTGGTACTAGATGATGGCTGAGGCCTGCAGCCAATTAGTGGGAAGGGCTGCTGGGGATGTTAGAGGCAGAGGAATAAGCGGCCTGACACTCAGCTCCGGGGACACCAAATAGGTGCTGGCCCTTGTAACCCAGTGAGGAGGCAGCGCTCATTCCTTTATCTTAAAATATGTCCTGAGCACTTACTGCATGCCAGAGCCTGGTGCAAATGCTTAGGGCTTACTAGGAACCTGGGGGTGGAGGGAGCAGGGTTGATGTGAAGGCTGGGTATTGAACACAAAGAATTTGGGTCTTTTGGGGCTCCTGTGGTCTGGTCCACTCCTTGGAGATACCCACCAGGAGATGACTCAGCCTTCCTAGTCCAGGAAGGCCCCCGCCTCTTTTTCTGTGAGCCCAGCCATCACCTTATTGCCTTCAGCATGTCCTGAATGGATTTTGTCACTGTTACTGGGGCCTGCAAAGCACACAGCCCTCGTGGTCCAGCTAAGACCACCTGGCCACAGGCCGGCCCACAGCCGTACTTGCAGGGTGAACCAAAGTCAAGGAAGGGTCCAGAGAAGCTGGGTCTGAATGCCACCCACCACTTCCCCATGTCAGGAGATGACACTTATGTGGACACCCCAGGGATTCCTATGATTCCTCCAACCCATCACCTTTTCTAGAGCACCCCTCACTCCTCTCTCCAGAGTCTCCCACCTTTCCAGCACTGGCTTCCCAAGTTCCACTCTCTGCAGCCTCCATCTGTGGCCTGGACCCCAGGATCCAACCCCCTAAACTCCTTCTAGGCAACCATCTTGGGCAACTTCACCCAATGACAACCTATGCTCCTCCTGTTATTGACAGCCCTGAAAAAATGGAGTTCAAGGTCATAGGCCCCATTGGACCTGATATCTTCACCAGGCTCCTGAGAACCCAACTGAGCAGCCCTGTCCTCAGATTCCAGCTCGGACATAACATTGGGGGTCAGAAAACTGACTCCCAAGGTACAAACTGGAACAGCCAGGGTGAGTGCCAGCACACAGGATGGCTTCCTCATCATAGGCCAGAGTCTGGCCCTGGGTTAGCAAGTTCAGGGCAGCCTACAAGAGGAATGAGCTGGAAAGAGCTGTGGCCAACCCAGGGAGGCCCCAAATACACCAAGTCCCAGGTCCTCCTGCTCTTGTCACCTTTCTACAGTGGTAAGACAAGACACATTGTCTGAACAGTCCCAGTTCAGAACTTCTGTCGTGGAGCCTGTAGTGCTGCAAAGGTTGAAGACAGTGGCTTATACCCAGCTCAGTTCTTTATTTTCTCTCTTTCTCTCCTTCCTTCCTTCCTTCCTTCTCTTTCTTTCTTTCTCTTTCTTTCTTTCTTTCTCTCTTTCTCTTTCTTTCTCTTTTTTTGAGACAGTCTCGCTCTGTCACCCGGGCTGGAGTGCAGTGGTGTGAACTCAGCTCACTGCAAGCTCTGCCTCCCGGGTTCACGCCATCCTCCTGCCTCAGCCTCCCGAGTAGCTGGGACTACAGGCGCACACTACCACGCCCCGCTAACTTTTTGTATTTTTAGTAGAGATGGGGTTTCACCGTGTTAGCCAGGATGGTCTCAATCTCCTGACCTTATGATCTGCCTGCCTCGGCCTCCCAAAGTGCTGGGATTACAGGTGTGAGCCACTGCACCTGGCCTTTTTTTTTTTTTTGACATGGAGTTTCGCTCTTGTTGCCCAAACTGGAGTACAATAACACGATTTCGGCTCACTGCAAACTCTGCCTCCTGGATTCAAGTGATTCTCCTGCCTCAGCCTCCTGAGTAGCTGGGATTACAGGAGCACACCACCATGTCCAGCTAATTTTGTATTTTTAGTAGAGATGGGGTTTCACCATGTTGGTCAGGCTGGTCTCAAACTCCTGACCTCAGGTGATCCACCTGCTTCGGCCTCCCAAAGTGCTGGGATTACATTTTTTTTTTTTTTTGTCATGTGTCTGTTGCCAAGGGAATAAGGTTGGGGGGAGGATCAGGCAAGGGCGTGATTTATATACATATATATGTGTATATATATATATTTTTTAATTTTTTAATTTAAGGACAGGATCTTGCTATGTTGCCCAGGCTCTTGAACTCCTGGGCTCAAGCAATCCTCTTGCTTCAGCCTTTCAAAGTGCTGGGATTACAGGCATGAGCCACTGCACCTGGCCAAGCTCAGTTCTTTCTGGGGGTGGGCTTGGGAAGCCTTCCTCAGCAGTGATCCAAAGGCCTAGGACAGAGGAGAGGGGGTGCAGACAAGAAGGAACAAGGCCTCAGCCTCCCATTCTTGGCAAATCTAAACCTGGCAACCAAGATGATGATATTCTCATTTCACAGAAAAGTCTACTTTTCTCAGCTGGGGAGCAAGTGTCAGGAGCACTGGGGCCAGACTCCCTCCCCAACCTGGCCCTGCTCATTTTCCCCCGTTGCCTGAGGACCCTGGGGATGGAGGAAGAGCATCAGACCAGGGGCAGGGTCTATTCTGGGCCAGCACGTGGAGCGGAGGCAGAGCTGGCCTCAGGCCCTTGCCTGATCCTCCCTCCCCTTATTCCCTTGGCAGCAGACACATGACATAGAAATCACTGGTTCCACCAAATACTGCACAGCCCAGATGCTGCTGGCCTGATCAGGGCCAAGCTGAGTCACCACTTTAGGATACGATTCTTGCTTTTTGGACTATGAATGCACCCTCATCACCCCATGCTCAACCCCCAACTGAAGACTGAGGTTACAGCAGATCCGTGGATATCACAGGGTGATGAGGCACTAGGCCACCTGCTGCCTATTCCCTGGCACTTCATTCTTCTGATAATGGAGTATGAGAGAGAATGGGACATGAGGTGGACCCCGATCAGGCATGTCATAGACAGGAGGGACACATACTACCACTGGGCATGGTGCCCTAGATAATGACCCAGAGGGAGGTTGTAGGTCTCGACCCTGGGGTCCAAGCTGATGAGGAAAGGCAAGAAAAAAAGAAGGGGCCAGGCATGGTGGCTCATGCCTGTAATCACAGCACTTTGGGAGGCCAAGGTGGGCAGATCACTTGAGGTCAGGAGTTGGAGACCAGCCTGGCCAACGTGGTGAAACCCTGTCTCTTATAAAAATATATATATATATTAAAAAATTAGCCGGGGCCAGCCACAGTGGCTCACTCCTGTAATCACAGCACTTTGGGAGGCCAAGGCGAGTGGATCACCTGTGGTCAGGAGTTCAAGACCAGCCTGGCCAACATGGTGAAACCCCGTCTCTACTAAAAATATCAAAATTAGCTGGGCATGGTGGTGGCACATGCTGGTAATCCCAGCTACTCAGGAGGCTGAGGCAGGAGAATCGCTTAAACCTGGGAGGCGGAGGTTGCAGTGAGCTGAGATCATGCCATTGCCCTCCAGCCTGGGAGACAAGAGTGAAACTCCATCTCAAAAAAAAAAAAATAGCTGGGTGTGGTGGTGCACACCTGTAGTCCCAGCTACCCGGGAGGCTGAGGCAGGAGAATCGCTTGAACCCAGGAGGCAGAGGTTGCAGTGAGCCAAGATCACGCCACTGCACTCCAGCCTGGGTGACAGAGCAAGACTCCATCTAAAAAAAGAAAAAAAAAGAAAAAAAAAAAGGAAAGAAAGAAGGGAAAGCAGGTAGGATGTCTTGAACAAATAGGTGGATATAGGCTCCAGAACTGGTGGTTGTTGGGAAAAGTGGGAAAACCTTCTGCATGGGGTTGCCTGGGTGAGCTGATTTCCTATTAGGTCCTCATTCCTGCTGCCACCAAGATAAAGTGATGGGTGGCATGGAGATTTCAGCTGTGTCCTTGGATGTCATGTGCTCTGCAGTCCTCATGATGATAACAAGAGTCCATCCAGTCCATGCTTCGATGCTGGCATGACTAAAGGAACAGGGATGTTATCGAATGGGAGGGCCACGTGGTGCCCTCGTGGGCTTCCCCAAGCAGCTGACCAGACCTGGAAGCACCTTTGTCTAAGGCCCTACGAGCAGCCTAGTTAATCCTTTTCCATTCCCCCATCCCACTCACTTGTATCCCACTCTGCCTTTGCCATACTGAATCCCATCCTTGGAAAGTCAGGAAAGCCCTAAGATCTCTAGGCTCCAGCATAAGGCAGGTCCCCAGTATAATGACTGACTCTTGTCCCTTTTCTTCTTCTTCTTCTTCTTTTTTTTTTTTTGAGATGGAGTTTCACTCTTGACGCCCAGGCTGGAGTGCAATGGCATGATCTCGGCTCACCACAACCTCTGCCTGTCGGGTTCAAGTGATTCTCCTGCCTTAGCCTCCTGAGTAGCTGGGATTACAGGCGCCCGCCACCACGCCCATTTTTGTATTTTTAATAGAGACGGGGTTTCACCATGTGGGTCAGGCTGGAATGCAACTCCTGACCTCAGGTGATCCGCCTACCTCGGCCTCCCAAAGTGTGGGATTACAGGTGTAAGCCACCACGTCCAGCCTACTTTCTTCTTTTCACATGATAGGTATGAACTGGTAATGGAATAAAATAGGCCGGGCGCAGTGGCTCACATCTGTAATCCCAGCACTTTGGGAGGCTGAGGTGGGTGAATCACCTGAGGTCAGAAGTTCAAGACCAGCCTAGCCAACATAGCAAAACCAAGTCTCTACTAAAAATACAAAAATTAGCCAAACATGGTGGCACGTGCCTGTAATCCCAGGTATTCAGAGACTGAGGCACAAAAATCGCTTGAACCCAGGAGGCAGAGGCTGCAGTGAGCCAAGATTGCACCACTGCACTCCAGCCTGGGGGACAGAGTAAGACTCTGTCTCAAAAATAAAGCAAAATAAAATAAAATAAAATAAATCGTCATTGTATGATGATACATTTGGTACTCCAAACTATCAAGTTGTGGCCAGGTGCAGTGACTCATGCCTGTAATCCCAGCATTTTGGGAGACCAGGGTGGGTGGATCACCTGAGGTCAGGAGTTTGAAACCAGCCTGGCCAACATGGTGAAACCCCTTCTCTACTAAAAATACAAAAATTAGGTGGGCGTGATGGTGTGCACCTGTAATCCCAGCTACTCAGGAGGTTGAGACAGGAGAATGGCTTGAACCTGGGAGGTGAAGGTTGCAGTGAGCCGAGATCACACCACTGCACTCCAGCCTGGCGACAGAGCAAGACTCCATCTCAAACAACAACAACAACAACAACAAAACTATCAAGTTGTAACTTCAAAACTGAAATTTATTTATGTATTTATTTATTTTGAGACGGAGTTTCGCTCTTGTCACCCAGGCTGGAGTGCAATGGTGCGATCTCAGCTCACTGCAACCTCTGCCTCCCGGGTTCAAGCGATTCTCCTGCCTCAGCCTCCCAAGTAGCTGGAATTACAGGCCCCCGCCACCATGCCCAACTAATTTTTGTGTTTTTAGTAGAGATGGGGTTTCACCATGCTGGCCAGGCTGGTCTCAAACTCCTGACCTCAGGTGATCCATCTGCTTCGGCCTCCCAAAGTGCTGGGATTACAGGCATGAGCCACGACACCCGGCCCAAAACTGCAATTTATAGTGCACTGAGCAGCAAAGAAAAGTGACGAGAGCACCACTTACGATCTCTGTTCCAACAACTCGACTCTGCTGTTGGAACCCAAAAGCAGACACAGGCACCATGTAACAGATGAACCAGGCTACATTTCAATAAAACTCCATGTCTGCACACTGAAATTAGAATTTTAGATAACTTTAATGTGTCACAAAATAGCCTCCATTCGATTTTTTTTCATTGTGGTTCACGCCTGTAATCCTGGCCCTTTGGGAGGCCAAGGCAAGAAGATGACTTAAACCCAGGAGTTGGAGACGCAGCCTGGGCAACATCAGGAGACCCTATCTCTACAAAAAAAATTTTAAATTAGCTGAGTGTGGTGGTGCGCACCTGTAGTCCCTACCCTTTGGGAGGCTGAGGCAGGAGGATCATTTGAGGCCAGGAGCTCACTGCACTCCAGCCTGGACAACAGAGGGAGACCATATCTTGGAAAAAGAGAGAGAGAGAGAGAAAAAGAGAGATGGAGGGAGAAGGAGAGAAATGTAAAAACTTTAGAAAAACTTCAGTGCTTCTTAGTTGGTTTAAAAAAAAAAATGCCAGGCATGGTGGCTCATGACTGTAATCCCAGTACTTTGGGAGGCCGAGCAGGCGGATCGCAAGATCAAGAGATTGAGACCATCCTGGCTAACACAGTGAAACCCTGTCTCTACTAAAAATACAAAAAATTAGCCGGGCATGGTAGCGGGCGCCTATAGTCCCAGCTGCTCAGGAGGCTGAGGCAGGAGAATGGCTTGAACCCTGGAGCCGGAGCTTGCAGTGAGCCCAGATTGCGCCACTGCACTCCAGCCTGGGCGAGAGTGCAAGACTCCGACTCAAAAAAAAAAAAAAATCCTTGGGAGGCTGAGGCTGGAGGATCCCTTGAGCCCAGGAGGTTGAGGCTGCAGTGAGCTGTGATCCCACTACTGCACTCAGCCTGCATGACAGAATGAAACCCTGTCTCAATCAATCAATCAATAAGGCCGGGCACAGTGGCTCACGCCTGTAATCCCAGCACTTTGGGAGACCGAGGCGGATGGATCATTTGAGGTCAGGAGTTCAAGACCAGCTTGACCTACATAGTGAAACCCTGTCTCTACTAAAATACAAAAATTAGCCAGGTGTGGTGGCAGATGCCTGTAATCCCAGCTACTTGGGAGACTGAGGCAGGAGAATCGCTTGAACCCAGGAGGCGGAGGTTGCAGTGAGCCAAGATCACACCACTGCACTCCAGCCTGGGCGACAGAACAAGACACCCTCTGAAAGAAAGAAAAGAAAGAAAGAGAAGGAAGGAAGGAAGGAAGGAAGAAAGGAAGGAAGGAAGGAAGGAAGGAACCATTCTTGACTTGTGGGTTATACAAAAACAGGCAGGGTTCCACTCCTGGCACTAGGTTTGTTCTTGTGTTTGTTCTCTGTTCAGGGTTATGCCACGCAGAGGGTAGGAGGGGAATTAGTCCATGGTTATGTGTCCTCACAGATGACCACTGAGAAGGCCACCATGCCTAGTCGTCACGACTCTAGGCCCAGCAACTTGCTGAAGACTCTGCAGTGCTGGGGACCCAGGCATTTTTGTGAGGCTGTCCACACCCTATCTGCCTGTGAGGACTGGGCAGTCCATCTGGGGGTCTGGCTGCCTCTCCTGCGTGCTGCTGGGAGGCTAGGCCTGACTGTCATTGCTCTACGGCCACATCCCCAGCCACGCTCTTCTTTTTCTTCTTTCAGCCAGAGGGAGCCCTGAATTCATGCAGAGGAGTTTTTCTACCTTCCATCTGCTTCTGCATATCATCTTGTCTACTTAATGCCCCTCCTTCCGGATTTATAGAACAGTATGCATAATATGACCCCAACTGCATTCCAAAAAATAGATGTAGATGTAAGCTTAGAGATGCAAAGAAACTTTTTGAGAGAATTCACTATGCTTCTCGCGGGTGGTGACACAGTTCAAGGAGGTTCCATGGGGTGTAATGTTTATCTTTCTCTTTTGTCCTTCTGATCATTGAAATGATGCTTTGTGTGTGTGAACATGTATTACTTTTATAATTAAAATAGAAAAATTAATTTGAATGGGACAAATGCTCGAAGTCAAAGTCACCTGTTATAACTGCTGTCACTAACAGGGCAACTGTTTGAAAATGCTGCAGAAACATGAGAAATGTTCATGAAGTGACCCTGTGGAGGCTTCCGGTCACAGGATCATGTGAGCGCCACGATCACCCCAGGGGTGGAGCAGATGCTAAGTGTTCACCACACCCAATTCTCTTCCTGGACACACAGGAAGATGACATTTCCAGTGACATGCCCCACCTCTAGGCCCTAGTCTTTTTTTTATTTAAAGGTCTGAGTCTTGTTCTGTCACCCAGGCTGGAGTGCAGTGCTGTGATCATGACTCACTGCAGCCTCAACCTCCTGTGCTCAAACAATCCTCCCACCTCAGCCTCCCTAATAGCTGATGTCATATAGGCATGAGCCAGTGTGCCTGGCTCAGGCCCTACCCTTAAAAGCATCCCACCTGATTCACCAGCCCCCTTCTCTCTCTCAGTAAACTTGGAAACCACGCATTCCAGATGGTATAATTTACAGCATGATGGAAAAAGCCAGCTCTCCATGGGAAGCTGGCCAGTCTTCATTGGAGTACATTTTTATTGCATGAAGCCAATGAGACTTGATATTGTTTAACTCTGTGGTTTCCAAAGTGCGGTCCTTTTGAAGTATCCATAAAGTCTACACTAGGTTCACGGTAATATTAAGATGTTATTTGTCAGCTGGGCACGGTGGCTCACGCCTATAATCTCAGCACTTTGGGAGGCCAAGGCAAATGGATAATGAGGTCAGGAGTTTCAGACCAGCCTGGCCAACATGGTGAAACCCAGTCTCTACTAAAAATACAAAAATTACCTGGGTGTGGTGATGCATGCCTGTAATCCCAGCTACTCAGGAGGAGGCTGAGGCAGGAGAATTGCTTGAATCCGGGAGGCAGAGATTGCAGTGAGCTGAAATCTCACCACTGCACTCCAGCCTGGGTGATGGAGCAAGACACTGTCTCAAAAAAAAAAAAAAAGATATTATTTGTCTTTCATGAGTGTACAGTGGGATTTTCCAGAGGCTACATGACATGTGTTTTTTTATTTTGTTTTTTATACTGACAGAGGGGTCTTGCTATGTTGCCCAGACTGGTCTTCCAACTCCTGGCCTCAAGTGATCCTCCCGCCTTCACCTCCCAAAGTGCTGGGATTATAGGTGTGAGCCACTGCGCCTGGCTGTTTGTGACATGTGATGTTGAAACAGGTTGAGTATAGAAGCAGATATGGGAATTAAACCAGAATATTAAACCAGACATTGAAGAGATTTGCAAAAAATACAAAACAATACCACTGTTTTCACTTTCTTTTTGGTTTGGAAAAATGTAGTTATTTTTCATTAAAAGTATGTTGTGTTGGCTGGGCACAGTGGCTCATGCCTGTAATCTCAACGCTGGGAGACTGAGGTGGGAGGATCACTTGAGATCAGGAGTTCGAGACCAGCCTGACCAACATAATGAAACCCCATCTCTACTAACAATATAAAAATTAGCTGGGCTGGCTGAGCGCGGTGGCTCACGCCTGTAATCCCAGCACTTTGGGAGGCCAAGGCGGGCGGATCATGAGGTCAGGAGATCGAGACCATCCTGGCTAACATGGTGAAACCCCATCTCTACTAAAAATACAAAAAATTAGCTGGGCGAGGTGGCGGGCGCCTGTAGTCCCAGCTGCTCAGGAGGCTGAGGCAGGAGAATGGCGTGAACCCAGCGGGCAGAGCCTGCAGTGAGCAGAGATCGCGCCACTGCACTCCAGCCTGGGCGACAGCAAGACTCCGTCTCAAAAAAAAAAAAAAAAAATAACTGGGCTTGGTGGCATGCGCCTATAATCCCAGCTACTTGAGAGGCTGAAGCAGAAGAATTGCTTGCACCTGGGAGGGGCAGGTTGCAGTGAGCCAAGATCGCACCACTGCACTCCAGCCTGGGCAACAGAGCAAGACACCTTCACCTTCTCAAAAAAAAAAAAAGTTGTGTTAACATGTAATGGTTTCATGATATCATTTTAAATAAATTAATAAACATGTAAACATTTTCTCTGTTTTAATTTCTCACATGGTAAATATTAATGGTGTGAACCAAAAAGTGACTGAGGCATCTCAATCAATTTAGAGGTTTATCTTGCCAAGGTTGAGGACACGCCCGGGGAAAAAGAGACACAAGTCACAGTACGATCTGTGTCCTGTGCTTTTTCCAAAGAGGAAAGAGGCAGCAGGAGGGGAGGGAGGAAAGGGGAAAAAAGCGGGCAGGAGGGTAGGCAGGGCGGCAAGTGGTGACATTGTTGTGAGGCTGTGATTAGCAGCTCAGTGACTCTACATTTTATATGTGAAAAGGGGTCGGGGGAGTCAACTATGCATTGTCTCGGGCTTAGTAGATCTACATTTTACATAACTAAGCCTGTGAAATTACAGCTGTCCGTTTGGGAAAGGAAGGCAGTTTTTGTGGTTCCCAAGCTTAACTTTCCCTTTGACATAATGAGTTTGGGGTCCCAAGATTTTATTTTCCTTTCATAATAGATATAACCAACATGAACAAAATTCTTTAGAATCCTCAAAAATACTGAAGAGTGAAAAGACGTCATGAGACCAAAAGGTTTGAGACCCTTTGCTCTGTGACAGCTAGCCACCCTGGGACAGGCCGTTTCAATCTGGAAACACACATAGTACCTCAATTATGGGAAATTCTCTCTCTCTGTCTCTTTTTTTTTTTCTTTTGAGATGGAGTCTCGCTCTGTCACCCAGGCTGGAGTGCAGTGGCGCGATCTGGGCTCACTGCGACCTCCACCTCCCGCGTTCAAGTGATTCTCCCACCTCAGCCTCCTGAGTAGCTGGGATTACAGATGTGCACCACCACATCTAACTAATTTTTGTATTTTTAGTAGAGACGGGGTTTCACCATGTTGGCCAGGCTGGTCTCGAACTCCTGACCTCAAGTAATCCTCCCACCTTGGCCTCCCAAAGTGCTGGGATTACAGGCGTGAGCACGGCACCCGGTCCCTTTCACTTTACACTTTCCATTACTGTCATTTTGCTCTACTTCCTGGAGATTTCTTCAACTCTATTTCCAACCCTTATATTGAGTTTCTCACTTCTGCTATCATATGTTTCGTTTTTCAAGGCTTTAACATTGCTCTCTGGAATTTTTTTCCCCCTTTTATTCCTGAGGCATGCTGTTCTTGCTTTATGGATGTAATGTCTTCTCTAATATCTCTGAGAATATTAATGCAGAATGTACATTTCCTCTGATTTGTTATTGTTGTTTTCATCTCTGCTTACCGTGTTACCTTTATTTCTCTAATATCTGCTGATTATTGGTTTTCTCCTTATATAGAAGAGTCAGGCCCTAGAAAACTGATTGGCAGTAGTAGGCATTGAGTGGGGCTTGTGCACAGTTTCAGTGTCATAGTGAGTGGTCATTTCCTTTAGAACCTCCTTCTCCACTCTGCTCAATGTCAATGTCAATGTGTTTATTATTTTCTCTTGAGGTGTCTGCCAATCTCCTGCCTGCAGGTATACTCTGGCTGCTGGCATTCTAGATCCTTCCTAGAGAAGAAGAGCAGTGCCTACATATTCAGTATATAAACTTCTCTGTAATCATTCTGCTTTTCGGATGATAATCTGACTCCTAACTGCCTGGTGCTCCCCAGTCTAGAGACACTCTATTATCTATCATCTGCTGGTGTGGGAGAAGGGCAGCACCATCCGGGTTGAGTTGAGGAAGGGATCTAGGGTTCAGCCACTTCTTTCTTTAAAGTAATTTTTTTAAATTGTGATTTTAAAAAACAAAACTTACCATTTAACCATTTTTAAGCGTATGTCAGTAGCATTAAGTACATTCATAATGTTGTATACCCATTGCCACTATCTACTTCAGACCTTTTTTTTTTTGAGATGGAGTCTCCTTCTGTTGCCCAGGCTGGAGTGCAGTGGTGCAATCTCGGCTCACTGCAAGACACTCCATCTCCCAGATTCAAGCAGTTCTCCTGCCTCAGTCTCCTAAGTAGCTGGAATTACAGGCACCCACCACCATGCCCGGCTAATTTTTGTATTTTTAGTAGAGACAGGGTTTCACCATGTTGGCCAGGCTGGTCTCGAACTCCTGACCTCAAGTGATCCACCCACCTTGGCATCCCAAAATGCTGGGATTATAGGCATGAGCCACCGCCCCCAGTACTTTTTTTTTTTTTTGTAAGACAGGATCTCTAATGCCAGGTGTGGTGGCTTGTGCCTGTAATCCCAGCAGTTTAGGAGGCTGAGTCGGGCGGATTAAGAGGTCAGGAGTTCGAGACCAGCCTGGCCAACAAGGTGAAACCCCGTCTCTATTAAAAATACAAAAATTAGCCGGGTGTGGTGGCAGGCGCCTGTAATCCTGGCTACTCAGGAGGCTGAGGCAGGAGAATTGCTTGAACCTGGGAGGGGGAGGCTGCAGTGAGCCAAGATCACGCCACTGCATTCCAGCCTGGTGACAGAGCAAGACTCCATCTCAAAAAAAAAAAATTCTTGGCTGGGCACGGTGGCTCACACCTGTAATCCCAGCACTTTGGGAGGCCAAGGCAAGAGGGTTGCTTGAGAGACCAGCCTGAGACCCTTGTCTCTACAGAAAAATTTAAAAATTAGCCTGGCATGGTGGCTCACACCTGTAGTCCCAGCTACTCGGGAGGCTGAGGTGGAAGGATTACCTGAACCCAGGCGACTGAGTCTGCAGTGAGCCATGATCGCACTACTACACTCTAGCCTGGGTGACAGAGTGAGATCCTGTCTCAAAAAAAATTAAAAACAAAACCAACATTCTTAGCTCACAAGCTGCACAAACACTAGCAGTGGGCTAGATTTGGCCATGAGCCAACCCCTCTACCCTAGACTATTGGCAAAGATCAAGAAGTATGATAGCAGAGGAAAAACAGACACTTGAACTCCTCTTGGTGGGATGTCACTGGCACAACAAGGAGTGGGAGTAGACAGTGGTTGGCATGGCTCAATGCAGTGGGAACGGTGCCCCCTCCCTCACCAAGTCCAGAACAGTGGCAAGACCTCAGTGGGGAGCAAGTACAGAGTGCACCCAGTGAGGCTGAACCCTAAGAATTAGGCACCAGTCAGCTCGGCGTGGTGGCTCACTTCTGTAATCCCAGCACTTTGGGAGGCTGAGGCGAGCAGATCATGAGGTCAGGAGATCGAGACAATCCTGGCCAACATGGTGAAACCCCATCTCTACTAAAAATACAAAACTTAGCTGGGTGTTGTTGTGCGTGCCTGTAGTCCCCACTACTAGGGAGGCTGAGGCAGGAGAATTGCTTGAACCCAGGAGGTGGAGGTTGCAGTGAGCTGAGATCGTGCCTCTGCACTCCAGCCTGGCAACAGAGCGAGACTCCATCTCAAAAAAATAAATAAAGGCCGGGCACGGTGGCTCGCCTGTAATCCCAGCACTTTGGGAGGCTGAGGCGGGCAGATCACGAGGTCAGGAGATTGAGACCATCCTGGCTGACACGGTGAAACCTTGTCTCTACTAAAAATACAAAAAATTAGCCAGGCGTGTTGGGGGGCGCCTGTAGTCCCAGCTACTCAGGAGGCTGAGGTAGGAGAATGGTGTAAGTAAACCCGGGAGGCGGAGCTTGCAGTGAGCCTAGATGGCACCACTGCACTCCAGCCTGGGCGACAGAGTGAGACTCTGTCTCAAAAAAATAAAAATAAAAATAAAAATAAATAAATAAATAAATAAGAAAAAGAATTAGGCACCAGTCTTGACTAATGTCCTTGAGTCCTATCTCAGCTGCCCCTTCTAGGGCCTTGTGAGTGTGGGCAGTGACAGACCCTCAGTGGTGGGCCAAAAGGGACACAAAGCCAAAGCTCTGCTCCAAGCAAGACCTGGGTCATTTCTCAGCCAGAGGAGGGGAGGGGACCCCAACGGGGTCATGCACAGCATAACGACGATTTGGTCAACAGTGGACTGCATATATGACAGTGGTCGCATAAGATCATAATACTGTATTTTTACTGAACCTTCTCTATGTTTAGATATGTTTACATGAACAGATATTAGCTGTTGTGGTACAACTGCCTACAGTATTCAGCACAGTAACATGCTGTGCAGGTTTGTAGCCTAGGCGTGTAGTAGGCTATACCATCTGGGGTTGTGTAAGTACAGTCTGTGATGTTCACACAATGATAAAATAGGACTTACTTCTCAGAACATATTACCATTGTTAAGTGCTGCATGACTGTAATTACTTGGCAGAAGGGAATTCAGATTCAGATTGATGTTTCTTGCACAAAGGTGGTATTTGGAAGAGAAATTTTTTTTTTTTTGAGATGGAGTCTTGCTCTGTCTTCCAGGCATGGGAGAGTGCAGTGGAGTGATCTTGGCTCACTGCAACCTCCTCCTCTCAGGTTCAAGCGATTCTCCTGCCTCAGCCTCCCAAGTACCTAGGACTCCAGGCACACGCCACCACTCCCAGCTAATTTTTTTTTTGAGACAGAGTCTTGCTCTGTCACCCAGGCTGGAGTGCAGTGGCACGATCACGGCTCACTGCAAGTTCCACCTCCTGGATTCACCCCATTCTCCTGCCTCAGCCTCCCAAGTAGCTGGGACTACAGGCACCTGCCACTACACCCGGCTAATTTTTTTTTTTTTTTTTTTTTTTTTGAGACAGAGTCTCGCTCTGTCACCCAGGCTGGAGTGCAGTGGTGCAATCTCGGCTCACTGCAAGCTCTGCCTCCCTGGTTCACGCCATTCTCCTGCCTCAGCCTCCCGGGTTTTTTTTTTTTTTTTTTTTTGTATTTTTAGTAGAGACAGGGTTTCATCATGTTAGCCAGGATGGTCTCGATCTCCTGACCTCATGATCTGCCCGCCTTGGCCTCCCAAAGTGCTGGGATTACAGGCGTGAGCCACCGCGCCTGGCCACTTCTGGCTAATTTTTTTTGTATTTTTAGTAGAGTCAGGGTTTCACCATGTTGGCCAGGCTGGTCTCGAACTCCTGACCTCAAATGATCCACCTGCCTTGGCCTCCCAAAGTGCTGGAATTACAGGTGTGAGCAACTGCGCCTGATGTGTTTGTTTGTTTGTTTGTTTGTTTTGTTTGTTTTTGAGACCAGGGTCTCGCTCTGTCACCCAGACTGGAGTGCAATGGTGCAATCTCGGCTCACTGCAGCCTCTGCCTCCCGGGTTCAAGCAATTCTCATTCCTCAGCCACCCAAGTAGCTGGGATTATAGGCACATGCCACCATGCCTGGCTGATTTTTGTGTTATTAGTATTAATTTTTTTGGAGAGGGAGTCTTGCTCTGTTGCCCAGGCTGGTGTGATCTCGGCTCACTGCAACCTCCACCTCCTGGGTTCAAGCAATCCTCCTGCCTCAGCCTCCTGAGTAGCTGGGACTACAGGTGCACGCCACCACTCCCAGCTAATTTTTTGTATTTTTTTTTAGCAGAGACAGGGTTTCACCGTGTTGCCCAGGCTGGTCTCAAACTCCTGAGCTTAGGCAATTTGCCAGCCTCGGCCTCCCAAAGTGCTAGGATTACAAGCATGAGCCACCACGCCAGGCCGTGATTTTTGTATTTTTAGCAGAGACAGGTTTTTGCCATGTTGGCCAGGCTGGTCTTGAACTCCTGGCCTCCAGCGATCCACCTGCCTTGGCCTCCCAAAGTGCTGGGACTACAGGCATGAGTAACTGTGCCTGGTCCTGGGGCAAAAATTTATACCCACATTGCAAGGTTTTTTTTTAAAAAACAATTGTAGTTATGCAGACTTTCTGAACTAATCTGGAGGGGGTCCACCTGCCCAGAGCTCTCCATCTCACTCTCAGGCGATGGGGGAGGCAAAGTTAGAACCCTGCTGTGAGGGCGACGGTGTACGCAGCCCTGGGGTAGTAAGCTCTCTGGTGAAGCCTCAGTGATGGGATAGGAAGGTGGCTTTTGTGAATGTATCTTTGAAGTCATTCTGTCATCATTTTGACAAGTAAAAAGAGGCAAGATGTTTTGCCAGAGGTGCAGGAACCTGAAGCTGGCCTGCTGTTGAACCTCTGTGCAGGAGGGAGTCAGGCAGATGACAGGAATGACAGGACAGGCTGGTGGCCAGCCGTGAACCCCAGGGAGGAGAAGGAAGGGAGATCAGGTGAGGCTGAGGCTCTCTATGTTGCCCAGGCTAGTCTCGAACTCCGGGGCTCAAGCAATCCTTCCACCTCAGCATCCCTAAATGCTGGGATTACAGGCATGAGTCCCCACACCCGGCCTATCACCTTTAAAATTATTTTATGTTATGTTATTATGTTGTTATGTTGCCCAGCCTGGGAAACATAGGAAGATCCCATCTCTACAGAATATTTAAAAATTAACCAGGAGTGGGCCAGGCGCGGTGGCTCACGCCTGTAATCCCAGCACTTTAGGAGGCTGAGGCGGGCGGATCACAAGGTCAGGAGATCGAGACCATCCTGGCTAACACGATGAAACCCCGTCTCTACTAAAAATACAAAAAATTAGCCGGGCGTGGTGGCGGGCGCCTGTAGTCCCAGCTACTTGGGAGGCTGAGGCAGGAGAATGGCGTGAACCCGGGAGGCAGAGCTTGCAGTGAGCCAAGATCACGCCACTGCACTCCAGCCTGGGCGATAGAGTGAAACTCCGTCTCAAAAAAAAAAAAAAAAAAAAAAATTAACCAGGAGTGGTGACATGCACCTGTTGGCCCAGCTACTCGGGAGGCTGAGGTGGGAGGATCCCTTGAGCCCAGGAGTTCAAGGCTGCAAGGAGCTATGGTCATGCCACTGCACTTCAGCCTGGGCAACAGAGTGAGATGCTGTCTCAAAAAAACAAACAAAAAAAGAAGTTTAAAAATAATTTAAAAAGAAAAGACTCGGCCAGGCGTGGTGGCTCACGCCTGTAATCCCAGCACTTTGGGAGGCCCAGGTGGGCGGATCACGAGGTCAAGCGATTGAGACCATCCTGGCCAACATGGTGAAACCCCATCTCTACTAAAAATACAAAAATTATCCGGGTGTGTTGGAGCACGCCTTTAGTCCCAGCTACTTGGGAGGCTGAGACGGGAGAATCACCTGAACCCAGGAGGTGGAGGTTGCAGTGAGCCAAGATCGCCCTACTGCAGTCCAGCCTGGCGACAGAGCGAGACTCCATCTCAAAAAAAAAAAAAAAAGGCTGAGTATGGTAGCGCGGTGTCTCAAGCCTGTAATCCCAGCACTTAGGTAGGCTGAGGCGGGGAGATCATGAGGTCAGGAGTTCAAGACCAGCCCGACCAACATGGTGAAATACTGTCTCTACTAAAAATACAAAAATTAGCTGGGTATTGTGGCACACGCTTGTAATCTCAGCTACTCAGGAGGAGTAGCCTCATTTGAACCCAAGAGGCGGAGCTTGCAGTGAGCCGAGATTGTGCCACTGCACTCCAGCCTGGGTGACAGAGCAAGACTCCGGCTCAAAAAAAAAAAAAAGAGAGTGAAAAGACAAGACAATCCACAGGATGGGAAAAAATATTTGCAAATCAAACAACTCAGTGCAAAAGTGGGTAAAGAGCCAAGTGTGGTAGTACACACCTGTAGTCCTAGCTACTTGGGAGGCTGAGGTGGGAGGATTGCTTGAGCCCAGGAGTTTGAGACCAGCCTGGGCAATATAGCAAGACCCCATTTCTACAAAAAAAAACTGTGTAAAATAAATATTTATCCAAATAATATACTCAAATGGGCTGGGCACTGTGGCTCACACCTGTAATCCCAGCACTTTGCAGGGGCTGAAGCAGGTGGAGCTCTTGAGCCTCAGAATGGGAGATGAGCCTAGGCAACATAGCGAGACCATGTCTTACAAAAAAATACAAAAATTAGCCAGGTGTGGTGGTACATGCCTGTGATCCCAGCTACTTTGGAGGCTAAGATGGGAGGATTGCTTGAGTCCAAGAGGTTGAGGCTGCAGTGAGCCATGATCATGTCACTGCACTGCAGCCTGAGTGACAGAGCAAGACCCTGTCTCAAAAAAAAAAATCATTAAAATTAAAAAATAAAATTAGCCAGGTATGGTGGCACGAGCCTGTGGTCCTAGCTACTTGGAAGGCTGAGGCGGGAGGATCGCTTGAGCTCAGGAGTTGGAGGTTACAGTGAACTGTGATTGCACCATTGCACACCAGACCAAGACGCTGACTCAAAAAAAAAATTGTTTTTAATTGAAAGACAGTAAATGCACGCCCCCTTGTGGGTGCATGTTTACGCTTGCTCTCCTTTTGGGACTTCCTGGGAACTTCTCACTTGGTCTTCTCAGTTCACGGGGGTTATAGCCCTACAGCTCTGTTCTTGCTCCGATCTATTGATTAGTTCCTTTCTCAGGAAACCAACCATCAGGCCTCCCAGGTAGTATCAAGGAACTGAAACTTTACAGATCACTGCATCTGGACAATATGTTACCAGACCCCATACCCATCATAACTGCCTAATCATGCTGGGTGCAGTGGCTCACACCTGTAATCCTAGCACTTTGGGAGACTGAGGCAGGCGGATCACCTGAGGTCAGGAGTTTGAGACCAGCCTGGCCAACATGGCAAAACCCCATCTCTCCTAAAAGTACAAAAATTAGCCAGGCATGGTGGCATGCCTGTAATCCCAGCTACTTGAGAGGCTGAGGCACAAGAATCACTTGAACCCAGGAGGCAGAGGTTTCAGTGAGCCAAGATCGCGCCACTGCACTGCAGCCTGGGTGACAGAGTAAGAATGTGTCTCTAAATAAATAAATAAATAACTGCCTAACCAGCCACCTGCTTCCTATTGACCAACTCCTCTTCCTTGCCCTTCCCTAATTCCTGTTTTCCCATACAAGATCACATTTCTAGCCTGCTATATAAACCCTTAAAATCTTTTTTTTTTTTTTGAGACAGAGTTTCGCTCTTGTTGCCCAGGCTACAGTGCAGTGGCATGATCTTGGCTCACTGCAACCTCTGCTTCCCAGGTTCAGGCAATTCTCCCACCTCAGCCTCCTGAGTAGCTGGGATTACAGGCACCTGCCACCATGTCTGGCTAATTTTTTGTATTTTTAGTAGAGATGGGGTTTCATCATGCTGGCCAGGCTGGTCTCGAACCCCTGACCTCAGGGGATCTGCCCACCTCGGCCTCCCAAAGTGCTGGGATTACAGGCGTGAGCCACTGCGCCCGGCCTTTTTTTTTTTTTTTTTTTTTTTTTTTTTTTTTGATACAAAGTCTGGCTCTGTCACTGAGGCTGGAGTGCAGTGGCACGATCTTGGCTCACTGCAACCTCTGCCTCCTGGGTTCAGTGATTCTCCTGCATCAGCCTCCTGAGTAGCTGGGATTATCAGCACACACCATCACGCCTGGTTGATTTTTGTATTTTTAGTACAGACGGGGTTTTGCCATGTTGGCCAGGCTGGTCTCAAACTCCTGAGCTCGTGATCTGCCCCCCCTCCGCCTCCCAAAGTGCTGGGATTACAGGCATGAGCCACCACACCTGGCCTAAACCCCTAATTTCGTTCAGTCAAAGAGACGGATTTGAGACTGATCTCTCATCTCAGCTGCAATACATGAATAAAGCCTTCTTTCCTGGCAATACTCGTTTCAGTGATTGGCTTTCTGTGTGGCGAGCAGCAGGACCTAGACCAAACCCCTAGGTCATTTCAGTCACAGCATAAACACTGACTATGTTCAGGCTATGGACTCTATAATTTTCATTTGAGCTTTTAGATTATTACAAATTAGGAATTGTACTTGTGTGTATGTGTGATTTCTGGGTAGCTAGAAAGGGTGAGAAGGGTTGGCATTTTGAAAGTACATTAGAAATAAACCTATGGCTTTCTAGATTTCCAGTGAGAGCCAGTTGTTGTCATTATGTGGAAACTTAGCAAGGAAACACAGGTGATTTTGTAAGGTTTGGAGGTTGGGGGCCTTGGAAGCTCTACAAAGGCCCTGGGGTGAGCCCCTAGGAGTACAGGGCCGTGGTGTAATGAGGGCTACCTAAATTAAAGGAAAAACTAACAACTCCATTGCCTCTTACAATTCAACAAATCTGGAGTTTTAGATAAGTAAATTCAGAGACAAGAGGGGGCAGGCGGAGTGAAAAATGATGTCACCTGCCACTCTCAGATTTCCTGCAAGAAATTCCAGTGGAGAAGTGAATCCTGGATCAGTAAATGAGTCACTGGCTTTCTAAGCCAAGAAAGATGAAAAGCAGATTCCAGGAACTAAGGAAGGATGAATCTTGGGGAAAGTGTTTAGTTTTAGTGTGAAACTGTCAAGCCGCTTGCTCCGGTGGAAACTCAGGGAGAAAAACAACAGTGAGAAAGACTAGCGAAATAGCAAGGAACCAGACGGCTTGCCTGAGAGAGTCTGTGCCTCCGGGCAATTTATTAATAGAAGACTGAGATGCACCTACTCAGCAAAAAAAAAAAAAAAAACAACCAAAAAACAAAAAACTGGGCAGCTCCAGAGAGGAAGACAATATCCCAGTGCCCAAGGCCCCCTGCCATTCATAATCCAACAGAGAGTCATTGAGCATCCATCCAGTTCCTATGGAAGGCAGTGCACATGGATTGGTGAATGAGGCACCACCATCCCTGGCCCCACAGAGCTCACAGCCATTGAGCAAGTCATTGCACTTGTGTTAAGTGAGAAGGAGGAAGGTTTGGGATGGGGGTCCTGGAAGGCTTCTCCAACACCTACGGGAGGATCGTTCAGATATAAAGTTCAAGCTGAGGCTGGGCACGGTGGCTTATATCTGTAATCCCAACACTCTGGGAGGTTGAGGCGGGAGGATTGCTTGAGCGCAGTAGTTCAAGACTAGCCTGGGCAAAATAGTGAGACCTTGTCTTTACAAAAAAATTTAAAAAAAGAAATTAGCTGGGCATGCTGGCACACACTTATAGTCCTAGCTACTCAGGAAGCTGAGGCAAGATCACGTGAACCCAGGAGTTAAAAGTTGCAGTGAGCCATGATCATGACACTGCACTCCAGCCTGGGTGAAAGAGTGAGACCTTTACTCAAATAATAAGGCCGGGCACAGTGGCTCATGGCTGTAATCTCAACACTTTGGGAGGCCAAGGCGGGTGGATTGCTTAAGCTCAGGAGTTCAAGATCAGCCTGGGCAACATGGTGAAACCTCGTTTGTGTATATATATTGCTTGGGTTCCTGGGTTCAAGCGACTCTCCTGCCTCAACCTCCCTAGTAGCTGGGGTTATAGGCATGCATCACCATGCCCAACTAATTTTTGTATTTTTAGTAGAGTTGATGGGGTTTCGCCGTGTTGGCCAGGCTGGTCTCAAACTCCTGATCTCAGGTGATCCGCCAGCCTCAGCCTTCCAAAGTGCTGGGATTACAGGCATGAGCCACCACACCCACCCGTCTGTATATATTTAAAAATTTTTTAATTAAAAATAATAATAATTAATTAATTAAGGTCAGGCTGAATTTTTGACAGAGGCCTGGGCTAGAGAGAACAGGGCTGCTCCGGAGACCTGAAAAGAGAAGCTGTTTGGGGAGCAGAGGTACAAGAAAAGTCTAGATGAGTTCTTTCTATTCTATTTTAGGTTATTTGTTTGATTAGCAAATTTGGTGGGGCAGAGACGGGCCATCTCCCAAGTGACAGGCAGGCTTGTTTGGCACTTTTTGTTTATTTACAAAGCAATTCAATTTCTTGGTGTTCAGGAGCTCCCTGAGAAACGGGCCCAGGCCCACCTCTGGCACAGGCAGAGGGCACAGCATTAGCAAAGGCCCAAGGGAGGGACCCCACAGAGCAGCCTCCGAGAAGAGCCAGGAGTCCCTCGGGCTGGGGAAGTGAGAGGGCATTGAGGCCTGAAGGAAGACTGGGCTGATCTTCAGACTTCAGTCTATTGGGGGGCAGGGTGAGTCCTGGAGAGACGGTGCCCCACGCAGCCAAGGCAGGGTGAGGGAGGTCACACCTCAGCACATTCTCTTCTGTGTGACGTTGGAGATCATTAACCTGTGGACCCTAACAGCTGCCACCACCACCTTCAGGAATTCAGGTCCTCCCTGCCTGGCACGTTGGCCAGCACTCCCACGGCCCAGCCCTGTTGAAGAAGGAGGCAGTTCATTAGATGTGCTGACATTGGCTCTCTTGGCTTCCTGGGACAGCCCTCACCAGCATCCTGGGCTCTCAAGAGCCTGGGCTGGTGGCTGCCATCCCCCCAGGACAGGAGCCCACCAAGTCCCTTCTGGTTGAGGACCCTTGGGCCCTCAAGGATCCCAACTCTGCTCATGATGGCATCTGGGGGAGCGCGGGAGCCCTGGAGGGGAAGGTAAGAGTCCTGGGTCCCAGCCCAGCCTGGCCACTGGCTCACTGTGGCGACCCTCAAGCATGGCCTTGCTCCCTCTGGAACTCAGTGACCTCTGAGATCTGGGACCTCTGAGTCTGGGAATTGGGCAGGGTGACAGAGTCAGGTGACTCAACCTGCACCCGGTCTTGGGGTGTGGAACCCTGAGCAGAGCAGGTGGCGCTCTTGGAAGGGGAGGCAGACAAGGGCAGAGAAGGGGGCTGCACAGGGCTTTGTAAGAGAGAAGGAGAGGTTCCGGACCCAGCCTGCGGTCCAGGAAACTGTCTCAAAGGAAGTGGGTCTCGGCTGAGACCTCAAGGGTGAGCAGCAGTTAGGCGAAGGAAAGAGGAAAAGGCATTCAACTGTACGGCCCAGGCCAGGCGCAGTGGCTCATGCCTGTAATCCCAGTAATTTGGGAGGCTGAGGTGGGTGGATCACCTGAGGTCAGGAGTTTGAGACCAGCCTGGACAACACGATGAAACCCGGCCTCTACTAAAAATGCACTACTACGCGTGCTGATGCACATTTGTAGTGCCAGCTACTTGGGAGTCTGAGGCATGAGAATTGCTTGAACCTGGGAGGCGGAGGTTGCAGTGAGTGGAGATTGTGCCACTGCACTCCAGCCTGGGCAACAGAGAAAGACTCTGTTTCAAAAAAAAAAAAAAAACACTTCAGGGCCCACCCTGTGCAAAGATGGAGAGGTAGGGAAGGCAGGGTGTATCCAGGGACACAAAGAAGTTCAGTCCAGCTGGAACTACGCCCTCCTAAGGAGGAACTGGCCAGGGGTGAGGGGCCAGTGGGGAAGTGAGGAGAGACAGGTCCCACGGGCAGAGGTCATCCAGCTGCTGCGTGGACAATGAACAAGGACACCGAGTGATGTGTATCCTTGGCAAGTGATAGTCTAGCCAAGGGCAGGAAAGTGGGCATAGGGAAGAGGGGACTCACTTGGTGGCTGGAGGGTGTCAGGGAAGAGGTCTGGGGAAAGATTACATGGGGACCCAGGAGGGAGGGCAGTTCTGAAGGGAGGAGATGGGGCTGACTTTACACAATGGATTTGGAGGTGTCCGAAGGTCATCCTAAGTGGGGGAAGTGGAGCAAGAGATGTGGGGGATGAGACTCAAGTCATCACTGTGGGAACAAAAAGGAGGCTCTGGCCAGTGCGGTGGCTCACGCCTGTAATCCCAGCACTGTGGGAGGCCGAGGCAGATGGATCACCTGAGGTCAGGAGCTTGAGACCAGCCTGGCCAACATGGTGAAACCCTGTCTCTACTAAAAATACAAAAATTAGCCGGGTGTGGTGGCGGGCACCTGTAATCCCAGCTACTCGGGAGGCTGAGGCAGAAGAATTGCTTGAACCTGGGAGGCAGAGGTTGCAGTGAGCCGAGATGGCGCCATTGAACTCCAGCCTGGGTCACAAGAGCAAAACTCCGTCTCAAAAAAAAAAAAAAAAAAAAAAAAGACTCTGAGGGCCGAGTGCAGTGGCTCATGCCTGTGATCCCAGCACTTTGGGAGGCTGAGGTTAGCAGATCACTTGAGCTCAGGAGTTCAAGACCAGCCTGGACAACATGGTGAAACCCTGTCTGTACCAAAAATACAAAAAAATTTAGCCGGGCATGGTTGTGTGTGCCTGTGGTCCCAGCTACTCAGGACGCTGAGGTGGGAGGATCACTTGAGCCTGGGAGGCAGAAGTTGCAGTGAGCTGAGATCGCGCCACTGCACTCCAACCTGGTGACAGTGAGACCCCATCTCAAAAAAAAAAAAGAAAAGAAAAGGAAGGAAGGAAGGGATGGAAAAGAGAGAAGAGAAGATAAGAGAAGAGAAGAGAAGAGAAGAGAAAAAAGAAAAGAGGCCCTGAAGTTGTACCCTGGAGAGAAGTATCAAGAATGAGGTGTGGCTAGGTGCTGTGGGTCACGCCTGTAATCCTAGCACTTTGGGAGGCCGAGGCAGGCAGATCATTAGGTCAAGAGTTTGAGAGCAGACTGACCAACATGGTGAAACCCCGTCTCTACTAAAAATACAAAAATTAGCTGGGCATGGGGTGTGCACCTGTAATCCCAGCTACTCAGGAGGCTGAGGCAGGAGAATCGCTTAAACCTAGGAAGCAGAGGTGGCAGTGAGCCGAGATAGTGCCACTGCACTACAGCCTAGGCGACAGAGTGAGACTCCATCTCAAAAAAAAAGAAAAAAAAAAATGAGGTAAGGGGGTTGAGCTCCTGGAGGAGCTCACTGAGGGGCATGAAGGGAGATAGCCAGAGAAGCAGCTAGAAATCCTTCTCTTGGATCACAGAAGCCAAAGGACGCTTCAGAAGATGGGGAGGACCAGCTGTGCCCAACACACCTGGAAAGGTCAAAGGAGGAGAGGACTGAGAAGTGGAGGGACAGGGAGCATTTCTCCCTCTTGAAGAGGCTTTGGCATATGGAGGGGGTTTTAATGGTAGTGGTGGGGTTCCCAGGATCCGTGATCAGGTCTGAGTGTCAGCAGAGCTGTCACACAGAACCGAACAGGTTGTGCACTGCACTCTACAGTGACTGTTCTTGAATCCAGGACTGGCCGCCAGGGGCACCCCCTTGAGCTGGCGGTATTTTGCCAAGTCCGTAACTGCAGTGTAGACACTTCCCAGACGGTGGCGCCAAAGACCAACTTTACTTCTTAGGAGCAGAGTCGGGTTCCGCCTGGGGATTCTCAGCCCCAGGTCGTCATCCGATGGGACGGGGGAATTTCCAGATGCCTGGTGGCCGGGTCTCTCCTACCACCACACCCTCCAAATCTCTGTCAGAGCAGTTCACCTAGCGTTAGCAACTCACAGAAATAAACTATGCACCACACACTGCAGCCTTCCTTTGTCAGGGGGCCTGGGCTGAAAGGGTCCCAGGGGAGCAGTTCATCCCATGAGCTGGGAGAGGCGAAGACGTCCCTCCCACTTGTCCCTTAGGAGAAAGGAGTCAGGAAGGAAGGAAGGACGCCCAGCCCAGACCGCGAGACACACAGTCAATCGCCCCACCCCTTGCCCAAACCAGCAGAGCACCGCCCAGCTCACAGCTCCCCCTGGAGGCCGAGGCTGGACTAGCGGGGACAATGACAGCGACACTGGCCAGCCTCAGGCGGTGTCCCCAGGGAAGCGATTGCCAAGCCTAGAAATTTACACCTCCTCAGTGCAGAGGCCAGCCTGGAGATGGCCCAATAAGTAATGGCCATGTTGCTTTTGAAAACGATGCCATGTTGATTGCAAACCATTATTTGTATGAATAAATACAAAGAAGAAAATAAACCAAATGAAAGTACAACGCCCAGAGATGACGGGCATTGTGGCTCTCAGGACCGATGGATGCAGGTCTCACCTGAGGAGATTCCTGCTATGCAGGCTGTTCTGGAACTTTCTCCACTCCACCATGTTTTTTGTTGTTGTTGTTGTTGTTTGAGACAGAGTCTCGCTCTGTCGCCAGGCTGGAGTGCAGTGGTGCGATCTCAGCTCACTGCAACCTCTGCCTCCCGGATTCAAGCGATTCTTCTGCCTCAGCCTCCCGAGTAGCTGAGACTACAGGCGTGTGCCACCACGCCCAGATTTTTTTTTTTTTTTTTTTTTTTTTTTTTGAGACAGAGTCTTGCTCTGTTCCCCAGGCTGGAGTGCAGTGGCGCGATCTCGGCTCACTGAAACCTCCGCCTCCCAGGTTCCAGCAATTCTCCTGCCTCAGCCTCCCGAGTAGCTGGGATTACAGGCACACATCACCATGCCTGGCTTATTTTGTATTTTTAGTAGAGACGGGGTATCCCCATATTGGCCAGGCTGGTCTCGAACTCCTGACCTCAGGTGATCCACCTGCCTCAGCCTCCCAAAGTGCTGAGATCACAGGCGTGAGCCACCGCGCCTGGCCAATTTTTGTATTTTTAGTAGAGACGGGGTTTCACCATATTGGCCAGGATGGTCTCGATCTCTTGACCTCATGATCTGCCCGCCTCAGCCACCCAAAGTGTTGGGATTACAGGCATGAGCCACTGCATCCGGCCTCCACCATGCTTATTATATTGAGTGCCTTTCCATGTTCAGATATAAAACCCTCACTCCCTACCCCGCCCTCACCCCACTCACCTCTCAGACCTCACCTCCTGACCTCTCCTCTAGCCCACATGGCTCAACTACCACTAGCTCATTCTCACCTCCCAGCCCCCCAACCCCCCGCCTTTGCTGTTCCCTCTGCCTGGGACACTCTTCCTCTGGGTTGTTCAGTGACTGTTTCTTTCCTGTCACTCAAGTCTCAGCTCCAATGTCACTGCCTCAAAGAGGCCTTCCCTGACCAACCTGACGAAAGCAGCCCCTCAGCCCCACCACTCCAAACCACATTACCTGGTTTGGCTTCTTCACAGCTCTCCTCTCTCCCTCTCTCTGAAATCATCTTGTTTATATGTTAACTCATTTATTGTCAGTCTCCTTTGGCAGAGTGTAAACTTGAGAGCAGGGGCCTTGCTGAACTGGTCTGTCACTGTGTCCCCAGCATCCAGAATGATGCCAGGCGCATAGCACATGCTCAATCCATGCCTGCCATCCATTTGCAGTGGCTATGGAACATCTCAGGCCTATGTGCACCTCCTTTACCCTCCATCTCCCACTGCGGGACTATGTCATCCCTCTGTCCCTGATTAAACAAGCCAGTACTTTGGGAGGCCGAGGCAGGTGGATCACCTGAGGTCAGGAGTTCGAGACCAGCCTGGCCAACATGGTGAAACCCTGTCTCTACTAAAAATACAAAAATTAGCCGGGCATGGTGGCGCGTGCCTGTAACCCCAGCTACTCGGGAGGCTGAGGCATGAGAATCGCTTGAACCCGGGAGGCAGAGGTTGCAGTGAGCCGAGATCGCGCCACTGCACTCCAGCCTAGTGACAGAGCAAGACTCCATAAAAAAAAAAAAAAAAAAAAAAAAAAAACAGTAGTCAACATCTTTTGGCACAGATGTTTTCCTGCATGAACAGCTATTTCTTTGGGGTAAATTTGCTGAAATTTGGTGAAAGGGAGGTTTGCACTTGCCATCCTGATAAATTCTGAAAAAACTACCCTTAAACTTTTTTTTTTTTTTGAGACAGGGTCTCGCTCTGTTGCCCAGGCTGGAGTGCAGTGGCACAATCACGGCTCACTGCAGCCTCAACCTACTGGGCTCAAGCGATTCTCCCACCTCAGTCTCTTGAGCTGGGATTACAGGCATGCGCCACCATGGCGTGCTCATTTTTGTGTTTTTAGTAGAGACTGGGTTTTACTATATTGCCCAGTCTGGTCTCTAACTCCTGGGCTGAAGCCATCCTCCCACCTTGCCTCCCGAAGTGCTGAAATTACGGGTGTGAGCCACTACCACACCCAGCCTACCCTTAAACATTTAAACCAATTCCTACTCTCTTGAGTGTCCCCTCACACATCATGTTCATCACTGCCCATCTCAGAGGCAAACAAAAAAAAATAGTGTCTCCTGTTGTTTGTGTTTGCATTGTGTTGATTATTAATGAGATGCGGCACTTCTTCAAATAGCAATTTTAACGATTAAACGGATGGGTGCACTTAAAGCATCAGAAAGGAGAAATGGCTCTAGGAGAAGCCTGATGACAGTGGTAAAGCCAGGACTTGAATGTGGAGCAGCATCCCTGGCTCTTGTCTTTTGACACACACAAAGGAAAGTAGAGTCCAGGCTGGGGCTGGAGGGGTGTGGAGGCTGGTGGTGGGTCAAGTATACCCGCAAGCCTCATACCTACCTCCTCCAAGCCTGCCTTTGCCCCACCATGCACTGAAGTGCTCCAACAGGCCGTGGTGCTTTGGGCCTTTCCTTACTTGATCTCTTGGTGACCCAGTTGACCACTGTTCCCCCCAGAAGATGTCTCCAGCTCAGACCCCTCTCTCTTCTCCCTGCCTGTCCAGCTGCCTTCTGGACACTTCCTCCTTGGTGGTCCCTAGATCCCTCAGATGCCACCTGCCCAAACTGACCATATTACCTTTCCCTTAACCAGATCCTTCAGGCCTCCCCACCTCATTAAAAAACACCATTATCCCACTATCCACCCATCACCCAGGCCCAAAGCCCCTGCCTCATCTGGGATGTCTCCCTCTCTCCAGACTCCACATCCCTTCAGTCACCAAGCTCTGCATTCTGCCTCCTGAACATCTCTTAAATGTCTCCTCTCCATCCCCACGGCCCCTACCCTGGCCCAGGCCACCATCCACTGGGCTGGAAATTGCACCAGCCTCCTTGAGGCCTCCTGCCTCCCCTCATACACACACACAGTGCCTGAGTGACGTTTGCAAAGCACAGATATGACCACAAAATCCCCCAGCCTAAAGCCCAGGCTCCCCATCACCCCAAGGGTAAAATCCTTGCTCCCCAGCCGGCCCCAAGGCCCCGCACGCAATTCTCCAGCTTTTGCTCTGGTTCAGCAAAAGAGGCTGCTCCTTTCTCCTGTGGCTTAAACTCTTGCTCCCCCAGCCTCAGCTGCTCCTTCCAGGACCTACCCACTGTCTGCCTAGGGAGCCCCAACAAAGAGCCACGCTAAGGGCCCCTTCTCTGCAAAGCCCTTCCTAACTAGCACACATGTGCACACAGACACAGTCCCACACACTCACATACACACACACCCTCAGCATTTGGGGACTTGGGAGGTGCAGAGACTTGGACATACCTGTTCTCTTTGACTGTGAGCCCTGTGGGAAGGAACTAGGGAGATCTCACCTCTGGTCACCCCAGGGTGGCCCGGGCACAGCCGACATTCCACAAATGCTTGCTGTATATCTGGCAAATGAATGAATGATGTGGCCCCAGGCACAGTCCAGGGCAAGCTTCTATTCTATCTGTTCACAGAAAGCTGGGATGGGGGTGGGGGTTGCATGGCAGAGAGTTGTCATCCGCGGGGGCTGTAGGGTGGGGTGAGGGAAGCCGCGGTTTTTCTGGGGTTTCGGACTTGAACTGCATTACTTCTGAAATGGAACTAGCAGTGCCGTGTGTGAGGACTGGGGGTTCATTGCGGCTCTCACCACCCTCTGCTGTCTGTCCCAGGGATTTTTCTCAGGCCTGAGTCCACCCCTCTGAGAATGTGATCTCCCAGTGGTTAGAAGTGCTCATAATTCCTTTCTACACACACCACAGCTACCAGCTGAGTCCCAGGCAGAGGACAGGGCTCAGGAAATGATGCCTGATTCAAACAGGGCCGAGCTGACCACGACCCAGGGAGCCAAGTTGGAGCTCAGAGTCTGCCCTTCCCAACGATGTGACAGTTTCTATGGGAAGTTCTTGCCTTCCCTGAGCTTCAGGTGTCTCCTCTTTGAAGTGGGTTTCAAGCTGTGTCCTCCCCTGTGCTTAGCTCACCAATTGTTAGGGAGAGGCTTTGAAAGCCACCAGGACCCTGTGACCCTCGGAGGGATGCTGCCCTTCCCTCGAGGCCCCTTGGATGTGGGGGAAGAGCCAGGTGAACTCCCAGGTGTTCCATTTAATCACTGCAGCGCCATCTGTGCCTGGTCTGGTGGTCACAGGCCTGGCCATGGACAAGGACAATAGGCAGTAATGGGTGCTCAGAGGACACAGGTTCCCTGGAGGAAGGGACATCTGAGCTGTTTTCCAAGTGGATGAGGGGGAGAAGCATCCTAGGCAGAAGGGAGGCTGGGAAAAAAGGCAGAGGCCAGAGGGTGGAGGCTGCATCCAGGGAGCTGCAGGCTGGGAGTGTAGTGGAAGCCAGATCACAGGGGCCGCAGAATAAGTGCAAGATAAGGAGGTGAGGTCATCTGAGGCCAGATCTCCTGGGCCTTGGAGGCCCTACCACATAGTATGGACTATCTTCTGGAGTGGGTGGGCATGGTAGGGGGAGGGAATTAATTCAAAAGATGTTAAGGAGAAAGAAGCAAGAGGACTGGGCAGCTAAAGGAAGGTGAGGGCAGGAGAGGGGGATGCCAAGGGCTCATGCATTTACACGTTCAGTTACTTGCTCATTCAACAAATATTTCTTGAACTCCCACTATGAGCCAGGCACCTTGATGATAAGGACTTCTGTGGTTCCTACCCGCACACTACTTAGAGACAACACAGTCAGGCAGGGTCAGGCCCATGAGCACACATGGTGTGCACACTGCTGCCTGGCCATGGTGAGCAGTATGAAAGGAGTCAATAGGAGGCTGGAACAGAGGGTGTCTGCAGAGAAAGTACTCAGAAGATGCCTGGCTGAGAGGTGACTTTAGGGGTGGGCAGAGGCCAATTGGTGCCAGCTTTGAGAACTCCAGAAAACCCCAGTCTCTAGCTCAGGTGGATGCCTGGGTAGACAGTGGTGCTTTGTAGGGATGGGGACAATGCTGAGGACTGGTGAGTCAACCAGAAAGCAGCCAGGGGCTCTGAAACAGGAGAGGGCTCTGGGCACAGAGGGAAGTTTGGGATGGTCAGCAGTGAATGGATGGGAGCCCTGAGACTGGATGATATTTTAGGGTAGGGTGAATAAAGAGAAGAACTCAGCCCCTGGAAGTCATGCCCAGGTTTAAGGACTTCAGAGAAAAGGGCACTGACCGGCCCAGTGGCTCATGCCTGTAATCCCAGCACTTTGAGAGGCCAAGGTGGGTGGATCGCTTGAGGCCAGGAGGTGGAGGCCAGCCTGGCCAACATGGTGAAACCCCATCTCTACCAAAAATATAAAAATTAGCCGGGACATCTCTACCAAAAATATAGAAATTAGAAGGCGGAGGTTGCAGTGAGCCGAGATCACGCCACTATACTCCAGCCTGGGCAACAGAGGGAGACTCCGTCCCCCAAAAAAAAACAAAAAAGAAAGAAAGAAAAGGGCACTACAAAGGAAGCCCAAGAGGAGGGGCTGGAGAGTGGAGAACTGTGAGGCAGAGGTGGCTCAAGCCTGTAATCCCAGTACTTTGGGAGGCCAAGGTGGGAGGATCGCTTGAGCCCAGTTAGAGACCAGTCTGAGCAACATGAAGAAAGCCCATCTCTAAAAAACCGACCAAACAGGCTGGGCGCGGTGGCTCATGCCTGTAATCCCAGCACTTTGGGAGGCCAAGGCGGGCAGATCACGAGGTCAGGAGATCGAGACCATCCTGGCTAACATGGTGAAACCCCATCTCTACCAAAAATACAAAAAATTAGCCGGGCGTGGTGTGGGCGCCTGTAGTCCCAGCTACTCGGGAGGCTGAGGCAGGAGAATGGCATGAACCTGGGAGGTGGAGCTTGCACTGCATTCCAGCCTGGGCGACAGTGACACTCTGTCTCAAAAAAAAAAAAAAAAAACCCGACCAAACAAAACCAAGCAAACAAGCAAAACACACAAAAAAACAGCCCTCAGGACTGGTGGGGGCGGGGTACAGATATTCAGGGACCTCTTACTGTCCCTGAAACCATTCCTGGGTAGGTCTGACATACATGAGGGCTGCGGGAGTGCAAGGCCTGGAGAAGCCTCAGGGGTGTCCAGGTTGGAAGGGCCAGGGGTGTCTGATTGATGGGAGGAGCGGGGGAGTGGAACTGGCCCTTTGACCCCAACATGGGGTCGACTCTCAGCCCCACCTTTACCGACTGTGTGGAGGGCCAGCATTCTAGCCCCGGCTTTGGAAAGGACTGGGTTGCCCAACACATGGCCCTGTACCCGGACCCTGCCAGCGTCCCCACCCCAAGACTGCCCGAAAACCAGTACCCAATGAGTGGGGAATGCATGACCCGGCTATGAGCCTGGACTTACCAGCCAGACAGTGGCAGAAAGGGCGGCCTGCCTCTACAGCGACGCTGAGGCTGGCTGAAATGGCAGGGCTGAAGGGCAGCGTCTGGACCCAGAAGGTGCCAGGCGGCTTCTGGACTCCCCAAGGCCTTCACAACAGCCCTGGATCCTTTCCACCAACCAGCCTAAGCCAGCAGTAGCAGCTCCAGGACCTGTTTCAGGTGGTCACGGACAGGGGGCCCGCAAGGTCTCCAGAGCCCGAGGGATCTGGGGAGGGGACAAGCAGGCGGGGCTCCCTGGCGCTCACCGTTTTAGGGTCTGCGTGAGAAAGCCTCCCTCACATCCCCCAGGGTCTGCCCTCCCTGCAAGCTGGTGGGCTGCGTGGGCCACCGGCCTGCCCCGTTATCCGAGAGGGCGGAGCGAGCCGTGGGCGCCTCTAGGGGTGCGGGAGCCGCGGGAGCGCAGGGGGTGGGGCCCGGCGGGCCAGGGGAGGGGCGGCGGGGCGGCGGGCGGAGGGAGGGGCCGGCGCCTGCGGCGGCGACAGCGGCAGCTGCGGCGCGACCAGGCCGGGCACCTCCGAGCGCAAGGACAGCGCGAGGTCCGCGCAGCCCAGCGCAGCCATGTGAGTGTCCCGCGCCGTTTCCGGGGCTGCAGGCCGGGCGGGGAGCAGGCGCGGAGGTTCTGGTGCCCCCCCGCCGGCGCCGCCCGGTGGGTCCGGGATCTGCGGCTCTGTCCCGCCTCACCCCATCTCCCGGACCCCGGCCGCGCCTTGTCTTTCCTCCCCTCCCCCCGGGCGTGGAGAACGCAGCTTCTCCCACAAAAGCCGCCGCCTCCGGGCCTGCAGAGCCTGGCGCTGCTGCCTTCCTCCCACGGCAAGGCCCTGGCGGCCGGTGCCCCGGGGCGCTGGGATGGGCCAGGCCAGAGAGCGGGCTCAAGGCGCCAGCCTGGGCCCTGGCACGCGCGCTCCCTGGGAGCCCTTGCTGCCTTCGCCGCAGGGGAGGCTGGGCTGGAAATGGGGAGGGGGCGACGAAGGGTGCGGGCCGGCCTAGGAGCTGAGCTAATCCTCCTAGCTCTAGGGGCCGGCCTAAGCGGCTTTGTGGCCGGCCCCGAGGTGACCGAGCCTGGGCTGGAGCCGGGCTCTCCGCCCAAACCTGGCGTAGCCGAAGCCGGAGAGGATCGTCCTTGTCGGGGAACGGAGCTTTTCCCTGGAAATGGAGGTTGGCGCAAGGTTCCTGCAACAGCCGGGCCTGGGCTCTCTGCAGAACTGGTTTGGGCAAGGGGCTGCTCACCAGGGCTAGAGGTCGGATTCAGTCCAGATTCAGCACCCTTTGTCCTCCTCTCCAGGGTGAGCCCTGAGTCCGGCCTCCCCTACAGACCCTCCCCAGCCAGTTCTAACGTGTGTCCAGGCTGGCCGCCCCAGCACCTACTGTGCGCAGCCTCGTGTAACAATACTTGTGCCCTGGCTGCAGTCTGCGGGGCCGCGCCCTGGGCCTGCCGCATTCGGCCAACGCACAGCATCTGAGGAGGGTTATGACCATCTGGCAGATGCAGAAACAGGCCCAGAGAGGTTAGTAGTATTCTCAAGGTCACACAGCTGGTTTGGGAGAAGCGAGGATTAGATCTGAGTCCTTGCCCCTGCGACACCCACCTCCGTGGTATTGGAGGGAGGAGAGGAATGATAATTGGGGGCTGAGGTACAAAATACTCCAGCGGGACAAGGAGGACTGGCATAGCTCCTTCTTCCACCGCCCTCTCCGGCTTGGGTCCTGTGACTGCGGCGGGAGAGAGGAGCAAGGTGAGCCGCCCCAGGGGTCTGGGTTTGGGTGCGGGTGAGGGGAGGACTCAGGACTCTGGGCTGGGTCCCGCTTGAGAGAAGCGGGCGGGGAGGGCGCGGGTGAGTCACGGCGGCCCCTCTGCGTCGCCGCTCGGACTCAGCCCTGGCCAGGCCCGGCCCGGGGGAGGCCGCCTGGCTCCCAGCGCGCGGCCAGGGAATGTAACCAGCTGACCAGGGAGGGGGCCGGCAGGAAGTGAGGCCACCCGACAGCCTCCGCCCGGTTCCGGGGTGGGGGGTCCGGGGCTGTGCCGCTCCCCCTCCCTCCTATACGCTTGGGCAGCTGCGAGATGACGTCAGCCGCCGGGTTTGGGGGCAGTTGCCATGGAGACAAGGACAGGCTCAGAAGGGACCCCCTTCTCCCTTGCAGCCGCCCCTTGCCCAGGTTATTTTTAGCCTCTGTTTACCTCGGTCGGGGCGGCCCCGGGGTGGGGCGGGGCTAGACCCGGGGACTCCCAGAGAGGCAGCTGGCCTGGCACAGTGCTGAGATGGGCAGCCCAGGTGGTGGGATATTCCGCCGCACCCGGGTGTGCCAGTCTTGGTGTGTAGGAAGTATAGCGGGGCTGCAAGATCTGGGGCCATGCGGACAGGTCAGGGCTCCTCCACTCACGGCCATCCTGACCTGGCTGTGCTGCAAGCCCCATAACCTTTGGAACCTTGGATCTGGGTTATTTCCCATCCTGGGAACAGACTATAGGGCTGACATGAGCCCAGAGAGTCCCCTGGTTCTTATCAGCCAGTCCCCCACCAGTTGAGGTGGCCCTTCTGCCTTAGCTCAAGGGGTTCAGCTCTTTCCCTACCTGCTCTCACCCAGCAAGGGCAATCTTGCCCGCCCATCTCCCGAAGCGGTCACTCAGATGGACATTATGATGGTCATTTGTACCAACAGTTAGACATCCTAGTTCCTATGGGACTCGGGGGATGGTGGCAGCAGAGGGCCAACCAGAGAGAGAAAAGTGATGGAACAGTCAGCGGTTTCCAAGTCCAGAATCCCAGGGGATCCCCACCCTGCACCATCCCAGGGAGCAGAGCCCCACTTGCTGATGGTATACGATACCATCAGCCAGTGGGAAGGGAGAGGGAGGATTGCATGTCGGGTAGGGGAGTTGGGGTGGACATAGACTTAAAATCCTCCCCACCAACAAACAGCTCAGGACCTGCTGTTCCTGTGTCTAGGCAGCCCAGCTTCCCCCACTGTTCCCCCCCTTCATCTCCCAGGTGCTACAGGACCCCCAGAGCGCTGTGGTGAGCCAAGCAGATATGCCCCAGGTCTCACAAGGTTCAGTCTGGTGGGAAGACAGGCCCTAAAGGAGAACTGACAACTGGGTTATGTGGTCTCGGGGTTCAGAGGGAGGAAGTCAAAAAGGGGGAACCAACCCAGGGCCTGCTTCCTGGAGGAAGAAGTCATAGGGTAGACTTGAGGAAGGAGAGGGACTTGGGGCTGAGTAGTGGGAAGAAGGAATAGGAGCGATGGGGGCTGCCGGTCAGATTCTGAAGAACCTTGCAGGTATTGAGAGAGGGTCTCAGTTGCTGGAACAGAGAAAGCAGGGGACTGGGAGGAGAGGAGTGGTTGAAAGAATGTGAGGGACAGGACAAATCCTGAAGGGCCTACGTGGGTCATGTTAGAGAGTCTGGGCTTTCTCCCTGGGACAAGAGTGGCTGTGGCTATTTCACATCAGTCTGAATAGAGTGATATTAAAGATTTAGAGTCCTGGGGTCAGACAGCCTGGGTTTGAATCATGGTCTTGACACTTACCACCTGTGTGACTGTTTTGTTTTGTTTTTTGAGACAGAGTCTCGCTCTGTCGCCCAGGCTGGAGTGTAGTGGTGAGATCTTGGCTCACTGCAAGCTCCACCTCCCGGGCTCATGCCATTCTCCCACCTCAGCCTACTGAGTAGCTGGGACTACAGGCGCCAGCCACCACGCCCAGCTAATTTTTTTTTTTTTTGTATATTTAGTAGATATGGGGTTTCACCGTGTTAGCCAGGATGGTCTTGATCTCCTGACCTCATGATCCGCCCTCCTCAGCCTCCCAAAGTGCTGGGATTACAGGCGTGAGCCACCGCACCCGGCCGTGTGACTGTTAAAAATAATAGCAGTTAGTATTTGTTGTGTGTTCACAGTTAGATGTTAGCTAGGCATGGTGGTGCATGCCTGTGGTTCCAGCTACTTAAGAGGCTAAGGCAGTAAGATTGCTTGAGCCCAGGAGTTCAAGGCTGCAGTGAGCTATGAACGCACCACTGCACTGAAACTGATCGCTTGAGCCCAGGAGTTCAAGGCTGCAGTGAGCTATGAACACACCACTGCACTGAGACCTGGGTGACAGCGTGAGACCTCGTCTTAAAAAAAAAAAAATTAGGTATAGTGAGTCCACCTCAACGTCCCTACCCCACATACAATTCTCCCTTCCCCAAACACTTCCTATAGAGGGACATCCTCATGAGAGGAGATCTCATTTCATCCTCCCAGCAGCCTTGGGAAATAGCTGTTGTTATTATTATTATTGTCCTCTTTTTACAGATGGGTGTCTGAAGCCCAAAAGGCTGAATAAGTGTCTTGCCCAAGGTCACACAGCCTCAGGTTTCTCAGGTGCGAAGTGGAGCTAATAGGACTTACCCCATAAGGCTGTTGCCAGGATTAAATGAGATGATGTTTGCTAAGCTCAATGCCTGGCATATAGAATGCTCTCAATAAAGGACAGTTTTTGGCACTGTCAAGTGGCTACAATTTTAAGGTCAGTGTTGTTACTGAATAATGAATGGATGATTGCAGGTTAGAGTGGAGACAGGAGGTCCCTCAGGAAGGTTCTAGCTCATCAGAAGCCCAGCTGTAGGGCTCGAGGGGAGAGTTGGTGATGGCTTGGACCTGAATTCTGGCTATAGGGGTAGAGGTGAGGGGGCAGATTGCAGAGAGATTTAAGAGCCAGACCTGGCAGGAGGGGGTGACCTGGCAGGAGGGGGTGACTGGTCATAGGGGCTAACTGAGACATCCAGGACGACTTCTAGTTTCTGTCTTGAACAACGGGGTACATAGATGGTGGAGTGTCATGGAGAAGTTGAGACTAGGGAGAGTCAGGTGGAAAGTGGTGAATTTGGTTTGGGAACCTCAAACCCAGCATGCACTATGACAGCGCACGCTGCATCTGGGGAGGCAGCAAGCAGGCAGTTGGATACAGAGGCCTGGTGCTCAGAAGAGTGGCTTGGGTGGAGGAGAGATAAGGAAGCTGGCAACATTTAGATGGCATTGAGCTGCGGGATCTGTGCACAGCCCAAGGGCGGGGAGGATAAGGCCCATTCGGGGATGGGAGGAAAGAAGGGGCCTCTGTGGGAAAGTAAGATATGCAGCCAGAGAGGTAGATAGAAAACCAGCGTATTGTCTCTTGAAATTCAGGGGAAGGAAGGGCTTAAAGAAGAGGAGGGGAACCACGAAGTCCAAAGCTTTGCTGAGATCAAGCAGGATAAGGATAAAACATGGGCACTGGGTTCAGCAACAGGGAGGTCACTGGTGACCTTGTCCAGTGGTGGGTACAGAAACTGGACCAGGGTGGGAAGAGGAGCAGGCGGGTGTAGTGAGAAAATGCAGGTAGACATCTCTTCAAGACACTTGGCTTTGAAAGGAGAGGAGAAAGATGGAGTAAGAAATGGGGTAGCTGGACAAAGACAGAAGGTCCACAAGCAGTCTTTTTTTTTTTTTTTTTTCTGAGATGGAGTTTTGCTCTTGTCGCCCAGGCTGGAGTGCAATGGTGCAATCTTGGCTCACTGCAACCTCCACCTCCCGGGTTCAAGCGATTCTCCTGCCTCAGTCTTCTGAGCAATTGGGATTACAGTCATGCGCCACCACGCCCGGCTAATTTTTTTTTTTTTTTTTTTTTTTTTAGTAGAGACGGGGTTTCACCAAGTTGGTCAGGCTGGTCTCGAACTCCTTACTTCAGGTGATCCACCTGCCTCGGCCTCCCAAAGTACTAGGATTACAGGCATGAGCTGCTGCACTGGGCTGAGTCATTTCTTTTTTGTAATTTTTTTTTTTTAAGAAAGAATCTTGCTCTATCACCTAGGCTGTAGTGCAGCGCGACCTCAGCTCACTGCCTCCTGGGTTGAGCAATTCTCATGCCTCAGCCTCCCGAGTAGGTGGGACTACAGGCCATGCCACCACACCTGGCTAATTTTTGTATTTTTAATAGAGTCAGGGTTTCACCATGTTGGCCAGGCTGGTCTCAAACTCCTAGCCTCAGTGATCCACCTGCCTCAGCCTCCCAAAGTGCTAGGATTACAGGCGTAAGCCACCGCACCGGCCCAACATTTTGTAATTATTTACAACCAATTTTACATTGAAATATAATAGGCACACAAAAAGTGTGTATGTCCTAAGTGTACAACTCTGTACATTTTCATAAGAGAACACACTCATATAGAATCAGGAAATTTAACCCAGAGCAGGAAATAGGACATTACCAGCACCCTGGAAGACCCTTGTGGCCTCTTCAGTCACAACACCTGGAGGGAGACTCCCAGGCTGACTTCTATCACCATAGATTAGTTTTGCTTGCTTTTGAACTTATTATCAAGGTCATACATTTGTCCTCTCTTGGGTTTGCTCTCAGATCCACCCATATTGTTGCATGTCACTGTATATTTTTCATTCTTTTTGCTATGTGGTAATTCCATTATTCATTGACAGGCATCTGGACAGTTTCTAGGGTTTTCTTTTTTTCTTTTTTTTTTTTTTTTTTTTTTTTTGAGACAGACTCCCGCTCTGTCACCCAGCCTGGAGTGCAGTGGCATGATAGCAGCTCTCTGCAGCCTCTGCGTCCCAGGTTCAAGCGATCCTCCTGCCTCAGCCGCCCAGGTAGCTGGCACTACAGGCGTGCACGACCAAGCCCAGCTAATTTTTGTATTTTTAGCAGAGATGGGGTTTCACCATGTTGGCCAAGCTGGTCTCGAACTCCTGACCTCAAGTGATCCACCCACCTCTGCCTCCCAAAGTGTTGGGATTATAGGCATGAACCACCACACCCAGCCCGTTTTTATTTTTCATGTGGGAGTGACTTGAGCTTGTCTGAGACTTGTGGAGAAAGTCTGAAACACCCCAAAAGGAGAAAGATGACTAGGGTCACACTTGAGGATTTGCCAGGTGGGCAGTGAGGGCCTGGCCAAGGTTGAGGATTGCTCTGTGATTCCAGCCAGGCTGCTGTGCCAAGACCTCTGGCAACTCCTGCCAACCTGTGTGCAGGTGTAGAGAAGTCCAGGAGTTGGATTCCCCAGGGCTGGTTTCTGCCAGCTGGGAGAGAGGTGCGCAGTGCTGAGGATACTTGCAGCAGGCAAGTGATGGGATGGTGGCTGTGGATCCAGGCTGGGGAGGAGGCTGTGCAGGGAAGGTACAGAAGAGAAGGTAGGAGGGAGCTAGCAGAAAAAAAGAAAGCAGAGGCGGACTGTGAGCTCTGCACAGGGTGGTGTCTGTGAAATTCTGGGCTGTATCTCCAGTGACTGGCACATGCTTGGCACAAGGTTGCCACTCAGTGAATAGGTGAATAAATGGGTGAGGGCTCAAGGGGCCAGAGGTCTCAGGTAAAAGGCAGGTGAGGTGGGGGTGATGGAAAGCCTGAGGGTTGCATCAGTGTGGTTGTGGTTTAGGAGGGGGGCATTCCAAAGGCAGGTGATAAGGCTGGGGATGGCTGAAGGGACCAGAGAGGCCAGCGATAGGCAGGCAATCCATGGGAATGCACAGGTCACCAGTGTAGGGTGCAGGGTACCCAGGCTTCGCCTTCAAGGAGGAGGGGAGAATAACATATCTCAAACTGAGGTCCCTGGACCTCTTGCATCTGAATCTGTCGGGGGGAGGGGGAACTTGTGGAAATGCAGACCCCTGGGCCCAACCCAGCCTTTTGGGGAGAAAGTAAGCACAGTATGGGAGAACTGAGCCTCAAGGAGCAAGAGTGTTTATGGGATGGGGGAGCATCCAGCCCCTCCAAGGTCAAGGGAGGGATGGGCATGGTGGCATCTATCCAGGCTAGAGGTGGACATGGGATATTCAAAGAAGAGATAGGCTGGGCGCGGTGGCTCATGCCTGTAATCCCAGCACTTTGGGAGAATGAGGCAGGCTGATCACTTGAGGTCAGGGGTTCAAGACCAGCCTGGCCAACATGGTGAAACCCCGTCTCTATTAAAAATACAAACATTAGCCAGGCATAGTGGCGGGTGTTTGTAATACCAGCTATTTGGGAGCCTGAGGCAGGAGAATCGCTTGAATCTGAGAGGCAGAGGTTGCAGTGAGCCAAGATCGTGCCACTGCACTACAGCTTGGGAGACACAGAAAAAAAAAGAGAGGTACTGGGGATGGGGATCAGGATGGGAACGCAGAACCTGAGAGGCCCATGTGAGCTGGGGGCAGGAAGGATGGGGCATTAGCCTAGGATGCAGCTTGACTAGGGAGGAGGCCCTGGCTGGCAGCCAGACCTGATCCTTTCCCCTGGGTCCTGGGAAGAGGGGAGTGCTCAGGCTGAGCACTCCCTCTGTGGGAGTAGGGATGGGGTGGTGCATGGGGCTGTGGGACTCTGCATCCAGTTCCTTCTCTGCATCTCTCTTGGCGCAGCAGCACACACTATGGGGTGGATCTAGCCTCACACTTTCAGCCTCTCTTCTCAGCCTCAGTCCCCTGGTGATCAGTGCCCTAACTCTCCGCCCTCCATTGGCACAGCCCCTCCAATCAGCACCCTTAGCCCATCTTTCCACTCTTCAGCCCCCTACTATCCACCTTCTCACACTTAGAACCCCAGCTCTCAGCCCTCTGTGTGTTCAGCCTTAGCACTGCTCAACAGCCACTCTTTTTTGGGGGAGACGGAGTCTCGCTCTGTCGCCCAGGCTGGAGTGCAGTGGCGCCACCTCCCGGGTTCAAGCGATTCTCCTGTCTCAGCCTCCTGAGTAGCTGGGATTACAGGCGCGCGTCACCATGTCCGGCTAATTTTTGTATTTTTAGTAGAGACGGGGTTTCACCTTGTTGGTCAGGCTGATCTCGAATTCCTGACCTCGTGATCCGCCCGCCTCGGCCTCCCAAAGTGCTGAGATTACAGGCGTGAGCCACTGTGCCCGGCCTCAATAGCGACTCTTTAAGCCCCCTACTCTAATGTCTGATACTTCCTCCACTTAGCGTCTCCATTCTATCCCTTCATATTCATCCCCATGCTCAAATCCCTTTACGCACATTGCTGACCCCAGCTGAGCAGACCCCTCGCCCCCCGTCGGTCCCCTCCCCGAGGGGAACCCCAGTCACCGGTCCCGCCCCATCCAGGCGGGCTGAGTCAGGCGGCAGGAACTGGGCGGGGGGCGGCGCCGGGAGGAGCCGAAGCCGAGCCAGAGCCGCTGGGAGCGAGCCCGGAGCCCAGCCGGGCGGCTCGAAGTGGCCAGGGCCGGAAGGTCCGCGGGGGGCGAGCGCGGGTCGGGGGCCGTCCCGGACCCACCATGAACACCAAGAAGAGAGGTAGGACCCAGCTCGGGGCTGCGAAAGCTCAGGGACTGGCCCCAGGGGAAGCAGGCCGGGTTTGGGGGCCAGGAGTGTGTGTTTCGCCGAAGCGGGGTGGGGGTCTGCCGAGGAGCTCTCCCCGCCGATGCCGGGGTGGAGGCGCACGTCCGTGACTCAGTTTCCAGGTGGGAGCCTCAGGAAAGAGGAGGGGGCGGGGCCCTTCTCGGCATCGCGCCCAGCTCTGGGAATCCCCCTGCCTGGAGGGCGCCGGGACGCCCGGGCCGGTGGGGGCTGGGGGCAGCAGGTCACGCTGGCAGGCGGGGGGCGGGCGACAAACCCGCACCGGCTGGGCCTGTCGGGCAGCTCCGCAGGGCTCCGAGCGTGGCCCCGCCCCGCCCCGTGACCTCCTTGGGCTCCCGGGGTGGGGGGCCCCGAGCTCCGGGTGCCCTGGGGGGGGAAATCGGGGGCAGGGCTGGGGAGGCTGCCCCGCCCCCGGGTAAACAGGCGCTTCCGCACATTCTTCGCGCGCGCCGCCCCTTTCCTGCCCCTTCCCAGCCGGAGGAGGGTCCCCGCGCGACCCCCCTTCCTGCCCCGCGGCAGGCGGAGCCCGCACCTCGGCAGGAAGTGGGGGCCGAGCCGAGGCCACGCTGAGTCCGAGGCCGAGTCGCCTGCGGCTGTCCTGTCATTAGTGCCCGGGTCGGCGGGACTAGGCGGACCCGGCCGGAGCCCGCTGGGGCAGCTGTGCCTAGCGACAGGAAAGACCTGCGCCAGCCCTGGATCCCGCTGCGTGGGAGAGGGCTTCGGGGATCCGACTGGTACTGGACACCCCCCCGATCACCCGCAGGGAGCCCCGCGCGGACTCACTCTATGATGTCCCTGTCGGTGCGGCCGCAGCGCCGTCTGCTCAGCGCCCGGGTCAATAGGAGCCAGTCCTTCGCAGGCGTCCTCGGCAGCCACGAGCGGGGGCCCAGGTACGCGGCCGCGCAGGGTTGGTGGGGTCAAAGGGCGTCAGATGGGGCTGGGTCTGGGGGTGCGTAGTGAGAGTCTGGGGGACTCCTGCTCTCCTCTTTCTGAGGACAGCCTCTCCTTCAGGAGTTTCCCGGTCTTCAGCCCGCCGGGGCCCCCACGGAAGCCCCCCGCGCTCTCCCGAGTGTCCAGGATGTTTTCCGTGGCTCACCCAGCCGCCAAGGTGCCGCAGCCCGAGCGGCTGGACCTGGTGTACACGGCGCTGAAGCGGGGCCTGACGTGAGCAGCTCCTCTGTTCCCAGCCCTGTCCCGGGATCCCTCCCCAAGCCCGCATCCTGCTAGCAGGAACCTTCTCCAGCCCCATGCCCTCTCCCTGCTGTCTGCACCCTGGGCAGCATGAGGCTGGAGAGCCGAGTTCATTCTTGTGGTCGCCCCTTTCCTCAGGGCCTACTTGGAAGTGCACCAGCAGGAGCAAGAGAAACTCCAGGGGCAGATAAGGGAGTCCAAGAGGAATTCCCGCTTGGTGAGTGGCGGGAGGTACGGATGCCCTTTGCCTCTTTGGTGTGGAGGGCTGGGCAAGGGCAGCCCTGGGTGATATCTGGGCTATTTTCTGAAGTGATCTGGTTCAGGTGTGAGTAGAAAAGGGGATATCAGGAAAGGCTGAGGGGCTTTTCTATCCCCAAACTTTGCTGTGCATACTTTCTGCTTGGGACTCAGTACCTGCTCCAGGAGCTTCCAGTGGGGTAGGTGGGACCCCTACAGACATGGACAGCAGGAGATTCTGCTGCAGTGGTACTGAGCAGTGGTACTGCTGCATGGTGCTTCTTGGGAAGAGGTTAGGGCTTCCTGGAGGAGGGAACACTTCTGCCGGGGCTTGATGGGAGTTCCCCTGCAGAGGGAACCTTGCACAAGGAAGCAGAGAGCTCTCCCCAGGCGGCTGCAGGAAAAGGAATCCCAGGGAAGAGGTGGAAGGAGGGGTCCTGGAGGGGGCTGAAGGGACCAGATCTGTGCTACCAGCATCCACCAAGGGCTAGACCAGCAGGAAGGGGCGTCAGTTGCTACTGTGACAGGAGTGCTTGTGGACTGTGGTGTGAGAAAGGGGAGCTGTGACGAGTCTGAGTGCCTCTGCTGGAGTCCTCCTCATCCCTCCTAAATATTTGCCCCTTCTCCCCACCCCTGCAGGGCTTCCTGTATGATCTGGACAAGGTGAGTATGCATGGAATGGTACTGGAAGGGGTTGGCTCACAGGGAGGGTAAGGACCCTGGGCCTCAGGCCCCTCCTGACCCACCTCTCCCCCAGCAAGTCAAGTCCATTGAACGCTTCCTGCGACGACTGGAGTTCCATGCCAGCAAGGTACGAGTGCAGCATGTGTGCAGAGTGGGGTGGGGGGTTGGATATCATAGGGAGAAGAGGGGTGGTGCCAGGCCCTGGGTGAGCAACCTTAGAGGTGAGTAACCCCAGAGGTGAGTCTCAGTCCCCCTACTGTCACCCCACTCACCTTCCCAGATCGATGAGCTGTATGAGGCATACTGTGTCCAGCGGCGTCTCCGGGATGGTGCCTACAACATGGTCCGTGCCTACACCACTGGGTCCCCGGGAAGCCGAGAGGCCCGGGACAGCCTGGCAGAGGCCACTCGGGGGCATCGCGAGTACACGGAGGTGAGGGATGGGGGCCCATGAGGCAGAGGCACAGGGTGTGGCAGGGCTAGTGGCTGGCCCTTGACCCCCTCCTGTCCCTGCCCCTCCCTCCCAGAGCATGTGTCTGCTGGAGAGCGAGCTGGAGGCACAGCTGGGCGAGTTTCATCTCCGAATGAAAGGTACTGAGTTGTGGGGGCAGGTGGGGGGCTGGAGGGAGTATGCTGAAGAACCCCAATATGGCTCACCGACTTCTCCCCTTCTCCTCCAACTCAGGGCTGGCTGGCTTCGCCAGGCTGTGTGTAGGCGATCAGTATGAGGTATGAGAATGTGCAGGGAAGGGCTGGGTCGGTAGGGTCCCAACACCTAGGCTGCCTCATCCTACCTGTTCCCCCAGATCTGCATGAAATATGGGCGTCAGCGCTGGAAACTACGGGGCCGAATTGAGGGTAGTGGAAAGCAGGTGTGGGACAGTGAAGAAACCATCTTTCTCCCTCTACTCACGGAATTTCTGTCTATTAAGGTGATGTCTCTGCCCAGGACGGCAGGCCACCATGGCCCTGTGAACCCCTTGTGACCCCCATTACCCTGAGTCCCTTACTCCTGTGATCCCCTCATAGCTCCATAGCCCTGTGAAGATATGATTCCATGACCTTCATGATCTCTGTGGCCCTGAGAGGAACAATCTTTGTGACTCTTAGGACATCATGGCTTCCTGACCCTGTGACCTCCTCATGATCTTCTGACCCTGTGAATATTTGACCTCCTAAGCTCCCATGAGGCTGTGACCTCTATGACCTCAGTGACCCTACCATGCAGACCTCTGTGATTCCCATGCTCCCAGGCTGCTTCAAGCATCCATGGCTCCATGAGCATGCATGTGTCTGTCTATCTATCTAGGAGTTGGCGGGTCTCACTCTGTCACCCAGGTTGGAGTGCAGCAGTGCAATCATACCTCACTGCAGTCTCAAACTCCTGGGCTCAACCCATCCTCCCACTTCAGCCTCCCAAGTAGCTGGGACTACAGGTGCACCACCATGCCTGGCTAAAAATTTTTTTTTTTTTTTTTTTTGAGACAGAGTCTTGCCATGTTGCCCAAGCTGGTCTTGAACTCCTGGCCTTAAGTGATCCTCCTGCCTCAGCCTCCCATGACCATTTTATAAGTTCTATGCAAATTCAGACCTCAGATTTCCCATGATCTCATAGCCCCTGCACCCTTGTGACCCTACCATGCACTCTTGGCTACAGGTGACAGAACTGAAGGGCCTGGCCAACCATGTGGTTGTGGGCAGTGTCTCCTGTGAGACCAAGGACCTGTTTGCCGCCCTGCCCCAGGTTGTGGCTGTGGATATCAATGACCTTGGTACCATCAAGCTCAGCCTGGAAGTCACATGGAGGTTGGTGGGGCTGAGAGGCTTGGAGGAGGGCCAGGAGGGCTGTGGCACCTGCCAACAGCCTCTTCCCTTCCCAGCCCCTTCGACAAGGATGACCAGCCCTCAGCTGCTTCTTCTGTCAACAAGGCCTCCACAGTCACCAAGCGCTTCTCCACCTATAGCCAGAGCCCACCGGACACACCCTCACTTCGGGAACAGGCTTTCTATGTGAGTCATAGCCCAGGTCCAGGCCTCACCATCCCCCAGAGGCTCCCTGGGGGTGGTTCTGAAATGCCCTCTCCTCTTTCTCAGAACATGCTGCGACGGCAGGAGGAGCTGGAGAATGGGACAGCATGGTCCCTGTCATCTGAATCTTCAGACGACTCATCCAGCCCACAGCTCTCAGGCACTGCCCGCCACTCACCAGCCCCTAGGCCCCTGGTGCAGCAGCCCGAGCCCCTTCCCATCCAAGTTGCCTTCCGCAGGCCTGAGACCCCCAGCTCTGGGCCCTTGGATGAGGAGGGGGCCGTGGCCCCAGTCCTGGCAAATGGGCATGCACCCTACAGTCGGACTCTGAGCCACATCAGTGAGGCTAGTGTAGATGCTGCCTTGGCTGAGGCTTCAGTGGAGGCCGTTGGCCCAGAAAGCCTAGCCTGGGGACCTAGCCCACCTACACACCCAGCTCCCACCCATGGAGAGCACCCCAGTCCTGTTCCTCCTGCCCTGGACCCTGGCCACTCTGCCACAAGCTCTACCCTCGGTACAACAGGCTCTGTCCCCACATCTACAGACCCTGCCCCATCTGCACACCTAGACTCAGTTCATAAGTCCACAGACTCTGGCCCTTCAGAACTGCCAGGCCCCACTCACACCACTACAGGCTCTACCTATAGTGCCATTACCACTACCCACAGTGCTCCAAGCCCCCTCACTCACACTACTACAGGCTCCACCCACAAGCCCATAATCTCTACCCTTACTACTACAGGCCCTACCCTCAATATCATAGGCCCAGTCCAGACTACCACAAGCCCCACCCACACTATGCCAAGCCCTACCCATACCACAGCAAGCCCCACTCATACTTCCACAAGCCCCACCCATACCCCCACAAGTCCCACCCACAAAACCAGTATGTCACCTCCCACCACTACAAGTCCTACCCCCAGTGGTATGGGCCTAGTCCAGACTGCCACAAGTCCCACCCATCCTACCACAAGCCCCACCCATCCCACCACAAGCCCCATCCTTATAAATGTAAGCCCTTCCACTTCTCTAGAACTTGCTACCCTCTCCAGCCCCTCCAAACACTCAGACCCCACCCTCCCAGGCACTGACTCCCTTCCCTGTAGTCCCCCAGTCTCCAATTCCTACACTCAGGCAGACCCTATGGCCCCCAGAACTCCCCACCCAAGTCCTGCCCATTCCAGTAGGAAACCCCTCACAAGCCCTGCCCCAGATCCCTCAGAGTCTACGGTTCAGAGTCTAAGCCCCACTCCCTCACCCCCAACCCCTGCACCCCAGCATTCAGACCTTTGCCTGGCCATGGCTGTCCAGACCCCAGTCCCAACGGCAGCCGGAGGGTCTGGGGACAGGAGCCTGGAGGAGGCACTGGGGGCCCTAATGGCTGCCCTGGATGACTACCGTGGCCAGTTTCCTGAGCTGCAGGGCCTGGAGCAGGAGGTGACCCGCCTAGAAAGTCTGCTCATGGTGAGGAGGGCTGGGCTGGGCTAGGGCAACCAGGGAGGGCAGCCAGGGGGCGGCAGCCGCTCTGATGCCCTTCACAACCTCAGCAGAGACAAGGTCTGACTCGCAGCCGGGCCTCCAGTCTCAGCATCACTGTGGAGCATGCCTTGGAGAGCTTCAGCTTCCTCAATGAAGACGAAGATGAAGACAATGATGTTCCTGGGGACAGGTGAGGGGGCTAGGCAAGATGGGTGTGAGGCTAGGTGAGAGGGAAAAGGTGAGGCAGGACCAGGGGAAGGTGGAACAGGTGAATTGGGAGAAAGTCAAAGGACAGGACAGGTGAGGCAGGGCCAGGTGGAGCATGTGAGGACTGAGTTGCTGGCAGGTGCACCTGTGTCCACCCCTCCCATGTCCTTCATGCCCATGTCTCCAACCCTACGTGTGTCCCCAGTGCTTCTGACCGCCCTCTTCATCTCTGCAATGTCTGCCTCCCCTGCCGGTCCCCATCAGCTTGGGTGCCTCCAGCCCCTCCTCTTCCCCTTGGCCTCACCTTGGACCTGCCCTTTAAGGAGCTCTCTCAGTGTCTCGCCGTGCACCCTGGGACCCCAGCACTGCCCCACTCCTTCTCAACCCCGACTCTCCCAGAGGCCCTGGCCCCTCAACTGTCAGTCCTGGAGTGGCCTTTGCTGGTTCCCAGTTGAGAGTTGTGCCAGGTCCCTCCTTCCTCTGCTGCTGCCCAGGCTACAGCCCCATGCCCTGCACCCTTTGCAGTCCACTTGTCATAAACCATCCCGCCTGCAGCCTACTCCTACCCATGCCATCCCCAGTGGTCCCAGCTGGAGGTAGCATGGCGCAGACTGACTCCAGAGATCCCTACTACCACCTGCTGGTCCCAGCCCCTTCCTCCTTCTGGAAATCCTCCATGAACTTACCCCACTGTCTGCTGTCGGTGCATCATCTTCTTCCTTTCTGGCATGGGGGAAGCTTAATAAAAATAAACGCTGGTGACCAGGTGGTGATGTGTGCCTGTGGGGTGGTGGACCCCATTTTTCCCTCAGGCCTCCAAGCAGCCCGGAGGCTGGGGCTGAGGACAGCATAGACTCACCCAGTGCCCGCCCCCTCAGCACGGGGTGTCCAGCTCTGGATGCTGCCTTGGTCCGGCACCTGTACCACTGCAGTCGCCTCCTGCTGGTGAGGCTGATGGTGTTCCCCCACCCTTCCTTTGTAACCCCTAACCCCAGGGAGTCCTGCCCTTCCATCCTGGTCCTCTATACCTCCTCTGAGTGCCACACCCCAGTGCCCCAGGGCCCTTGGCATCTGGCCCTTGCTGAATGGAGTATCTCCCAACTCTGCAACCCCAACCTCCCCCAGTGCATGCTGGGACTTGTCCCTGAGCACGATCCTCCCGAGCCCTACCCTGAGGCCTGAGCTACTTGGCCACCCATGTTCTCCAGAAACTGGGCACATTTGGGCCCCTGCGCTGCCAGGAGGCATGGGCCCTGGAGCGGCTGCTGCGGGAAGCCCGAGTACTGGAGGCAGTATGCGAGTTCAGCAGGCGGTGGGAGATCCCGGCCAGCTCTGCCCAGGAAGGTAAAGGCCCTGGGGGTTCGGGCTCTGCCATCTGCCTTGAAGCTCCTACCTCAGCCTACTGCCATCTGCATGCTCTCTACTCACCTGCCTGCCTGTTGCTGACGGTTTCCCTCACCCCCTCACAGTGGTGCAGTTCTCGGCCTCTCGGCCTGGCTTCCTGACCTTCTGGGACCAGTGCACAGAGAGACTCAGCTGCTTCCTCTGCCCGGTGGAGCGGGTGCTTCTCACCTTCTGCAACCAGTATGGTGCCCGCCTCTCCCTGCGCCAGCCAGGCTTGGCTGAGGCTGGTGAGTGGGCTGCTTCCTCCTTCCACCCTTGCTCAGATTCCCAGTGACAGGAAGCTCGGGGAAGCCAGGTCAGCCCACACAGATAAACGAACTGGGCACCGAGGAGACCAGCAAAGACTTGGGCCTTAGAGCAGAAGGACCCAGATGGGTGGGGTTTGAACAGGGGGCCCCTGGACCTGAGCCTGGGATAGGAGCATCTCTCCCCTCTAAAAGCTGTGTTCACCCAAACTCTGAGGCCCATGCTACTGCCTCCTGCAGTGTGTGTGAAGTTCCTGGAGGATGCCCTGGGGCAGAAGCTGCCCAGAAGGCCCCAGCCAGGGCCTGGAGAGCAGCTCACAGTCTTCCAGTTCTGGAGTTTTGTGGAAACCTTGGACAGCCCCACCATGGAGGCCTACGTGACTGAGACCGCTGAGGAGGGTGAGGCGGTGGCCCTGATCACATAGTGGCCTCTTGGGGTCTGAGGACATGAGGACAAGCCCTCCCCAACCTCGGGGGCTCCTCACCCTGCCACCTTGCCCACCCACCCACCATATCCCCTTTTTTCAGTGCTACTGGTGCGGAATCTGAACTCGGATGATCAGGCTGTTGTGCTGAAGGCCCTGAGATTGGCGCCCGAGGGGCGTCTGCGAAGGGACGGGCTGCGGGCCCTCAGCTCCCTGCTCGTCCATGGCAACAACAAGGTCATGGCTGCTGTCAGCACCCAGCTCCGGAGCCTGTCACTGGGCCCTACCTTCCGGGAGAGGGTGAGTTGGACAGGGCTCCCTTGAGGGCGAGGGCTGGGGTCCTGGACTCCCACTGTCTGGCTAAGTCTGTCCTCCCACCCTTCCACAGGCCCTCCTGTGCTTCCTGGACCAGCTGGAGGATGAGGACGTGCAGACTCGAGTGGCTGGCTGCCTGGCCCTAGGCTGCATCAAGGTGACCCCTGCCAACCCTCCCACCCCTCTGTCCGCTTCCGGCACCCCCACCCCTGAAACCCTCCCATCTGCTCCCCTGAGCCCACCTCAATGCTCCCTCCCCTGACAGGCTCCCGAGGGCATTGAGCCCCTGGTGTACCTCTGCCAAACTGACACAGAAGCTGTGAGGGAAGCTGCCCGGCAAAGCCTACAGCAGTGTGGTGAGGCTGGGGGATGGAAGAGATGGGTGGAGTTCTGGGACATCTTGGCTGATGGGAGTAGGAGAGATGGCGCCAGGGGTGGGAGAGTGGGATGGGGCTAGGGCCACCCTTGACCTCATCCTCACTCATTACAGGAGAAGAGGGACAGTCTGCCCATCGACGGCTGGAGGAGTCCCTGGACGCCCTGCCCCGCATCTTTGGGCCTGGCAGCATGGCCAGCACAGCATTCTAAACTATTCACCCATGGGTTCCTGGTGCCCCTTTCCCCCCACTTTCAGGGCTCACCAGGCACTGGCAGGGAGGGTAAGGGCTGGCTCCAGATACCCCTCCCCCACAGATTCCTAGCAATGAAAATCTAATATATTCTTCTGTTGCCCCTGGGGTTGGAGAGTCAGTGCCTGCAGTCAAGTGCCTCCCAGCCTCGGCTCAGCACATCCCTTGCCACAAATCAGTGTCTGGGGCTTGGCCACCCTGCCGCTGCCCAGCCACATCCCTTGGTTTTGTATTTTATTTACAGAGTTTTACAGAAAATAAAAAAGCAAAATGTCTTTCCTACATGGCCTGGTACACTCCTGACCCTCTGCTCCAACACCCTCTGGCTGTGGCCCTGCCTGACACTGGTGTGTTCACACTGCAGCTGTGACAGTGCCATGTGCACTTGCCCTGGAAATTCAGGTGGAAGAAAGCCCAGAGGCTGGAACTGGGCTTGGAGAAGAGAGCAGGGGAAAAGGGTGGTTCAGCCTGCAGGTGGGGCCTACCCTGGGCCTGGGAACTACGGCCCAAGGTGGAGCTAAACTGGAGTTGGCCCAGAAAACACCAAAGGGTGCCAATCCCAGGCTGTGGCCTGGGAGCAAAGGGGAAGGGAAAGGAAAAACAGGAAGGGAAAGGAGGCACGGGGTGGCTGGAGCTTCTGCCCACCAGGGGGCAGCAGATCCGCGTCAGCAGATGCCAGGTTTGGGTCTTCTGCAGCCTGGGCAGCTTTCTGCAGAGGGGGCTGAAGGAGCTCCTTGAAGCTGGATGGCAGGGGAGAGGAGCTCCTTGCGGAGGGGAAGAGCTGGGACCTGGGAGGCAGGAGACCTGGATGGCTAACCTGTGACCCAAGACAGCAAGTCCCTTCCCTCTCCAGCTGTCTCCCCCTCTATAATAACAAACGTGCCTGAACTCTGTGATCCCCAACAGCCGGCCAACCTGTGCTGCTTCAGGAAGCAGAGATCCCAGGAGAGGGCTTGCCTTTGCCCCGCCTCGCCTTGCCCCAGAGCTGCCTGGCCAGTGAATGTGTTAACCCCAGAAGGCTGAGTCCTGCGTGAGGAACTGGAGTGTGGGGTGGGACTTCAGGATGGCAGGCCTGTTCTAAGGAGGGGCTGAGGGAGGCCCACACCCGTGGCTAGAGAAACAGGCTCTCCACCCTTCCCCTCTCCCTCAGCACTTCCAGTATCCAGGGGCAAGGAGGTGGTGCATACGCAGCACTTCCCTGACTCATTGAGGCCACTCTGATGTCCCAGTACCTGTGGCAGCAGCTTGGCCTGTGCAGGACGTGTCACGTTGGGGAGCCTGCCCTCAGGAAGAGCCAGTGAAGTGCCAACAGTCCTCTGGAGGGTGACCCAGATCCCCAGGGAGCCCTGCCCCCCAGTGTTTTAGAGCTAGGTATGAAGAGGTTTGGCTGGGGCTTTAACCACCTGCTGGGGAAGCCAAGCTGAGCAGAAAAAACGGCAACAGGAAGAAGCACAGGAAGCACCTGTGTGGATGCAAGTGGCTCATTCCAGACGCTGGGGCGAGGGTGGGCAGGGGCAGGCAGGCAGCCCTCTGCACACTGGCGCGGCTCTTTGCTCTCTGGGTAACGAAGGGTGGCACGGGATGGTGCAGCTCAGTATTTGGGGTGGTGAGCTGGAGCAGCATGGGGCAGAGGAGGCAAACAAATGATGGAGACCAGGCCAGCACCCAAGGCTGGCCACAGCTGGGGCCTGCCCCAGGGGTCCCTGGAGGAGGCCGGCAATCCCAGAACCGCCCCTAGCAGCCCTCAGTCCTGAGGCCCCCACAAGAGGCCCATTGGTAGAGCAGGGCTATCCACCTGCATCAAAAGCATAGCCTGTCATGGTGGGGGAAGAGGAAGTGAACACTGGTTGACCAGGTCCTGGGAAAGTGCAGATGGGGGTGACTGAGCCTGCATGAGCTCACAGCTCAGTACACAGGAGAGAGCAGGGCTTGGGCAAGAAATGGAGGATGGAAAAATGTCATCATCCCAGCCAAGGGGTCCACTGGCGTTGTCACTAAGAATCCCTGCTCTCCAATGCTGGGAAGGGACAGACCCTAGACTCTGTGCTCTGCAGAGTCCTGAGGCCAGAGCCTAGTATTCAGCTCTAGCCAGGGGTGGGTGTGAGGATCGGAAGGGGACAGGAGCTGGAATGAGGGCACTGTGAGCACAGCCAGGTGAAGCACATGATGCCTATCTGGCTCAGAGCAGCATGAATCAACCCCAGGACAGCCAGTCAGCCTCTCTCCATCAGTGGCTTGAAGGCAGGCTGGATGGCCTCCTACACCCAGGCCCATGCCCAGGTTCCTGAGATGGTGGAGGGGCAGAGAGAACCCTTGTCCTCCCACCTCTGTATCTCTCCTGACCCCCTCTGCCTCACAGGGGCCTCCCACAGGGCAAACCTGCCCATAGCATTCTCCCACCCCCTACCCTGCTGTCATGTGGGTCAGGGAGGCAGGTGTTCCTGCTGTTTGGGACTGAGGACAGTTGGGAGCCCCTTGCCTCAGGTGATGGGCAGTTGACGATACCATCATGAGTCAAAGGTATCAGGGCAGGGAAAGCGTCTGCCCAGCCTCTGAGGGGACAGATGGAAGTGGGCCTCCAAGGCCTGTGACACACTGAGAAGTGCCCTATCAGTTAAGTCCATTGAGGCCACAGTCGCCTTGGCCATCATCTCTGAGACTCTGCCCAGAGGAAACTGCTCCACGCACACTGCAAAGCAGGGGCCAGGCTGAAGTAGTCCATGATACAGTTTATTGTGCTGGCAATCGATGGAGTGTTCCCTCTACTCTCCTCCTTTCCTCTTGCCCTCTCCCAACCTTACCTTTCCTCCTGTCTCCCACTCTTCTTCCTCATGTATTCCAAGCTGCAGAGGACCAAAAAAAGAAGAAAGAAAAAAGGCACGTTTGTGAAGGCAAAGAAAAAGATGGGTTGGCATGTGGGAAGAGGATTGCTGCTTTGTCTCGCCCACAGAGCGGGGGTGCCTTCCTTGTATGTTTCTGTGCCTGGTATGTGGGTACAATTTGCTGAACCCCAGACATATGACATGACCCTCCTTTCCCTCCATACCCCCCTCCCCACCCCAGACAATCCTGGAGTGTCCCTTTCAGGCCATCCATCTCCCATGGACAGAAGGCTCTTGGCTTGGCTGCAAGGCCTGGCTTTTCTGGGCCTGGGTGATACAGGAGGGTAAGCTTGGGAAGGACTCCAGTGCCTCATATAAACTGCTAATGAAGCACAATCTATCATTTAGAAAATAGGACTGACATTGGCCTGCGAGAAAGGGGTCTCTTGTTTCAGAAGGTTGACGGCAATTGGGTGATGGCCACTACTCTGAGTTTAATGTCAAGGGTCAAGTCTCACTTGTCTCCAGATACACCCAGGGCATATGGACACTCAGTGAATGCTGACTGAGAGCAGCTGAATTGCTATACGCAACACCTAGGTTTCTAACTGTCTCCTCTTAATTTCCTTACAACCTTCTCCTCCTCCTCAGGCATGTCTTAACATGGTGAAACCCCATGTTGTCTCTACTTAAAAAATAAAAATCGCCCCACAGGGTTCCATTCTAGGCCCTTTCCTCTCTCTCAAAACATACCCCTAGATGACCTCCCCATTCTGCTGGCTTCCATCCACATGCTGAGGCTGCATGCCAATCATTCACATGGTTCTTACCTTGCTTCCAGACCCCCACATCCAGCTGCTCACTGGACACTTCCTTTTGAACATCTGGGGCATTTCAAACTCAACATGCTCAAAATCAGACTCAACATCTTCTCAAAACTTGTTTCTCCTCCAACAGCTCTAGGGGTTACCAATTTCCCAGGTACCCAAGCCATATAACAGAGCCTCATCCTTACTCTTTCCTCTGTACCCACATCCCAGCCATCAGAATCCTCCCAATTAAATGCCCTAAATATATATTTTTTTGATATGGAGTCTTGCGCTGCTGCCCAGGCTGAGTGCAGTGGCGCAATCTCGGCTCACTGTAACTTCTGCCTCCCGGGTTCAAGCAATTCTTGTGCCTCAGCCTCTGGAGTTGCTGGGATTACAGATGCCCGCCACCACAACCAGCTAATTTTTGTATTTTTAGTAGAGACGAGGTTTCACCTTGTTGGCCAGGCTGGTCTCTAACTCCTAACCCCAAGTGACCCACCCGCCTCAGCCTCCCAAACTGCTGGGATTACAGGTGTGAGCCACGGCACCTGGCCCATATATTTCTTTAGCAAGCTGCATGCCCACCTGCTCTTGTCACAGGAGCCTGCGCTTTCCCTTCTATAAGACTAATCACACTTCATTGCAATTGCTTATTTTATTTATTTATTTATTTTTTGAGATAGAGTTTCACTCTTGTTGCCCAGGCTGGAGTGCAATGGCGTGATCTCAGCTCACCACAACCTCTGCCTCCTGGGTTCAAGCGATTGTCCTGCCTCAGCCTCCCGAGTAGCTGGGATTACAGGCATGTGCCACCACACCCGGCTAATTTTGTATTTTTAGTAGAGACGGCGTTTCTCCATGTTGGTCAGGCTGGTCTCAAACTCCTTACCTCAGGTGATCCACCCACCCTGGCCGCCCAAAGTGCGGGATGACAGGCGTGAGCCACCGCACCTGGCCTGCAATTGCTTATTTACTTTGTACCCTCTGGAACATACATTCATAATATATGCTGACAATTTTACTGGGTAACCACCCAGGTCTGAGGTGGGTGCCTTCCCTCTAGAACTTGGTCCAAGTGTTTTGTTTTGTTTTTGGGACAGGGTCTTGCTCTGTTGTCCTGGCTGGAGTGCAGTGGTATGATCATAGCTCACCGTAACCTTGAACTCCTGGGCTCAAGGGATCCTCCTACCTCAGCCTACCAAGTAGCTGGGACTATAGGCACACACCACTATGCCCTGCTAAAGAGGTGGTCTCACTATGTCGCCCAGGCTGGCCTCAAGTGATCCTCCCACCTTGGCCTTCTAAAGTGCTGGGATCACAGGTATGAGGCATCACACCCAGCCTTTTTATTTTTTTTAAACAGCTCTTTTTGAGATTTAGCGCACCTACCATGCAATTCAACCATTTAAAGTGTACAATTTGGCCAGGCGCAGTGGCTCATGCCTATAATCCCAGCACTTTTGGAGGCCAAGGCAGGTGGACTACCTGAGGTCAGGAGTTCCAGACCAGCCTGGCCAACATGGTGAAACCCCATGTTGTCTCTACTTAAAAAATACAAAAATTAGCTGGGCATGGTAGTGGATGCTTCTAATCCCAGCTACTTGGGAGGCTGAGGCAGAAGAATCTCTTGAACCCGGGAGGTGGAGGTTGCGGTGAGTTAGATCATGCCACTGCACTCCAACCTAGGTGAAGAGTGAGACTCCATCTCAAAAAAATAAATAAATACTTAAAGTGTACAATTCAATGGCTTTTAGTATATTCAGAGTTGCACAGCCATCACCACAATTTTAGAACATTTTCATCAACCCAAAAAGAAACCCTGCACCCCTTAGCTGTCATCCCTGCGCTTCCATATTCTCCACCCTACCCCCAGGCAACCACTAATCTACTTTCTGTCTCTACAGATTTGCCTATCCTGGATATGTCTTACAAATGAAATCAGGTTAGGGCTTTCCAACTTACCCAGTTCTAAGATTCACCTGAGAACTTCCCTGGAGATTCCAATTCAGCAAATCTGGCGTAGGGCCAGCCAATTCTCTATTTGTTCAGGCTGCATCTGCCTTTGCTATGCCCAGCACCCAAGGCCAGATACACAGTAAGTGGTCCAGAAATATCTTCTGATGAATACCTCTAAAACCTGTCTCTAGCTCTGGTTTCCCTTACATACACCTCCCCAACTGATGGCCTTGTCTTATGTCAAAAGCAACCTGAAAAGCACTTTGAGTGTGAAAGTACCATATGTTCAGTGTGGAAGAAGCCTGGAAACTCAAACACTCTCCCTAGTCCCCCCCATGGGGCATAGCGCTTTAGAATGCACTTTCACCACCAGGATCCCAATTAAGGAATGGAACAGAAGCCTGAGGAGGGGACAACAGAGGGAGGGAGGACTGAGGTCAGACTGGTGGAGGAAGCAAGCAAGCTGAATCCCCAGGGGCCAGAGGGGGCAGTTAGAGATGAGGCTGAGGGGGTGAGCAGGGGCTTGGTGAGCATGGGAGGCCTTGTGGAGTGGCTGAGTTTGGAATTTATCCCAGGGTACCGGGGAGCCACCAGTGGGCTTGAAGCAGGGGGGTTTTGTGATCACGTGTGTGCTTTGGGAAGGTCACTCTGGCAGCTGTGAGAGGGAGGAGGCCGGAAGCAGGGAGGAGCCTGCAGTTACATTAGAAGAAGCAAGAGTCTGGGCCTGGTGGCTCACGCTTATAATCCCAGCACTTTGGGAGGCTGAAGCAGGTGGATTGCTTGAGCTCAGGAGTTTGAGACCAGCCTAGGCAACATGGCAAAACCCCATCTCTACAAAAAATACAAAAATTAGCTGGGCACGGTGGTGTGCACCTGTAGCATCAGCTACTGAGGAGGCTGAAGCAGGAGGATAACTTGAGCCTGGGAGGTTAGGGCTGCGTGAGCTGTGACTGCACCACTGCCTGATAGCCTGGGCAACAGAGTGAGACCCCATCTCAAAAAAAAAAAAAAAAAAGAAGCAAGAGTAGCCTGGGCCAGAGTGGGTAAAGGCTAGAAGCAGAGGCTTGAAAGTCATGCTCGCTTTAGCATGCGGTTTCATATGACTACTGTGATGTCCAGTGACTGCTCCGCTCCATTCCTTCCACACCTGTAGCCTATACCTTTACACTTCCCTTTTCATCCTTGACTTTTACCTTCTAATACTCAAGGTTTAGTCTGATATTTCCACACTAATATAAAACGAAATAGAAGGCACTCGAGGGCTAGGGACATCCTCTATCTATCTCTGGTAGTACCTAACCTTGAACATAGACCTGGGTCCTAAGCAGTTATTCAGGACATACTTGTAGATTAATAAGTCATCACCTAAATACCTCTGCTGTCTGCCTGAGAGCCTGAAGTTTCCACAATTAAAGCCCTTCCCAGCCTGGGCAACATAGTGAGACCCTGTCTCTATAAATAATTCTTTTTTTTTTAATTAGCCAGACATGGTGGCATGTGCCTGTAGTCCTAGCGACTCAGGAGGATTGCTTGAGCCCAGGAGTTAAAGGCTGCAGTGAGCTATGATTACGCCATTGCACTTCAGCCTGGGTGACAGAGTGAGATCCCATCTTTTTTTTTTTTTTTTTTCCTGAGACAGAGTCTCGCTCTGTCGCCCAGGCTGGAGTGCAGTGGTGCAATCTTGGCTCACTGCAACCTCTACCTCCCAGGTTCAAGTGATTCCCCTGCCTCAGCCTGCTGAGTAGATGGGATGACAGGCACACACCACCACAACCAGCTAATTTTTGTATTTTTAGTAGAGACGGGGTTTCACCATGTTGGTCAGGCTGGTCTCGAACTCCTGACCTCGTGATCCACCCACCTTAGCCTCCCAAAGTGCTGGGATTATAGGCCGTGATTGCCATCACACCAAGCCTACAGTCCCCCATTTTTTATGGGGGATATGTTCCAAGCTCTCTGGTGGATGTCTGAAATCAAGGATAGTCCTGAATCCTATATATAGTATGTGTTATCAATCTGATAACTGAGATGGCTACTAAGTGGCTAATAGGTGGGTAGTATATACAGCATGGGTATGCTGGACAATGGAACGAGTCACATTCCAGGCAGTATGCAGCAGGATGTTGTGAGATTTCACCACTCTACTCAGAATGGTGTGCAATTCGAAACATGATTTCTGGAAGTTTCCATTTAGTATTTTCAGACTGCAGTTGACCATGTGTAACCAATAGCAGAAAATAGCAGAAAGTGAAGCTGTGAACAAGGGGGAGACTACTGTACTCATTCTGATTTTGCCAACAAGTTGCCGGACAACCCTGAGCAAGTCACTTCATTTCTGAATTTAGGACAAAACTGCCTGGCTGATCAAATAGAGCTGTGAGCATCACTTGAAAAGGCAGACATGAAGGTGTTTTGCAAAATGAAAAATATAGAGATGGATTATAAAGGGTGATCCATGCATGTTTGGAAAAGTAAGTAACAGCACAGAAAACAAAATCAACTTCTAAAACATTGGATATAGGTTTAGCAACAGTCCTTTATACCTTTAAGAGCAGTCATTTGAGCTGAGAGGTAAAAAATAAATATGGCTGGCCGGGGTAACCCCAGCACTTTGGGAGGCTGAGGCGGGCAGATCACAAGGTCAGGAGATCGAGACCATCCTGGCTAACAGGGTGAAACCCCATCTCTACTAAAAATACAAAAACATTAGCTGGGCATGGTGGCACATACCTGTAGTCCCAGCTACTCAGGAGGCTGAGGCAGGAGAATTGCTTGAATCTGGGAGGCGGAAGCTGCAGTGAGTCGAGATCTCGCCACTGCACTCCAGCCTGAGCGACACAGCGAGACTCCACCTCAAAATAAATAAATAAATAAATAGGCCGGCGTGGTGGCTCACGACTGTAATCCCAGCTCTTTGGGAGGCTGAGGTGGGCAGATCACATGAGGTTGGGAATTCCAGATCAGCCTGACTAACATGGAGAAACCCCGTCTCTACTAAAAATACAAAATTAGCCGGGCATGGTGGCGCATGCCTGTAATCCCAGCTACTTGGGAGGCTGAGGCGGGAGAATTGCTTGAACCCGGGAGGTGGAGGTTGTGGTGAGCCAAAATCATGCCATTGTACTCCAGCCTGGGCAACAAGAGCAAAACTCCGTCTCAAAATAAATAAATAAATAAATAAATAAATAAATAAATAAATAAATAAATAAGGCTTTCACAGGGGTCTGAAGAAAGCAGACATTAATAAGGAAAAAAACTCCTACAGTCTAGGCAGGAGATGATATGGAAGGATGAGTCTTTAAAATGTTAGAATAGGCCGGGCTTGGTGGCTCATGCCTGTAATCCCAGCACTTTGGGAGGCCGAGGCAGGCAGATCGTGAGGTCAGGAGATTGAGACCAGCCTGGCCAACATGGTGAAACCCATCTCTACTAAAAATACAAAAATTAGCTGGGCATGGTGGTGCGTGTCTGTAATCCCAGCAATTTGGGAGGTTCAGGCAGGAGAATTGCTTAAACCTGGGAGGCAGAGGTTGCAATGAGCCAAGATTGCACCACTGCACTCCAGGCTGGGCAACAGAGCAAGACTCCATCTTGGGGAAAAAAAAAATTTAAATGTTAGAAGTGGTTAGGCTTGGCAGTTGATGTTGGCAGACAATGAAAGCTTTCCAAATGTCTTTAAAGGTTTAGCATCACTACTCTACACCCTCATCCAATGGTGTAAGATGACTCGCTGTCCCCCAAATACTCTTGTAGACTTTTATGCCTTTGATCATGGCTCTTCACCTTACATGTCTTCGTGTCACTTGTTAATGCTTTGCTAATCCTTTAGACCCAGCTGAAATGAGATACTCCTGGAGTGATTTACTCCTTTAGCTGTGAGCTCATTTCTTTCCACTATAACAGTTATTGCATTAATTTTTTGTGTGTTTGTTTTAACCAGTTTTACTAGTTAAATTTTGAGTCCAAGGGCAGGAAACACATCGTGAGTCATCTTTGAATCTCCAGTGCCTAGAACAGGAAGCTACACACACCAAGTATTCAATAATTACTTGATGAGCTGCATCATGTCTCACACATGTTCTCAACAGGTATAGAGAAAACCAGAGTGTTCACATGTAACTTTAGGCCTTACCCCAAGGAGGGCAGGAAGATTCCCTGCTCATTATGTCTTAGAAAATCAATATGTCTCCCCTTCGTTTGTTGATTATCTTGATTAAAGAGTTTTTAAAAAACATGTAAATGATCATAATTATTGCAAGCTTTACAGGGGTAACAATAGGAGCCAAGGAAGATCTTGGAAATACAACTGTTCTCCTGAGAATCATAGGATAATGATTTCTGGCTGGGTGCAGTGGCTCATGCCTGTAATCCCAGCACTTTGGGAGGCTGAGGTAGGAGGATTGCTTCACACCAGGAGTTCGAGACCAGCCTGGGCAACATAGTAAGACCCCCATCTCTACAAAAAACAAAAAACCTTAGCCAGGTGTGTTGGCACTCGCCTATAGTCCCAGCAACTCAGAATGCTGAGGCAAAGGTTGCAGTGAGCAGAGTTCGCCACTGCACTCCACACCCCAGCCTGGGCAACAGTGGACAATGCGACCCTGTCTCAAAAAAAAAAAAAAAAAAAAAAGCTGCTTTATTTCTTGTCTAATCCTTATGGCTGTATCAAGCACAATGATCATCCCATTTTATTTATTTATTTTTTTGAGACAGAGTCTCCTCTGTCACCCAGGCTGGAGTGCAGTGGCGCGATCTCGGCTCACTGCAACCCCTGCCTTCCAGATTCAAGCAGTTCTCCCGCCTCAGCCTCCTGAGTAGCTGGGATTACAGGCACCCACTATCGTACCTGGCTAATTTTTGTATTTTTGGTCTTGAACTCCTGACCATAGGTGATCCACCTGCCTTGGCCTCCCAAAGTGCTGTGATTACAGGCATGAGCCACCACGCCCAACCTATCATCCCATTTTATAGAAGAGAAATCTATAGTTGAGTTGTTACGAATTCAACAGAGACCACACGGCTAATAAAAAACCAAGACTAGACTTGAATCCCGAACAATCTAATTCTAGCATCCAGAGAGGGTGACATTAAACATTTAAGTTACATAACTAACACTAGTTAATCTAATTAACTGCTCATCAAATATTTCTAGTAATTTGGCTTCCCCGAATGCTCTCCTATAGGGGATCAATATGCCTTTTGCCAGCACGAGGACACTGGTCCACTTGCCCGTTGTTAACAGCACTCTGCTTATCTAGCAAGCGCCTGTGAGCCTGACAAATCCCCGAGGAAGGAATCTGCTCTTAGGGTACAAACCACATTGGGTTTCTGGTCCTGTACGTGAGGCTCAAGGCCAGATCTTTTTTTTTTTTTTTTTTGAGACAGAGTCTCACTCTGTCGCCAGGCTGGAGTGGAGTGGTGCGATCTCTGCTCACTGCAACCTCCGCCTCCCAGGTTCAAGCGATTCTCCTGCCTCAGCCTCCTGAGTAGCTGGGATTACAGGCACACGCCACCACACCCAGCTAATTTCTGTATTTTCAGTAGAGACGGGATTTCACCATGTTGGCCAGGATGGTCTCAATCTCTTGACCTAGTGATCCGCCCACCTCGGCCTCTGAAAGTGCTGGGATTACAGGCATGAGCCACCGTGCCCAGCCTAGCCTTATTTTTATCACCTCAACTGTTTCACAGCCTGTCATCATATTTTCCCTCAGCTTGTTTCTTTCCAGCCTCAAACATTCTATTCCTTTTGTTTGGCCTTCTGTTCCTTCATCTTTGGAGCTGACTCCATAAAGTAGGACACATCAAGATTTACCATAAAGACAAGAAAATATTTTGTTTGTTTATTTATTTTTGAGATGAAGTCTCGCTCTGTCGCCCAGGCTGGTGTGCAGTGGCGCAATCTCGGCTCACTGCAACCTCCACCTCCCAGGTTCAAGCAATTCTCCTGCCTCAGCCTCCCGAGTAGCTGGGATTACAGGTGTGCCACCACGCCTGGCTAATTTTTATATTTTCAGTAGAGATGAGGTTTCACCATGTTGGCCAGGCTGATCTCAAACTCCTGACCTCAGGTAATCCGCCTGCCTCGGCCTCCCACAGTGCTGGGATTACAGGTGTGAGCCACTACGCCCAGCCAGAAAATATTTTCTTTTCTTCCTTCCTTAGTGATCCTTCGCATTTTCTCAGCCCTATGTGAGAGCAGTACATAGGGTCCTTGTCTTCAGAAAGCAGGCTTCAAGGCCACTTGGACCCCATTCCTGGCTTTTGATGCCTCAGAGATCATAGAGTTATAAATATAATTAATATATAGTTGTAAATATAATCATAAATATAATTGAGGCTTTTTTCCCTCTAAATCCACTGCCTCAGGCTGGGTGTGGTGGCTTACATCTGTAATCCCAAGACTTTGGGAGGCTGAGGTGGGCGGATCTCCTGAGATCAGGAGTTCAAGACCAGCCTGGCCAACATGGCAAAACCCCGTCTCCACTAAAAATACAAAAAATTAGCCAGGAGTGGTAGTGCACACCTGTAGTCCCAGCTACTCGGGAGGCTGAGGCAGGAGAATTGCTTGAACCCAGGAAGCAGAAGTTGCAGCGAGCTGAGATCGAGCCACTGCATTCCAGCCTGGGCGACAGAGTGAGATTACATCTAAAAATAAAATAAAATAAAAAAATAAATCCACTGCTTCATATTTGCCTACATAAAAGCTTTAGAAGGTGTTCCTGTAGTCTACTCTTAAAGAAGATGGGGACAGGTGTGGTGGCTTACATCCCAGCACTTTGGAAGGCCAAGACAGGAGAATTGCTGGAGCCTGAGACCAGCCTGGGCAACACAGTGAGACCTCATCTCCACAAAAAGAAAACAAAAAACAAAAAAAAAGGAAGGTGATTTGAAGTAAAATCTTGAGAAAGTGAACTAATTAGCTTATTAATGTTACTAGAAAGAAAATCTAAAGTTTAAATGCAAGTCAGCTTTTAATTTTTTTTTTATTTTTGAGACAATGTCTTGCTCTGTCACTCAGGCTGGAATGTAGTGGTGCAATCGGGGTTCACTGCAGCTTCAACCTCCTGGGCTCAAGTGATGCTCCTGCCTCAGCCTCCCAAGTATCTGGGACTACAGGTACACACCACCATGTTCAGCTAATTTTTTGTAGAGATGGGCTTTTGCCATGTTACCCAGGCTAGTCTCAAACTCCTGGGCTCAAGTAATCCACCTACCTTGGCCTCCCAAAGTGCTGGGATTACAGGCATGAGCCACTGTGCCTGGCCTATTTTTTATTTTTTTGAGACAGGGTCTTGCTTCATCACCCAGGCTGGAGTACAGTGGCACACACATGGCTCCCTGTAGTCTCGACCTCCTGGGCTCAAGCGATCTTCCCACCTCAGCCTCCCAAGTAGCTGGGACTACAGTCATACGCCACCACACTCAGCTAATTTTTAAATTTTTTGTATAAACAAGGTCTCCCTATGTGCATGTCAGCTTTGTTGTTTCTAGTACATAAGTTCTTAAGTATACCAGGAACTATTTGGGCTGAGGAGAATGCAAAATGCAAATATTCCAGAAGCATCTGTTTGGTAATTTTCCTCTGAGTTTGTCTTTTCTTTATGTCTGAGTCCTAATGTGTACATAAGAGGCAAATGGGATAACTTGGTTTCTAGAAAAAGAAGGGTCACGTGTAAATTTTTCAAATACTTCACACATTTCTAAAATAGTATCTAATTGTATAAGGTAAGTAACTGGGATTAGACATGAGAAAACTTGCCGGGCGCGGTGAGTCGCTCCTGTAATCCCAGCACTTTGGGAGGCCGAGGCGGGCGGATCACCTGAGGTTGGGAGTTCAAGACCAGCCTGACCAACATGGAGAAACCCCATCTCTACTAAAAATACAAAATTAGTCGGGGGTGGTAGCGCATGCCTGTAATCCCAGCTACTCAGGAGGTTGAGGCAGGAGAATCGCTTGAACCCAGGAGGCAGAGGTTGTGGTGAGCTGAGATCACACCATTGCACTCCAGCCTGGGCGATAAGAGCAAAACTCCGTCTCAAAAAAAAAAAAAAGAAATGAGAAAAATTGGGTCCTGGTGTTGAGAAGCTGTACTATCCCTTTTCTTCATGTCTGTACCCAAGCAGCTGAATGTTGGAGAAAAACCAACACACTGGGCCAACTGGTTTACCTTTAACATCATGATCACAAACCTCAGATGAGTACCCAATGCCACCAAGGCAATCCTGTTAAGGACTTGCCTTCCCTCTCCCCTGCACTTGCATCTGTCTTCACCTTTGTTGCCCTTATCATGAATGGAAGCATCCCTGTTCCTCTCCAAGGTCAACCCTCCCTGTTTCCTTATATCTTCTGATGGATTTCACTCCTATATAGGTCAAGCAAGCCTCCTCTCTCCTGGATCACCCATCTTTCTTCCCCACCATATCCCTCCCAATGGCACATAAACATGCTCTGGGAACCCTACCATCTTTTATTTTATTTATTATTATTTTTTGAGATGGAGTCCCGCTTTGTTGCCCAGGCTGGAGTGCTGTGGCCCAATCTTGGCTCTCTGCAACCTCTGCCTCCCGGGTTCAAGCAATTCTCCTGCCTCAGCCTCCCCAGTAGCTTGGATTACAGGCGCGCGATACCATGCCCAACTAATTTTTGTATTTTTAGTAGAGACCGGGTTTCACCATATTGGCCAGGCTGGTCTCGAACTCCTGACCTCAGGTGATCCACCTGCCTTGGCCTCCCAAAGTGCTAGGATAACAGGCGTGAGCCACTGCGCCCGGCCCCTACTATCTTTTAAAAGATTTCTTTCTATATCTATCCCCAAACTTATCTGGTCCCTTCACAGCAAAACCTCTCTCAAATTGCATACATGTGCTGTCTCCATTTCCTCACTTTCCTGGTGACTGTTTAACCCATTCCGGTCAGGTCCACCTCCCTGATATACTCACGTGAATCAAGCCAAGGCCATCAGTGACATTCTCCAGTGACTTGCAAGGTGACCCAATCCAATAGCCACATCTCTGGCCCAAGTTTATCACACCGCTCAGCTGATGCCTCCTACCTGAAACCTTCTCTGCCCAGGGATTCCACAACTCAGCGCTAGCTTTCATGACTTCCTAGATGCTGCCTTTCAGACTCCTTCTCCATTACCCTCCCAATATTGGAGTGCCCCAGGATTTGGCCATGGAATTTCTCTTCACTCTTTCCTCCAAGCCAAGCCAGGGGTCGTAAACTGACAGCTCATCTGTGTGGTTTAATCAGCTCATGAAGTTTAAAAACATCTGATTCAGTTGCTAACATCTAAAAACTCTGGAGATTTGACATCTTAAAAATACAGATTTTTTTATTCCTTTAGGGGAAAAAAAAAGAGTATGTTATTGGGCCAGCATTCTCACAACGGAACGGTCAGATGGATGGAGAAGAAGCTGCTCCCTAGATATTGGGTCCATTTGATATCTAAGGGAAGAGTCATATTCCCTGTAAGTACCAAAAGGCTCTCATCCCAGAGCCACCAGCACCTTGCAGTCAGTTCTTGGTCAACTTGACTGCAGGTTGGGAAGGGTCCGCAGGCGCCTCCTGGGGAGGGGTGGGACTGAAGGTCTCCGCCCACAGAGAACAGCTCTCCCGCAAAGACAAGAAATGCACGTTTCCACAGAATTACACAGCGCTAAATACAGAAACTCCTTTCAGTAAAAAGCGATTGCTATGAACGTGTTAAAGCATCAAGTCTGGTTTTCCGCCACCTCTCCGGGCTGAGGTGGCCTGGGGACACCAAGAGGAGGCCCTCCCACTCTCCTCTCGCACCCGCTTTTAGGTGGCCCTCTTCTAGGGCGGAGAGATCACCAAAAGCCGCTGAGCAAGGACAGCCCTTCCAGTCGTCGCTCGCGGGCACGGAGCTGGGAGCGCGCGGGAACCGACCGGGCCTTACTCTGGGGCGGGCAGCTGTAAGACATTCGGAGGGCGGGTCGGGCCTGGCTGGGGCGGAGACTGGGCGGGGCCGGGCCCGGGAGCCTCCTCAGCCCCACTGGCTTGCCCCGCGCGCGCTTCCTCCAGCCACCCCCACTTCCCCAACCCTGTACGGGTTCAGGGGGCCGGAGACAGCAGCTAGGGAATAAGGTCAAGCGGACTGGATCCGGCACCGCCCAGGGGCGGCGGCCTCCGCCCAGGAAGCCCCACCCAGCGGGAGCCAGGACGCCGCGGCGCCGGCAGAGCCCACGAGCGACCCGGCGAGGGCGCGTGCGGCGTGACGACGCGACTCGCGGCGCGTCCCGTGACGCCATCGCGCCCGCTTTTGAAAGTTGGCGCCCGGGGCCGCCTCCCATGCTGCCCTGCGCCAACCCCTCCCCTCACCTTTCCTCCCCCGCCCTCTACTCGCCGCCCGGCCGGTCCCCCCACCCGTCCCTTCCCTTATCAGCACCCGCGGCCCCGGCAGCGCCGACGCAGGCGCACTGCACCGCGCCGCCGCCATTTTGTGTCTGAGCCTGTGGAGCGATTAAACCGTGCGCGGAGCTGCTTCTTTGGCGGCAGCGGCGGCGGCGGTGGCCGGTGCGGACGCGCGGAGCTCGCCGGAGACGCCGGGTGGCCGGAGCCGTGGAGCGGCGGCGGAGCGGGCGCCGCGGGGGGTGTGGCGCGGAGGTAAGGGGGCCCGGGGTGGAGGAGGTTTCGCGGGCCGCCTCTAGGTGTCACGATGGGGCCGCTCCGGTCGGCGCTGGCTGCAGCCCGGCGCCAGCGCCGCCGCCGGGGGGTGTTTGTCTCCCTCTACCGTCCCTGCTGCGGCGCGGCCGCCGCCATTGCCCGTCGCCGCCGTGGCCCGGCCGCCCCCCCCACCCCCACGCCCGCCCGCCCGCCCGCCCGCTAGGCCTCCCTCCTGGCAGCGCGCTAGGCCTCGGGCGGCGGCAGAGGCAGAGGCCCGCGCGCCCGGCGACTCCATTTTCCTTCCTTTGTCTGCCCTCGAGGCCGGTTCTTGGCCGGCCGATCGCCCGGCCGCGGCCCGCCCTCTGTCCTGTGTCCTCCGCCCCTCCCGCGGCGGGTGGCCCCAGCTGAGACACTATCTCCGCGTCCCGGCTTCGGCGCCCGCCTAGCTTAAGGGTTCGGACCGACTGCCGCCGCGCGCTAAGCCAGGTCCCGGTGCCGTATGGGTGTCGGGCCCTGGCCGTCGCGTCTCGGGCTGCCCCTCCTCCAGCCAGCCCCGTCCCCGGAACCTACCCTGCCGGCCTGCGTGCCTTCCCAGCTGCTTGGCTGCTCGGCGGTCGCTCCCAGTCCGCGCGTCGCCGCCGCTGGTCTCCGTCTCCGCCGAGTGGCGCAGGCGGCGCTGCAGCGGCTGCGAGCAGAGGGACCCCAGAGCTGCCGAGAGCTCCCTCTGCAAGGCTGGCTGAGCTGCTCGCACCTCTACGCTGCCTGAGCGGGCGGGGGGACGCGCGCTCGCCGCCCCCGCTGCGCCCCCAAACTCGCGCCCGGGTTCCTGGCCGGACCCGACCGGTGCGGCCCCCCCACGGTGGGCGGAAAAGATGCGAGTTCCGCACCAAGTAGTTTTTATCCAGCCGGGTTCGGACTCCCCAGCCGAGTGATAGCAGCCTGACTTTGTGCGCTCAGAGATCTCAAAGGGACTGAAACTTAAATTTCATTCTGATCTCAAGTGACGTGACAAATTTCTGAATTTGGGAGTATGGGCTAAGTCCCTTGAGTTTCCCTCCCGCTTTAAAATGTCCTCACACTAACTTAGTACCTGATGCTCTAGGGCTAGGTGAAGGCGGTTCTGCCCCAGGATTGTGCAACTCGATCTAGAGCGCCAGTAGGGCAGAATGAGTTTATTCTTGACTCGACTGGTAATTTGCCCATGCGATGAAATATGAGGGTTGATGTTGTAATTGAATCCTGGGTCACTTGCTGCAGATGGTTTATAAATATCTACGCCTAATGTAACTACTGTTTAGTAGGAGACTTCCTGTAGCCCCGAGTTCAGCGTTAAGTAAACATTCGCATACGTAGTCTTCATACTTTGAGTTTCGATCAACTAGGAAAGTTAAAAACCAAGTCCTCATAGGTGGGAAAGGAAGTTAAACAAGGCATATATTTAAATTTATTCGGTCCTTAAGTTTTCTTTCTTCACTAAAAAGCATCCCGTTGAATTGCGGGAGTCTTTTGCTTTTCCGTAAATATTCTAGTGCCTTAATATAGTTCATTGCAGCAGTTAATGTATCAGTTCGGGTTGTTTTGGAGAGAAGAAAGTCTGGATTAACCTGTTTTTAGGAAGGAAGCTATGTTAAGTTTATGAAGAAATTAAACAGCCTGGTCCTAACCAAAGTTGTCCAGTCCACTGTATGTAATCTCAATGTGTAGCTCCTCACTGCAGTCCTCTTCGTAGGCACGCTTTCTATGTCTCCTTTTGGAACCCTGCAAAATATTCCTGCCACCCCTCTTCCTCAATAAAATTGCATAGAGTAACTAAATGCAGTAGCGTTGATTGATAGTTAGACTTGGGAATAGAATCACCTTTAATTATCTAATATGTTAGTCCAATTGTGTAATTTATTGCATTCTTTTGTGACTTTGTTTTCCTTTTGAAATTGTGGTTAAGTAGCATGTTTTATTTATTTAAATAAGCTCAACATTGAGTTAAAAATTAAAATACAGCAGGTGTATAATCGAGCCAGGAGTAAAGCTTGTTTTCCCGGGTTAGTACTGTGCTCCATAGACCATATTTTGCTTCTTGGTTTGGTTGTTTCATATGCAGTCATCAGCTTCTTGGGTTTATACGTCATTTATGCTGTTTTAGTGGAATAGACCTTTTCCACACAGTTGCTATCCTTTGAAATTCCCATATGCCAGGAATCATGCTTTGTTTTGTTTTTATTAAAAAACAATCTACGGAGAGAATAAATTGAGGATGAATTGATATGTTAGGGTAACCCAGACCTTTTTTTTTTTTTGAGACGGAGTCTCGTTCTGTCCCCTAGGCTGGAGTGGCAGTGGTGCGATCTCGGCTCACTGCAACCTCTGCCTCCCGGATTCAAGCAATTCTCCTGTCTCTGCCTCCCAAGTAGCAGGAATTACAGGCCCGTGCCACCACGCCCGGCTAATTTTTGTATTTTTAGTAGAGACGGGTTTTCACGATGTTGGCCAGGCTGGTCTCGAACTCCTGACCTCAGGTGATCCACCCGCCTCAGCCTCCCAGAGTGCTGGGATTACAGGCGTGAGCCATCTCGCCAGGCCAGGACCTGTTATTTAAATTAGTGATAGGAGGATGATTAAAACAGGAATGTTTGCCTGCATAAGAAAATACTGCCTATTTAAGAGTAGTTGTGGCTGGGAGCGGTGGCTCACGCCTGTAATCCCAGCACTTTGGGTGACCAAGGCGGGAGAATCACGAGGTCAGGAGATTGAGACCATCCTGACTAACACAGTGAAACCCTGTCTCTACTAAAAATACAAAAAATTAGCCAGGCATGGTGGCACACGCCGTAGTCCTGGCTACTAGGGAGGCTGAGACAGGAGAACCGCTCGAACCTAGAAGGTGGAGGTTGCAGTGAGCCGAGATTGTGCTGCTGCACTCCAGCCTGGGCAACAGAGCAAGACTCTTATCTCAAAAAAAAAAAAAAAAAAAAAGAGTAGTTGTAAAGGTTAACTTTATCGGGATCCATTCAACCTATGTAAGAATTTAAGAGGTGAAGTTGTCCTTAAGATGCATTCAAATTCTAAGAGCTTTAGGATTTTATTTTAAAGTACACACGCAAATGGGGGCACTCACCTGGGACTTCTGAATGGCTTGGGGAGTTCCTTGGTGGAAGCCACTTGTGGCTGACTTAAGGCCCTGGGGAGGAATCCTGGGCAGAGCCTTGCAGGCTGGTGCCTCCTGGCCAAAAGTCACCTCTAGAGACTGCTTTTTTTGCTTCAGGGATGCTGCTGCTGTCACAGCCATTCCACATCATCTACGTTATAGACTCCACCTAATTTTTTTAAACTAGACCATCTGTCTGCCTAATTTACCTGTCTTGGCTCCAGATGACTTGACTGTTTTGCCAAAAATTAGGCCCCTCTTCAAACAACTCAGATGCATTATGATTTAAAAAGAACAATAATGGCAAATAATGTGTAACTTTGAAGACCATGGTTCTCAATTGATGTGATTTGTAGGTGGGACATGGTGGCTCACACCTGTAATCCCAGCACTTTGGGAGGCTGAGGCGGGCGGATCACCTGAGGTCAGGAGTTTGAGACCAGCCTGGCCAACATGGTGAGACCCCATCTTTACCAAAAACACAAAAATTAGCTGAGCGTGGTGGCATATGTCTGTTTCTGTAATCCCAGCTACTCAGGAGGCTGAGTCAGGAGAATCACTTGAACCCGGGAGGCGGAGGTTGCAGTGAGTCAAGATCGTGCCGTTGCACTCCAGCCTGGGTGACAGAGTGAGACTTTGTCTCAAAATTAAAAAAAAAAAAAAAAAAAAAAAAAGATTAGTCTTACCACATTTGTTTTGTTGTTCTTGTGGGGTATTTGTTTGTTTTGGAGATGGAGTCTCGCTTTGTCTACCAGGCTGGAGTGCAGGGGCACGATCTCGGCTCACTGCAAGCTCTACCTCCCAGGTTCACGCCATTCTCCTGCCTCAGCCTCCCGAGTAGCTGGGAGGACTACAGGCGCCTGCCACCACGCCTGGCTAATTTTTTGTATTTTTAGTAGAGACGGGGTTTCACCGTGTTAGCAAGGATGGTTTCGATCTCCTGACCTGCCCGCCTCCGCCTCTCAAAGTGCTGGGATTACAGGCGTGAGCCACCGTGCCCGGCCTGTGGGGTTTGTTTGTTTGTTTTAAGACAGGGTCTTTCTCTTTTACCCAGGCTGGAGTGCAGTGGTGTGATCACAGCTCACTGCAGCCTCCACCTCCCTGGCTCAAATGATCCTGCCACCTCAGCCTCCTGGGTAGCTGGGACTAATTTTTTCTAGGTATGGGGTTTTGTCATGTTGCCTAGGCTGGTCTCAAACTCGTGGCCTCAAGCAGTCTGTCTGCCTTGGCCTCCCAAAGTGCTGGGATTAGGTGTGAGCCACCGTGTCCAGCCCATTTTTTTTAAACACCTGTAAACTTTCTGTAGTCTGTCTTCGTATCTTTCCTGCTAGTATCTTTGTGCATTTTCTCAGTGATTTAATATTTGAATGCAAAGTTGTGGCATTGCATATAGACTGCCAAAATACAGTCCAAAGGTGAGGGTTAGGATGGTATTCTTTCACACTTGATCCTTGTTTTTGGTCACTCTTGGAATTTTCAGGGGTAGAAAATTTCATTCCCTTTGAGGTATGCTGGTAATAATAATGGACTCCAGTATGGAAGTGTTGGTTGGACTAAATATGCTAATCACCTATTTGTGTTACTAAAAATTGCCTCTCAACAGAGGAGACTTTAGCTTCATCTAAGTATTAGTGAGTTTTGTGGAGTTTAGCTAATTGTGAGATGGATTTCCTCTTAGAAGATGTACCTCATGTGCCAAATTGCTTGGAAACTTTTTTTTTTTAATACATTTTGATTGAGGCAGTGGCATGATCATAGCTGTTGCCCAGATAGGAGTGCAGTGGCATGATCATAGCTCACTGCAGCCTTGAACTCCTGGGCTCAAGCAGTCTTCCTGCTGCAGCCTCCCAAGTAGCTGGTACTATAGGCGTGTGCCACCATGCCCAGCTGATTCTTTTATTTTTTTGTAGAGACAGGATCCTACTATGTTGCTCAGGCTGGTCTTGAACTCCTGGGCTCAAGCAAGTCTCCCACCTCGGCCTCCCAAAGTGTTGACGTTACAGGTGTGAGCCACCATACTCGGCTTTTTTTTTTTTTTTTTTTTTTTTTGAGACAGGTTGTCACTGTGTTGCCCACACTGCAGTGCAGTGGTGTGATCATGGCTCACTGCAGCCTTGTCCCCCACCTGCCCCAAGCGATCCTCCCACCTCAGCCTTCCAAGTAGCTGGGACCACAGGCACACAACACCATGCCTGGCATATATATGTATACGTGTATATATATATATTTTTTAAGATGGAGTTCACTCTGTCTCCCAGGCTGGAGTGCAGTGGCATGTTCTGGGCTCACTGCAACCCCGGCCTCCCAGGTTCAAGTGATTCTCCTGCTTCAGCCTCGGGAGTAGTTGGGATTACAGGTGCCTGCCACCGTGCCGAGCTAATTTTTGTATTTTTAGTAGAGACGGGGTTTCACCATGTTGGCCAGGCTGGTCTGGAACTCATGACCTCAGGTTATCCACCCACCTCGACCTCCCAAAGTGCTGGGACTACAGACGTGAGCCACCATGCCTGGCCTTTTTTTTGTTGTTGTTCTTCTTCCCTGAGACGAAGTCTTCCTCTGTCACCCAGGCTGGAGTGCAGTGGTGCGATGGTGGCCCACTGCAACCTCCGTCTCCCGGGTTCAACCAGTTCTCCTGCCTCAGCCTCCTGAGAAGCTGGGATTACAGGTGCATACCACCATGCCCAGCTAGTTTTTGTATTTTTAGTAGAGACTGGGTTTCACCACGTTGGCCAGGGTGGTCTCGAACTCTAACCTCATGATCCACCCGCCTGGGCCTCCTAAAGTGCTGGGATTACAGGCGTTAGCCACTGTGCCCGGCCTGCCTGGCTAATTTTTATGTATTTTGTAGAGACGGGGTTTTGCCATGTTGCCCTGACTGGCTTTGAACTCCTAGGCTCGAGCAGTCCTCTGCTGTGGCCTCTCAAAGTGCTGGATTGCTGGTGTGAGCCATCACACCTGGCTATATTATTTGGAAACTCTTTTTTTTTTTGAGACTGAGTCTTGCTCTGTTGCCCAGGCTGGAGTGCAGTGGTGTGATCTTGGCTCACTGAAACCTCTGCTTCCTGGGTTCAAGCGATTCTCCTGCCCCAGCCTCCTGAATAGCTGGGATAACTGGCACACACCACTACGCCTGGTTAATTTTTGTATTTTTTTTAGTAGAGACAAGGTTCCACTATGTTGGTCAGGCTGGTCTTGAACTCCTGACCTTGTGATCCGCCTGCCTTGGCTTCCCAAAGTGCTGGGATTACAGGCGTGAACCACTGTGCCTGGCCTATTTGGAAACACTTAGTTCAAATTTAGCTCTTTATTTCATTTGGGATTTTATTTTATTCTTTTTTTGAGACAGAGTCTCACTCTGTCGCCAGGCTGGAGTGCAGTGGCACGATCTTGGCTCATTGCAGCTCCGCCTCCTGGGTTCAAACGATTCTCCTGCCTCAGCCTCCTGAGTAGCTGGGTTTACAGGCCTGCACCACCATGCCCAGCTAATTTTTGTATTTTTAGTAGAGACGGGGTTTCACTATGTTGGCCAGGATGGTCTCAATCTCTTGACCTCGTGATCCGCCCGCTTTGGCCTCCCAAAGTGCTGGGATTACAGGTGTGAGCCATTGTGCCTGGCCTGGGATTTTCTTTCTTTCTTTCTTTCTTTTTCTTTAGAGGTAGGTTCCACTCTACCTTTGCTTGAAGCTTGACAGTTCATTTTGTAATTTAGGGTGAAAAGATGCCATCTAACAAAGTATTCCGTTATTCGACTAAAAAAACTGTTTCATTGCTATGCTTCTAGGATTTTCAAAGGTCAGTAAAAGCTCCTTTTGCCAGTTATCTTTTTTTTTTTTTAATGAGACGGAGTCTAGCTCTGTCGCCCAGGCTGGAGTGCAGTGGCGCGATCTCGGCTCATTCCAACCTCCGGCTCCTGGGTTCAGGCGATTCTCCTGCCTCAGCCTCCTGAATAGCTGGGATTACAGGCGTGTGCCACCACGCCTGGCTAATTTTTGTATTTTTAGTAGAGATGGGGTTTCGCCATGTTGGTCAGGCTGTTCTCAAACTCCTGACCTCAGGTGATCCACCTGCCTTGGCTTCCCCAGTTATCTTACTAAACTGGAAAGCATAGCCTTTACTTGTGGCATGAACAAACTTAATCAGTAAGACCACTACTTGCTAAAGATACGGAAATAAACTGTTAGAGAGCCATTACTGCAGCCATAAGAATTAATTTTTTTTTTTTTTTTTTGAGACGGAGTCTCGCTGTGTTGCCCAGGCTGGAATGCAGTGGCAGGATCTCGGCTCACTGCAAGCTCCGCCTCCCGGGTTCATGCCATTCTCCTGCCTCAGTCTCCTGAGTAGCTGGGACTACAGGCACCCGCCACCACACCCGGCTAATTTTTTTCTTTGTATTTTTAGTAGAGACGGGGTCTCACGTGTTAGCCAGGATGGTCTTGATCTGCTGACCTCGTGATCTGTCTGCCTCGGCCTCCCAAAGTGCTGGGATTACAGGCGTAAGCCACTGCGCCCAGCCAATAATTAATTTTTTGGTAGTTTGAATATGTGTGCCATTATTTGGTTGCAATATTGCAGTGGAGTGTTTTGTTTTGTTTTTTTTTTTGAGACGGAGTCTCGCTCTGTCGCCCAGGCTGGAGTGCCGTGGTGCGATCTCGGCTCACTGCATGCTCTGCCTCCCAGGTTTGCACCATTCTCAGCCTCCCAAGTAGCTGGTACTACAGGCGCCTGCCACCACACCCGGCTAATTTTTTGTATTTTTAGTACAGACGGGGTTTCACCATGTTAGCCAGGCTGGTCTCGATCTCCTGACCTCGTGATCTGCCCGCCTTGGCCTCCCAAAGTGCTGGGATTACAGGCATGAGCCACCGCGCCTGGCCTTTTTTTTTTTTTTTTTTTTTGAGACAAGATCTCTCACTCTGTCAAGCAGGCTGGAATGCAGTGGCACAATCTCAGCTCAGTACAGCCTCAAACTCCTGGGTGAGTCTCCCACCCTGGCTTCCGAAAGCGTTAAGATTACTGGTGTGAGCCTGGAGTACTATTTTGCTACTTAGAAACCTTTAGTCCTTTATATATTTAGCAAATGTGTGAAAAAATAAATGAATGTTTTGTTATTGGCTTGATGGTGGACATTTATGGAATGGCTCGGTTAGTGACATGACATGAACAGGTGTTTTGTTTCTTTCCCAATTTTTTCTGTCTTCAGTTTTCCCTCATTTTTTTTCATACTATATGCGTATTTGTATGAATTTAGTGTTTCATAAAATGATTTGTGCTTTTCTTTTAGAATGATTACGGACCTGAAGCCAAAGAACAAGATGCGCTAGTGGACAGATTGCTGACCAGGGGCTTGAGAGCTGGGTTCTATTTTCCCTCCTCAAACTGACTTTGCAGCCACGGAGAGGTAAGTGCTATTTCCATTTTTTCTATCTTAAAAATGGTAGTAATATAACCCTCCTGGAGTTGGAGGATTTGTTGGCTAATTCTTGAATATAGGGGATGCAGGATATCAGGTGATTGAGAGCATACAGGCTTCATAATCAGAGTCCTGGGTTTGAAACTCTTTACGATGATATACTAGCTGGGTAATATGGGGCAAGTTACTTTAACCTGTCTACTCCTGTAGTCCTCACTTGTGAGAGAATAACACCACCAATCTCAGAGACTATTCTCCGTTAATGAGAATGTGTTTTGTAAAGCTTTAAGTACTATTCTGAACATGTACATAGAAAGATCCCAGGAAATTGTGGCTGCTTTTCTGTAGAAACCCTTGGAATGTGTATTTTGACTATTGGCAAATGAACTGAAAAGAAAGTCCATGACCTGTGGCTACTTGTAATTTTGATAAGAAACAGATGGAATCCTGTTCTTGGGGAACCTGGTATCCTGGATAAAAATTGTCTTAATTTGAGTTAGCCTAGCTCATTGCCCATTTTGCGTCAGAGTGTGACAGTGATTATCATTTTAATTTAGCCTGTAATTTTTGCTATAAAATATAATGGACATTATATGGAACTTGGAACAGACCTTCTATAAATATTGGAATCTACTATGCTTTGGGATCTCATAAACAACAAAGTGGGATTCTGGTTGTAAAAATTATCTCTTCTCACGGTACCGGAAAGCACATTTTTTTCAGACCCTAGAAAAATGTGAAAATAATTTAATCGTACATGTGTAATGGCAAAAAGGAATGTAGAAGTGGAAATTACAAATGCCAGGATTAGATAAGCTTATGTGAATGAATCATCTAAATGACTACTAAGATTTTTCTTACAAGCTCTGCCTGGAGCAAATAAAGAGAAGGGAATAGGAATGAAAGTTCTGTTATTCTTCAAACCTTTATTTTCCAAATGGGCAACTTGTTATCCTGCTAGATGGGAAGGAGAAGGTCTGTGGTAGTATTCTGTCACTCCAAAAATAACTTACGCCCTGCAGGTTCTTTTAGGAGTGTTGACACAGAGTGCATACCAAAAGTTGCTGATTTAAAAACTATTGAGAAATCGAACCTTTAAGAGTTTAGGGAATGGGTTTATAGGAACACGTTAATCACTTTCAAGTGTTATGACTAGCTTAATTGCTTAGATCCCTGTTTCTCAAACTGGGATATGAATACCCTTAGGGAATCAGGTGGTATGATTTCGGGGTACTTGGAGTCACAAGAAAGATAAACATGACCCATCTTCCTAGAACTTCAGTTATAGTCATAGAGGAGGTGGTGAGTTAAGTAATTTAACTGGTCAGTGATTAAATATTAAATATTGGCCAGGCACGGTAGCTCACACCCAGTACATTGGAAGGCCAAGGCCTCCAAAATCCCAGTAATCCTAGTACTTTGGGAGGCCAAGGCAGGTAGATCACTTGAGGTCAGGAGTTCCAGACCAGCCTGGCCAACATGGTAAAACCCCATCTCTACTAAAAATATAAAAACTAGCCGAGTGTGGTGGTGGGTGCCTGTAATCCCAGCTACTTGGGAGGCTGAGGCAGGAAAATCGCTTAAACCTGGGAAGCAGAGGTTGCAGTGAGCCAGGATTGTGTCACTGCACTCCACCCTGGGCGACAGAGTGACTCTGTCTGCCCCCCCCCGCCCCCCCCCCCAAAACAACAAAAGACTGGGCGCGGTGGCTCACGCCTGTAATCCCAGAACTTTGGGAGGCTGAGGTGGGCGGATCACAAGGTCAGGAGTTCGGGACCAGCCTGGCCAACATGGTGAAACCCCGTCTCTACTAAAAATACAAAAAATTAGCTGGGTGTAGTGGCGGGAACCTGTAATGCCAGTTTCTCGGGAGGCTGAGGCAGAAGAATTGTTTGAACCTGGGAGGCGGAGGTTGCAATGAGTTGAAATCACTGCACTCCAGCCCAGGCAACAGAGTGAGACTCTGTCTCAAAAAAACAACAAAAAAAACCCCAAGAAGACAATTAGCTGGGTGTGGTGGTGCGTGCCTGTAATCCCAACTACTCGGGAGGCTGAGGCAGGAGAATCACCTGAACCAGGAGGCAGGCAGAGGTTGCAGTGAGCCAAGATCACACCACTGCACTCCAGACTGGGTGACAGAGCAAGACCGTCTCAAAAAATAAATAAATAAATAAATATTAAATATTGTTATATTAAAACAAATAGACATTTTTGGAGCAGAATGAAAACTGTATGATTAAGATAACATAGGTCTTCAACAAAATGAGCATGAGTGCCTGAGGGTGGGAAGTTCTCTCTGTATAGGTTCTATAGTGGATATGTTTGAGAAGCAATACATTTGAGCTATAGAACAGCTCTGCTATCCTGCTCCTTACTTTGTCCTTGTAGTATTTGTGTAGGGAAAAACTCTCAAGCCCAGGTTTTTCCTTTGCTTTCACATAACAACCACCATCAACACAAAAGAAGACTTACGTGGCTGGGCCCAGTGGCTCATGCCTGTAATCCTAGCACTTTGGGAGGCCAAGGTGGGCAGATTGCAAGTCCAAGAGATTGAGACCATCCTGACCAACATGGTGAAATCCCATCTCTACTAAAAATACAAAATTTAGCCGGGCGTTGTGGTGCGTGCCTGTAGTTCCAGTTACTGGGGAGGCTGAGGCAGGAGAATCGCTTGAACCCGGGAGGCGGAAGTTGCAGTGAGCCGAGATCATGCCACTGTACTCTGGCTTGGCGACAAGGCGAGACTCCATCTCAAAAAAAAAAAGACTTACGTGACCAAAGATGGGGTGGAGGGATTTTCCTCACACACCAAACAGTGTATGCCAACTAGGTGTCATCCAACACCATCTACCCAAGATGGTGTCAGATCCCACACGTTTAGGGTTCAGTCCCATAAGACCACCTGTCCTTCCTACCAGTCACAAGCCCATTCCTTCAGAGCTTCTGACCAACTGGCTTCAAGTTGAGTTTCCCACGACCTCTTTCTTGGGTTCCATTAGTTTGCTAAAGCAGTTCACAGACCTCAAGGAAACACTTCTTTAGATTTGCCAGTTTGTTAAGAGGACTACTTTATTTATTTATTTTTGAGACAATCTCACTGTGTCGCCCAGGCTGGAGTGCAGTGGCGTGATCTCGGCTCACTGCAACTTCCCCCTCCCAGGTTCAAGCAGTTCTCCTGCCTCAGTCTCCCGAGTAGCTGGGATTACAGGCGTTCACCCCCACGCCTGGCTAATTTTGGTATTTTTAGTAGAGATGGGGTTTTGCCATGTTGGCCAGGCTGGTCTCAAACTCCTGACCTCAGGTGATCCACCCAGTTCGGCCTCCCAAAGTGCTGGGATTACAGGCATGAACCACCACGCCCAGCCAAAAGCATCTTTTTTTTTTTTTTTTTTTTTTTTTTGAGATGGAGTCTTGCTCTGTTGCCCAGGCTGAAGTGCAGTGGTGCAATCTTGGCTCACTGCAAGCTCCGCATCCCAGGTTCACACCATTCTCCTGCCTCGGCCTCCCAAGTAGCTGAGACTACATGCGCCCACCACCACACCCAGCTAATTTTTGTATTTTTAGCAGAGACAGAGTTTCACCTTGTCAGCCAGGATGGTCTTGATCTCCTGACCTCTTGATCTGCCTGCCTCGGCCTCCCAAAGTGCTGGGATTACAGGCGTGAGCCACTGCGCCCAGCCAAAAGCATCTATTCTTAACTGTGTGTTTTACAATTACTAAGTATTGTTATTAACATATTGCTCTTAACATAAGTGGCATTTAAGAATTACATTTTTTCCATATGTCCTTGTGGATAGAGGAAAAAAAAAGAATTACATTTTCTTTAGTCACGCGTTGTGTTGCATGCCTGTAGTCCTAGCTATTCAGGAGGCTGAGGCCGGAGGATCGTCTGAGCTGAGAAGGTTGAGGTTGCAATGAGCCGTGGTCCCACCACTGCATTTCATTCAGCCTGGGTGACAGAGTAAGACCCTGTCTCAATAAACAAATAAGTAAGTAAGAATTAAGTTTTCTGAGGCTGGGCGTGGTGGCTCATGCTTATAATCCCAGCACTTTGGGAGGATGAATTTTATTTTAATCCCATTAGGACTCCAAGTCCTGGCCATGCAGCTTAATAGCTATATGGCCTTGGGCAGGGCAGTTCTATTAGAGGTGACTTCCTTGGGCTTCCCTTTCCTCTTTTTTTTTGAGAGATGGAGTCTCGCTCTGTCGCCAGGCTGGAGTGCAGTGGTGCAATCTCGGCTCACTGCAGCCTCTGCTTCCCGGGTTCAACCGATTCTCCTGCCTCAGCCTCCTGAATAGCTAGGACTACAGGTGCGCCACCATGTCTAGCTAATTTTTGTATTTTTAGTAGAGACGGGGTTTCACCATATTGGCTGGGCTGGTCTCAAACTCCTGACCTCAGGTGATCCGCCCACCTTGGCCTCCCAAAGTGCTGGGATTACAAGCGTGAGCCACCGCGCCCAGCCAAGTTGGTTATTGTATATATTTTGCATTAAACTGAACTTCGATGACCACCAGATAATACAAATGTTAATGAACTAAACGGAAATATTGTGCCATAGGAAAATGGGTTAGATTTATCAGAAAATCTGTTGAGCAGTAGAGAAGTGGGTAAGAAAACAAGGTCTCGTTGCATGTTGCAAGGGATATAAAACCCTAACCCATTTAAAAAGATGAATGTCAGCCTGGGCAACTTAGTGAGACCTTGTCTGTAAAAAAAAAAAAAAAAAAAAATGTAGCCAGGTGTGGTGGTGCACACCTGTAGTCTCAGCTACTTGGGAGGCTGAGATGGGAGGATCACCTGAGCCCAGGAGGTTAAGGCTGCATGCACTCTAGCCTGGGTGACAGAGTGAGACCCTGTCTTAAAAAAAAAAAAAAAAAAAAAACGGAAGGCTGTTAACCAGCAAAATGCTTATGAGAGAGGTTTTTTAATAGCATAATACCAAAAAGTTAATTATTATGGAATAAAAGTAAAGAAAATCCCAAACTAAAACCTGGCGTATAGCAGAAGCTCAATAAGTAATTATTTGGATGAATGAATGCCTAGGGAAAAAAGACTAAACAGACGTGGAAATCATCAGTCAAAACTAGTAGTGTGAGGGTAGTTTGGTTTGGGGGTCACTTTTTGTTGGTTTTGTATAGTTTGTGTAATTTTTTTTAATGCAAATACTTTTTTTCTTTTCTTAGATTAAAGCAGAATTACCAAAATCTGGCTATAAAAATATTTAACAATAGGTGACTGGTTAAATTATGATACATCCCTATAATAGAATGTTTTTTTTTTTTTTTTTTTTTGAGATGGTGTCTCCCTCTGTCACCTAGGCTGGAGTGCAGTGGCACGATCTCTGCTCACTGCAAACTCCGCCTCCCGGCTTCACACCATTCTCTTGCCTCAGCCTCCTGAGTAGCTAGAACCGCTAATTTTTTGTGTTTTTAGTAGAGATGGGGTTTCACCATGTTAGCCAGGATGGTCTGGATCTCCTGACCTCGTAATCCGCCTGCCTCTGCCTCCGAAAGTGCTGGGATTACAGGCGTGAGCCACCGTGCCTGGCCTTATAATAGAATGTTGTGTAGCCATTATGTATAAAAAATATGTTGAAATGGCAAGATATTTGAAACAAAGTACAAAGAAAGCAGATTATCAAACAATATGTATGGTATGATCTCGTGAGAGTAAGTATATGTATATATTGGGGAGGGGACTGCGAATTTGGATATAAGCCAGAATGTGTGTATAAAACCTATAGGTAGGTTTCTTTAAGCTTTCTCCTGTTGCCTGTATTGCATAATTTTTAAAGGAAAAGGGAATGCAGTACAGTAGGAAGTAGCACTGAAACTTTCTGATAAAGGTAATGAAATGGGCCGGGCGTGGTGGCTCACACCTGTAATCCCAGCACTTCGGGAGGCCGAGGTGGGCGGATCACGAGGTCAGGAGATCGACACCATCCTGGCTAACACAGTGAAACCCCGTTTCTACTAAAAATACAAAAATTAGCCAGGCATGGTGGCGGGCGCCTGTAGTCCCAGCTACTTGAGGAGGTTGAGGTGGGAGAATGGTGTGAACCTGGGAGGCTCTGTCTCAAAAAAAAAAAAAAAAAGGATAATGAAATGATAAAAGGTGTTTTTGCCTAGTTTACTTGGCAGTAATGTCTAGACTTCTTTTTTTTTTTTTATTTTTTGAGATGGAGTCTCGCTCTGTTGCCCAGGCTGGAGTGCAGTGGTGCGATATTGGCTCACTGCAAGCTCCGCCTCCCGGGTTCATGTCATTCCCCCGCCTCAGCCTCCTGAGTAGCTGGGACTACAGGCGCCTGCCACCACGCCTGCCTAATTTTTTTTTTTGTATTTTTTTTAGTAGAGACGGGATTTCACTGTGTTAGCCAGGATGGTCTCATCATCTCCTGACCTTGTGATCCGTCCACCTCGGCCTCCCAAAGTGCTGGGATTACAGGCGTGAGCCACCGCTCCCAGCCAGTCTAGACTTCTTGAGTGGAATCGAGAGGGCCACTGGAACAGTTATAGAAGTGCAGCCAGGAGGAGAGTAAGGCAGGAGGAAGCTCCTGCATCTGCCCAGCTGTTAGAGGGGATTGAGGTTGCAGAGGCAGTTCTTGCAGTGATCCTCACTTAAATTTGGTCTTAAACTTTGTTTAAATATTACCCAAGTAATGTTTAGTTTCATTCTTTGGAAGAGTCTAATGATTGTAGAATTACATTAGAACCTAAAGAATCCCTTAACTTTGTTTTCCCAGAGCTGAAGACTATTAATAGTCTGGTGTGTTGACTTTGCACTTTTATTAACAGGCATGTACATATAATACAACTTTTTAAACAAAATATAATTGTGCTATGGAAATTTTCTGTAACCACCACATTTAATGTAAGAACATGAGGGGGAAATACTTCAAACAGTGCAAAATGTTAATAATGAAAAGTAATCCTCAGTCTTGCCTCTGATCTCTCATTTTTCTTCCTCAGAGGCAATAAATACCAATTTCTGATGTATCCATCCAAAGAAAATTCTGCGTATATTCAAATGTATGAGTTTATGTATCTTTTTTTTTTTTTTTTTTTTTTTTTGAGACAGGGTTTTCACTCTGTTGCCCAGGCTGGAGTGAGACACGTGATCTTGGCTCACTGCAACCTCTACCTCCTGAGTTGAAGTGATTCTTGTGCCTCAGCCTCCCAAGTAGCTGAGATTACACACATGTGCGGCCATGCCCAGCGAATTTTTGTAGTTTTAGTAGAGATGGGATTTCACCGTGTTGGCCAGGCTGGTCTCGAACTCCTGGCCTCAAGTGTTCCACCCACCTCGGCCTCCCAAATTGCTGTGATTACAAGCATGAGCCAATGTGCCTGGCCAAGTTTATGTATCTTTTTAAAAAAGCACAAATAGGCCGGGCATGGTGTCTCACGCCTGTAATCTCAGCATTTTGGGAGGCCGAGGCAGGCGGATCACCTGAGGTCAGGAATTCGAGACCAGCCTGGCCAACATGGTGAAACCCCATCTCTACTAAAAATACAAAAATTAGCTGGGCGTGGTGGCAGGCGCCTGTAATCTCAGCTACTCAGGTGGCTGAGGCAGGAGAATCGCTTCAACCCGGGAAGTGGAGGTTGCAGTGAGCCGAGATTGCACCATTGCACTCCAGCCTGGGGGACAAGAGCAAGACTTCGTCTCAAAAATAAATAAATAAAAATAAAAGGCCGGGCGTGGTGGCTCACGCCTGTAATCCCAGCACTTTGGGAGGCCAAGGTGCGTGGATCACCTGAGGTCAGGAGTTCAAGACCAGCCTGACCAACATGGTGAAACCCCATCTCTACTAAAAATACAAAAATTAGCGGAGTGTGGTGGCACACGCCTGTAATCTCAGCTACTCGGGAGGCTGAGGCAGGAGAATCGCTTGAACCTGGGAGGTGGAGGTTGCAGTGAGCCGAGATCGCCATTGCACTCCAGCCTGGGCAACAAGAGTGAAACTCCGTCTCAAAATAAATAAATAAATAATAAAAATAAAAAATAAAGCACAAATAGTAGCTTACTATACACGTTGTTCTAGACGTTTGAGTTGTTTTCAATCTTTGTTTTTTTTTGTTTTTTTTTTATTTGAGACGGAGTCTTGCTGCTCTGTCACCTAGGCTGGAGTGCAGTGCCGTGATCTCGGCTCACTGCAATCCTTGCTTCTCAGGTTTAAGCGATTCTCTTGTCTCAGCCTCCCGAGTAGCTGGGATTATGGGCACATGCCACCATGCCCGGCTAATTTTTGTATTTTTAGTAGATACAGGGTTTCGTCATGTTGGCCAGGCTGGTCTCAAACTCCTGACCTCAGGTGATCCACCTGCCTCGGCCTCCCAATTGCCCTGGCCTCCCAACTGCCCAGGCTTCCTGAAGTGCTGGGATTACAGGTATGAGCCACCACGCCCAGCTTGTTTTTAATCTTTTGCCATTAGAGAAAAATACCCTAGTAGTAGATAGCCTTCTTATATACACATCTTTAGGCTCGTGTACTAGTGTAAACATAGAGAATTGCTTGTATATTCCTAGAAGAGGGAATGGCATGTACAAAGGCCCAGAGGCAGGAAAGGAAAGACCTAGAATGTTCTGGCTACTGAAAGAAGTTCAGTGTGATTAGAGGCGAGTATGTCAGGCTGGATGCAGATCTGCTGATAGGGCCCTGAAGCACTTGGTAGGCCATGTGAAAGAGTTTGGACTTTAAGAGTTTTCAGCATGGTGGTTTCAGAAGGGAAGTCTTCTTGCTGATAATGGATTTACATTTTAGAAATCCGTGGCCGCTGTGTGAAAAATGGTGGGTAATGGAGCAAGAGGGGAAGCAGGGAAACTGTTTAGAAGGCCATTGCATTGGTCCATGCAAGATGTAATGCTGTCCTGACTTAAGGTGGGATAACTGGGATTGCTGTTTGTCTAGTTTGTTAAATTATAATGATTATTTTAAATTAATTTAGAGACAGACTCTCGCTCTGTTGCCCAGGCTAGAGTGCTGTGGTGTGATCATAGCTCACTATAACCTTGAACTCCTGGCCTTAAGTGATCATCTGGCCTCAAGCTCCTGAGTAGCTAGGAGTGTAGGTGCGTATCACCAGGCCCAGCTAATTTTTTTTGTAAAGATGGGGTCTTACTGTGTTGCCCAGGCTGGCCTTCAACTCCTGGCCTCAAGCAATCCCCTCCTCCCAGGCCATCCAAGGTGTTGGGATTACAGGTGTGAGCCACCATGCCCAGCTTAGTTTTTTAATTATTTATGTATTTTATTTTTATTTTATTTATTTATGTATTTATTTATTTATTTATTATTTTTGAGACGAAGTCTCGCTCTTGTCCACCAGGCTGGAGTGCAGTGGCTCAATCTCAGCTCACTGCAGCCTCTGCTTCCCGGGTTCAAGTGATTCTCCTGCCTCGGCCTCCAGAGTAGCTGGGATTACAGGCGTGCACCACCACACTCGGCTAATTTTGTACTTTTAGTAGAGGCACCTGCCCCAACGCCTGGCCAAATTTTTTTTTTTTTTTTTTTTTTTAGTAGAGACAGGGATTCACCATGTTGGCCAGGCTGGTCTAGAACTCCTGACCTCAGGTGATCCACCCACGTCGGCCTCCCAAAGTGCTGGGATTACAGGCGTGAGCCACCGCACCAGGATTTACTTATTTTTTATTTATTTATTTATTTTTGAGATGGAATCTCGCTCTTTCGCCCACGCGGGAGTGCAGTGGCGCTATCTTGGCTCACTGCAAGCTCCACCTCCCGGGTTCACGCCATTCTCCTGCCTCAGCCTCCCGAGAAGCTGGGACTACAGGCACCCGCCACCGCACCCAGCTAATTTTTTGTGTTTTTAGTAGAGACGGGGTTTCACCGTGTTAGCCAGGATGGTCTCGATCTGCTGACCTCCTGATCCACCTGCCTCGGCCTCCCAGAGTGCTGGGATTACAGGCGTGAGCCACTGCACCTGGCCCGGCCTTACTTATTTTTAATTAGGTTGGAATCCTATTCTGCATCCTCCTTTGTAACCTTGCTGCGTGTTGTGAACGTTTTTCCTGTTAGATGATCTTTTTCTTTTTTTTTTTTTTGAGACAGTCTCACTCCGTCTCCCGTGCTGGAGTGCAGTGGCATGATCTAGGCTCACTGCTACCTCTGCCTCCTGGGGTCAAGTGATTCTTGTGCCTTAGCCTCCCAAGTAGCTGGGATTACAGACATGCTCCACTAGGCCTGGCTTATTTTATTTTATTTTTATTTTATTTATCTTTTTCAGACAGAGTCTTCCTCTGTTGTCCAGTCTGGAGTGTGGTGGCACGATCTTGGCTCGCTACAACCTCCGCCTCCCAGGTTCAAGCGATTCTCCTTCGTTAGCCTCCGGAGTAGATGGGATTACAGTCGTGCACCACCACACCCGGCTAATCATGTACTTTTAGTAGAGATGAGGTTTTATCACGTTGGCCAGGCTGGTCTAGAACTCCTGACCTCAGGTGATCCACCCACCTCGGCCTCCCAAAGTGTTGGGATTACAGACGTGAGCCATAGCACACAGCGCTAATTTTTGTGTTTTTAGTGGAGACAGCGTTTTGTCATGTTGACTGGGCTGATGTTGATCCACCTGCCTCAGCGTCCGAAAGTGCTGGGGTTACAGGTGTGAGCCACCTCACACAGCCTCTGTTAGATATCTTTTGTTGGCCGGGTGCAGTGGCTCATGCCTGTAATCCCAGCACTTTGGGAGGCCGAGGCTGGCGGATCACGAGGTCAGGAGATGGAGACCATCCTGGCTAATACGGTGAAACCCCGTCTCTACTAAAACAAAAAATTAGCTGGGTGTGGTGGTGGGCACCTGTAGTCCCAGCTACTGGGGAGGCTGAGGCAGGAGAATGGCATGAACGGAGCTTGCAGTGAGCCGAGATCGTGCCACTGCACTCCAGCCTGGGCCACAGAGCAAGACTCCGTCTCAAAAAAAAAAAAAAAAATCTTCTGTTACTTCAAATTAGTAGGAACTTTGTTGTTGGATGTTAAGTGGCATGTGTGCATGCTTTAGTTTTCTGAACTGTTCCTTTGGGCATAGCAGTCCTTGTTTGCCCTGACTTTTTGCCTCTAGTATGTTGTTTCTACCTATTCCTCATTAATTGAATTATTTCTAAAATACGAGCATTGGCCAGGCAGGGTGGCTCATGCCTGTAATCCCAGTACTTTGTGAGGCTGAGGCGAACGGATCGCTTGAGTTCAGGAGTTTAAGACCAGCTTGGGCGACATGATGAAACTCGGTCTCTACTAAAAATATAAAAATCAGCCGAATATGGTGGTGGGTGCCTGTAATCCCAGCTACTTGGGAGGCTCAGGCACAAGAATCACTTGAACCTGGGAGGCAGAGGTTGCAGTGAGCCGAGATCGCGCCACTGCACTCCATCCTGGGCAACAGAGTGAGACTCTGTGTCAAAAAAATAAATTAAATAAAATATGAACATTGACTCTGAGAGCCAAGTTTATTGTAAATTTGAGTGCATAGACTTTGAGATTTTTTTTTTAATCAAACCTTTTTTGGTCCTGTTCTTGTTTTCTAAGTGGTAGATATTTGCTGGTTTAATGACTTACAGATAGGGTGACATAGAGGTCTGTCTTAGTTAACAGCTATGTAGATTATCCTATCACGTATATAGCTGTAAATACTCTACACATTTTTCACACACTGAACTTAAATCTCCAATTTCTTTTTTTTCTTATTTTTCTTTTTTTTTTTTTTTGAGACGGAGTTTTGCTCTGTTGCACAGGCTGGATGGAGTGCAGTGGTGCGATCTCGGCTCACTGCAACCTCCGCCTCCCAGGTTCAAGTGATTTTCCTGCCTCAACCTCCCAAGTAGCTGGGATTACAGGCACCAACTACCACGCCTGGCTAATTTTTTGTATTTTTAGTAGAGATGAGGTTTCACCATGTTGGCCATGCTGGTCTCTTAACTCCTGACCTCAAGTGATCCTCCAGCCTTGGCCTCTCAAAGTGCTAGGATTACAGGCATGAGCCATGGCGCCCAGCCTACTTCTTATTTTGAAAGAAGTAGATGATACACATTATCTTCCCCAATAAGGAAGGAGGAAATGAGTCCTAAAATGTCCTAGGTTGCTGAGGGTTTTTGAGGAAAAGAGTATATATCTAGCCAGGCGCGGTGGCTCACGCCTGTAATCCCAGCACCTTGGGAGGCTGAGGCAGGTGGATCACCTGAGGTCAAGAGTTCAAGACCAGCCTGGCCAACATGGTGAAACCCTGTCTCTACTGAAAATACAAAACTTAGCCGGGTGTAGTGGGGCATGCCTATAATCTCAGCCACTCGGGAGGCCGAGGCAGGAGAATCACTTGAACCTGGAAGGTGGAGGTTGCCGTGAGCCAAGATTGCTCCATTGCACTCCAGCCTGGGCGACAGAGTGAGTTTTGGTCTCAAAAAAAAAAAAACAAAAGAGCATATATCTTGATGCTCTGTGTGGTGAGTAGTAAGCAAGAGTATACAGTGATTAATCCTTGACTTTCGGGCAGCTTTTCTAGTTTAAAACATATCCTAATGGAGGGAGAAAAGGGCATTCTGGTAAGTTGTATTTTATGTTGTAGCATTTTTGCCTGACACAGGGATTCTGCTTTATATTTCTTGGACTGCAGATGTAAATGCTGCTCAGTAGAGTGGTGTGCATTAGCGATTAGTGGTGTGCATAGCGAAAACTAGGTTTTGGAGACTTCTGTCTGATTTCTGGGTTACAGACAAGGGGACTGCAAAGCCAGAGAACCACTCTTTGCTTCATGCTTGTGTGCAGCCTCACTGTGTGCAGTCGTTTAAAAATGTCTGCCTTCAGCTGGGCGCAGTGGCTCATGCCTGTAATCCCAGCACTTTGGAGGCCGAAGTGGGTGGATCACCTGAGGTCAGGAGTTCGAGACTAGCTGGGCATGGTGGTGGGCACCTGTAATCCCAGCTACTCGGGAGACTGAAGCAGGAGAGTTGCTTCAACTTGGGAGGTGGAGGTTGCAGTGAGCTGAGATGGTGCCATTGCGCTCCAGCCTGGATGACGAACGGAACTCCTTCTCAAAAAAAAAAAGTCTTCTTTTTTTTTTTTTTTTTTTTTGAGATGGAGTCTCGCTCTGTCACCCAGGCTGGAGTGCAGTGGCACGATCTCGGCTCACCGCAACCTCTGCCCCCCAGGTTCAAGCGATTCTCCTGCCTCAGCCTCCCTAGTAGCTGGGATTACAGGCGTGGTGGAATTTTTGTACTTTTAGTAGAGACAGGGTTTCACCATCTTGGCCAGGCTGGTCTTGAACTCCTGACCTCATGATCCACCAGCCTTGGCCTCCCAAAGTGCTGGGATTACAGGCGTGAGCCACCGCATCTGGCCAGTCTTCTTTTTTTTTTTAAACTGTAAAGTGGTGATACTGGTTCCCTTCTTACCTATAAGTATTACTCAAATTGATAACCTAATAAAACTGTAGGATATTAAAGCCAAAAGAAAATTTAAGTCATCTGTCAATCCCTTCATTTTACAGATAAGAAAACTAAGACGCAAAGTGATTCACCTAAGGTCATGGATGTAGGACAAGTGCTTATGCCTTTTTTGTTCTTCCCTAGACTGGCTCTGAATAGTCTTTGGGTTTCCCAGAATTTCCTGCTGCATTTGATTCTGTAGCTAATTATTTTATACATTCATTTTTTAAATCTCTTTTGACAGAAAAACATGCATCAATGTGTATGTCTAGAAAAACAATGTAGAGGCTGTACATTAATTGCTCTTGGGTGTAGTATGCATGTCTTTGTTTTGTTTTGTTTTTTATTTTTTAGACAGAGTTTTGCTCTTACTGCCCAGTCTGGAGTGCAGTGGCACAATCTTGGCTCACTGCAACCTCCTCCTGCCTCCTGGGTTTAAGCAGTTCTCCTGCCTCAGCCTCCCAAGTAGCTGGGACTACAGGCATGCACCATCATGCCCGGCTAATTTTTTGTATTTAGTAGTGAACGGGGTTTCACCATGTTGGTCAGGCTCGTCTCAAACTCCTGACCTCATGTGATCCACCCACCTTGGCCTCCCAAAGTGCTGGGATTACAGGCGTGAGCCACCGTGCCCGTCTTACACATGTCTTCAGTGTGTATTTTTCAGACAACAAGAGCAGTAATGTTACCAACTTTAAAAAAGTTTGCCCACATGTGCAATGATGCATTACTAGGCTCTGACTGAAGATAATATTAAAGTTCAGTATCTAATAAGATTTTGAGCTTACTCATCTTCTTAACCCAGGACTTTTCAGAATCCTTCAATAATCTTTATGTGATAAGAACAGAACATCCTTACAGGCAGTATTGGTTAGCACTTCTGTTTTTAATGTAGTGCACTTGGACCACTGAAAGTTTTCAATTTTTCCAACCACTACTTTTTGTTTATTTGCTTAAATAAACTCTAATATAACAAATCTCTGGAATAGCATGGTCACTATCACATATTTACAGAGGTATGATACATAACTCTTCTATAACAGAAGATATCCTAATTCTTTTTAGTATTTCCTGTGTTTTATCTCTTATATCTTTCTACTCCTATTTAAAAATTTTTAAGGTTATGTTGAGAGTATAAAATAATAGTGACTCTTGGTTTGTAATTTTTTTCTCCCTGTCCCCCTGTTCAACAAAGTATTTGCTTCTTCCTTTGTCTTTATTGTGTCTTTTGGGTGTATATAAATATATAACCCTCCCTGCCCTCCACCCTACCCCCATGCAATTTCTTGGTTATGGTATTGCCTGCATTTTTTTGTTGCCTATACATGTTTGTTTCAATATTTCTAAGAAGTAACCAAGTTGACAAATTACTTGTTTTAATCATCTTGGTTCAAAGTAACATTTTGAGGCTGGGTGCAGTGGCTCACGCCTATAATTCCAGCACTTTGGGAGGCCAAGGCAGGTGGAGCACTTGAGGCCAGGAGTTTGAGAACAGCCTGGCCAACATAGAAAACCCCATTTCTACCAAAAATACAAAAAATTAGGCCAGGCGTGGTGGCTCACACCTGTAATCCCAGCACTTTGGAAGGCCGAGGCGGGTGGATCACAAGGTCAAGAATTCGAGACCAGCCTGGCCAAGATGGTGAAATCCTGTCTCTACTAAAAATACAAAAAAATTAGCTGGGCATGGTGGCAGGCGCCTGTAATCCCAGCTACTCAGGAGGCTGAGGCAGAGAATTGCTTGAACCCGGGAGGCAGAGGTTGCAGTGAGCCGAGATCGCGCCACTGCACTCCAGCCTGGGCGACAGAGTGAGACTCCGTCTCAAAAAAAAAAAAAAAATTTCCTGGGCATGGCCCCTGTATTCCCAGCTACTAGGGAGGCTGAGGCACAAGAATTGCTTGAACCCCCTGGGAGGTGGAGGTTCCAGACTGTGTCTCAAAAAAAAAACAAAGTAACATTTTGTTTCTTTTGTTGTTTAAACTTCTACATGTGTATCTTTGTTTTTTCAGCCTCTTTTATTCTTCATAGCTATTCAGTAATGCTTTATTATCCATATCTTATGCTGCTATACTCTTTTGTTGTTGTTTTGGGTTTTTTTTGAGACAGGGTCTCACTTTCTGGTCCAGGCTGGAGTGCAGTGGCACAATCTCAGCTCACTGCAACCTCTGGCTCCTGGGCGCCTGCAATCCTCCCGCCTCAGCCTCCTGAGTAGCTGGGACTACAGGCCCGCACCACCATGCCTGACTAGTTTTTGTATCTTTTTGTAAAGACAAGGTTTTGCCATGTTGCTTAGGCTTGTCCCATCTCTTGGGTTTATAGGTGTGAGCCACTGTGCCTGGCCTGCTACTTGCTAAAGATGTCATTTTAGGGTAGGTAACTTCTTAAACATTTTTTTTTTTTTTTTTTTTTTTGGAGACAGGGTCTCGCTCTGTCGCCCAGGCTGGCATGATCACAGCTTGCTGCAGCCTCAAAATTCTGGGCACAAGCAATCCTCTTGCCTCGGCCTCCTGCAGTGCTGGAATGGTAGGCGTGAGCCACCCTGCCCAGCCAATAATTTTCTTGATTGTTGTCGAAGACATTATATTGCTATTTATTATTACCACATTGCTATTTGGTACAAGTATCCATTGTTGTTATTTAAACTGTTAGCTTCTGATTTAATGTTAACTTTACAGGACAACCCCTTTACCAAATAAAAGTTGTCTTGGTTTTACTAAGTAGCCTTCATGAGGTGAGTCCTGGGTTACAGAGACATTTTTATTTATAAAAATAAAAACCATGACAGTTCACCCTATCATGTGTGCCCATTTCTGCAGGGTTTTTTTTTTTTCTTTTTCCCTTCTTTCATGCCTACAGATTGTCCTTACTACCTAGAGATTGTTAAATATTGGTTGTACCCAAAATAGAAGTGAAACTTCAAGGCTTACTCTGCTTGGCACAGTGGCTCACACCTGTGATACCAGCACTTAGGGAAGCAGAGGCAGGAGGATAGCTTGAGCCCAGGAGTTCAGGACCTGCCTGGGTGACATAGCAAGACCCCATTCTCCACAAAAAGGGGGAAAAAGACAAAAGACTCATTGAGTCATACATTCTGTTATTGCTTATGTGAGAATTATATTAGTTTTGAGATAGGCTTTGTAGTTTTTTTGTTGTTGTTTGTTTTGTTTTGTTTTGAGACAGAGTCACCCAGGCTGGGATGCAGTGGCGTAATCTTGGCTCACTTCAGCCTCTGCCTCCCAGGTCCAAGCAGTTCTCCTGACTGAGCCTCCTGAGTAGCTGGGATTTCAGGCGCCCACCACCACGCCTGGCTAATTTTTGCATTTTCAGTAGAGACGGGGTTTCACCATGTTGGACAGGCTGGTCTCGAACTCCTGACCTCAGGTGATTCACCTGCCTCGGTCTCCCAAAGTGCTGGGATTACAGGGATGAGCCACTGCGCCCAGCCAGGATCTATATTTTTTAAAGCTCACCAGAATAGGTTTGGGAATCATTGCTCAGGCAGCATCTGTCCAAAATTCATAAAAGTACCTGTTAGGTGTTGTGTAAATCCTGCATTATGTGTGTGTAGTTTATTCCTATTTTGTAATACATTTATTCAAGGTGATAGACTTGCTATAGATTCTCAGTCTTTCTCCTATTCCAAGTGATGAAAAGACTGTAGGGCTGCTCCAAAGACGGTCTAACTCTGAGCTGCTTCCAGGGATATGGGTCTGCAGTGTGGCAAGGAGGGATCTGGTGGTCTCTAACATAGTCTCTTATTAGGGGAACAGAAAGTGAAGCTTAGGTTACTCTACACCAGCAAAAGTGTCATTTGGGCTATGGAGAGCAGAGAGAGGACAGCATGTACTTGGGAGGCAGCCTCCTGTTGGTACTATGGCACCAATGTTGACTCACAGATGAGCATTATCTTTGTAAATGTTCAATAAGTGAAATAAACAGGCTACCCTTAACAGAGGGCTCTGAAACCACATCAAAATAATATATATTTTTTTGATACAGATTCTCACTCTGTACCCCAGACTAGAGTGCAGTGGCGTGAACTCAGCTCACTGCAACCTCCACCTCCTGGGTTCAAGCGATTCTCATGCATCAGCCTCCCAAGTAGCTGGGATTACAGGTGCACGCCACCACACCCGGCTAATTTTTGTATTTTTTTTTAGTAGAGACAGGGTTTCGCTATGTTGGCCAGGCTGGTCTCGAACTTCTAACCTCAAGTGATCCACCCGCCTTGGCCTCCCAACATGCTGGGATTACAGGCGTGAGCCACCGTGCCCAGCCTCAAAATAATAAATTTGAGGCCTGGGTGTAATGGCTCATGCCCATAATCCCAACATGTTGGGAGGCTGAGGCAGGAAGATTGTTTGAAGCCAGAAGCTCAAGACCAGCCGAGGCAACAAAGCAAGACCCCACCTCTACAAAATAATAATAATAAAATAGTAGGGTGCAGTGGTGCATGCCTGTAGTGTCCCAACTACCCAGGAGGCTGAGGCAAGAGAGGCACTTGATCCCAGGAGTTCAAGGCTGTGGCAAGCTACGATTACACTACTGCGCTCACTCCAGTCTGGGAGACAGAGCAAGACCGCACCTCTTAAAAAAGATAAATAATTATAATAATATTAATTTGAGATGGCTTAATACAGTTCCACTCAGTTACATTAAATTTCTTCTGCACAAAATTGGTCTAATTCCATACATATTTTTGTTATATACCGTTCACCTGTTCTGTAGTTTGTCAGGCAAGGTCCACCTCATCATTTGATATCCAGCTGTAGCAATTCCTTTCCTTAAAGCCCTTCACCCACTGAAGTCATCCTTTATGCCAGGGTGGTAGGAAGTATGTTAACCGTTGTTACAGTACTCATCACACTATATAGCTGCTATTTGTTTTTCTTTCTGCCTGCCAGACAAGGAGCTCCCTAAGAACTGAACCTCGTGCAGAAGACAAAGCTTATCTGGGAGTCAGCTTTAGCACAGTACTGATTGAAGACTACCCCTAGTACATATGCTTGTACTCTCTCTCCCTTCCCTGCCTCCAGCCCCAAATGACGCTTCAACACCTAATACCCGATTTCTTCCATTAACTTGAAAAAGAGCCTGGACGCGGTGGCTCACACCTGTAATACCGGCATTTGGGGAGACCAAGATGGCTGGATCACCTAAGGTCAGGAGTTTGAGACCAGCTTGGCCAACATGGTGAAACCCTATCTCTACTAAAAATACAAAAATTAGCCTGGCATGATGGTGGGCATTTGTAGTCCCAGCTACTCAGGAGGCTGAGACAGGAGAATCACTTGAACGCAGGAGGCGGCCGTTGCAGTGAGCCAAGATGGCGCCATTGCACTCCAGACTGGTCAACAAGAGCGAAACTCCGTCTCAAAAAAAGAAAAAGAACAGTTAGAACTTTTTTTTTTTTTTTTAAAGAAGAGAGTTCCTTTCTACAGCAGCGTCAGCCACCTTTTGGCGAAAGAATTATTGTCTAGCCTTTATTATTCTTTGTAGCAAAAGAACTCCTTCCCCTCCTCCCATACTAGTTTCACTGTTGCCATTACAAATATTTTATTAGTACGTATTTCCTAGATTCAAAGCTTCAGTGGGCTTTCTTCAAGTAGCTGTTAGAATAATTGTTTTGTTTTGACCATACCCTTTAATATTAACAAATGGGAGGGGAGATTGTTAACAAAATACTAGAATGCTCTTAACTTTTTTTTTAACTTAGAAGAAACATTTTCATTTCCCTTTTAATTATTTCTACACACACACATACAAAAAGCCCTGTTATTTTATAATTTTTTATTTTTATTTTTTTAGTAGAGACAGGGTTTCACTGTGTTAGCCAGGATGGTCTCGATCTCCTGACCTTGTGATCTGCCCACCTCGGCCTCCCAAAGTGCTGGGATTACAGGCGTGAGCCACCGTGCCCGGCCCTAACTGTTCTTTTAAAAATTGGCCGAGCACGGTGATCGGCCAGGTGTGATGGCTCACACCTGTAATCCTAGCACTTTGGGAGGCTGAGGAGGGTGGATCAGCTGAGGTCAGAAGCTCAAGCCCAGCGTGGCCAACATGGCGAAACCCTGTCTCTACTAAAAATACAAATATTAGCCGGACATGATGTTTGGTGCCTGTAATCAATCCCAGCTACTTGGGAGGCTGAGGCGGGAGAATCGCTTGAACCCGGGAGGTGGAGGTTGCAGTAAGCTGAGATGGCACCATTGCACTCCAGCCTGGATGACAGAGTGAGACTCTGTCTCAAAAAAAAAAAAAAAAAAAAAAATGCTGGACTGGGTGGCTCACACAAATGCTGTGATTACAGGCGTGAGCCACCGTAATCCCAGCACTTTGGGAGGCCGAGGCGGGCAGATCACTTGAGGTCAGGAGTTTGAGACTAGCCTAGCCAACATGATGAAACCCCATCTCTACGAAAAATACAAAAATTAGCTAGTCGTGGTGATGCGTGCCTGTAATCCCAGCTACTCAGGAGGCTGAGGCTGAGAATTGCTTGAACACAGGAGGCAGAGATTGCAGTGAGCCAAGATCTCACCACTGCACTCCAGCCTGGGTGACAGAGCGAGACTCTGTCTCAAAAAATAAATGAAAATTAATGTCAGAGAAGTGAGAGGTACAGTTGTGATTAAATAGATGAGTGCTTTTTCAGATAAAGGCTGCTTCCGTTCCCAGTCACTGTGAAAGAAATGGTCACTATTATTTTTCTGCTTCTCAGCCCAAGTTATTCTCCCAATTCAACTCCTCCTCATTCTTTATTGTAGTCTACAACTTTCCTGGTACTAGTTCACTGATACTTTGCTTTGATGTATTTTAAGCTCTCAGATAAGATGATGGCGTATATGTTTTCAGGAATAGCAGAGTAAAATGGTTATTTTGTTTAACTTTTAAACCTAGCTTTTACTCTAAAAGAGTTAATAACTTTTATTCGTTTTGGCTAGTGTCCTGCATCTAGTAAAAGTTACTTAGCTTTTCCTTTCATCCTCAGGAAAAACTGATTACTTTTTTTGGGGGGGGGCAGTAAGGGCACAGAGTCTTGCGCTGTCACTCAGACTGGAATGCAGTGGTGTGATGATAGCTTACTGCAGCCTGGGCTCAGGCGATCCTCCCGCCTCAGTCCCGAGTAGCTGGGACTACAGATGGATGCCATCATACCTAGCTAATTTTTTTTTTAATTTTTAATGGAGACAAGGTCTCACTATGTTGCTCAGGCTGGTCTTGAACTCCTGGGCTCAAACGATTCTCTTGGCTCTGCCTCCCCAAGTACTGGGATTATATGTGTGAGCCACTGTGCCCGACCTGATGACTTATAATTGCTTTTTTTCCCCTCCTTGTCCTAATGTCATTTAACATTCTGTATAGTGAGAATACCAGACTAAGCTTTTCAGTCAACATTTTTCTAATGTAAAGATCTATCGACTGGACGCAGTGGCTCACACCTGTAAACCCAGCACTTTGGGAGGATGAGGCGGGCACATCACCTGAGGTCAGGAGTTTGAGACCAGCCTGGCCAACATAGTGAAACCCTGTCTCTACTAAAAATACAAAAATTTGCTGGGCATAGTGGTGTACGCCTGTGATCCCAGCTGCTCAGGAGGCTGAGGCAGGAGAATTGCTTGAACCCTGGAGGCAGAGGTTGCAGTGGCCGGGATTGTGCCACTGCGCTCCAGCCTGGGTGGCAGAGCAAGAATCTGTCTAAAAAAATAAATAAGGCCAGGCACAGTGGCTCATGCCTGTAATCCCAGTAATTTAGGAGGCTGAGGTGGGAGGATCACCAGAGCTCAGAAGTTTGAGACCATCCTGACCAGTATGGTGAAACCCTGTCTCTACTAAAAATATAAAAATTAGCCGGCATGGTGGCATGCGCCTGTAGTCCCAGCCACTCGGGAGGCTGAGACATTAGAATTATTTGAGCCCAGGAGGCGGAAGTCGCAGTGAGCCAAGATCGTGCCACTGCACTGCAGCCTGGGTGACAGAGTGAGACTCCGTCTCAAAAACAACAACATCAAAAAAAGATACTTACAGAGGCCAGGCGTTGGTGACTGGCTCAACGTCAGTAATCTCAGCACTTTGGGAGGCCGAGGTGGGTGG